>NC_000002.12:235065375-235368405 GCF_000001405.40 Homo sapiens
CAGCCAGTGAATTCATAAGTATATTATTATGCATTAAAAATATCTTTAGAAAGTCAGATTCCAGTTCTTCCAGGAGCTTTGTACAACACCTTTACATATTCCTCATTATCACATTTTCCATGGATAGATGAGCTGAGAAATTAAAGACAGGAAAGGGGATGTGTGTTGAGGGACTCAGGGCACTCGACCTACTTAAAAATAATTCACACGGACCCTGGAGATTTACGGATTTTTTCCCAGGACCTGGGAGATAGCTATCATTTTTCAAATATTAGGTTTATACAGAATAAACCATAAATATTAGGTTTATACAGAATATTAGGTTTATACAGAGATATACCAAAGGTTGATGTCACTATGCCAGGCACAAGAATATCAGAACAAGGATAATTTTTTTGCATTCAGAAATTCATATCCAAGCAAAAACAACTCCATTTTCTGTTTGTGACGTGCATGTAACAATATTCCAAAATCCTACTTCAAATATTATTAAAGTACTTTGCTGTAGTCAGGCAGCTTTCTCTCCTTCAATGAAAGAGCTTTGTATGGTTACTCACACTTCACTTCAAACAAAGCAGTTTCTTAGTGTCATTACTAGTATCACTATTTTCAAAATGTCCTAAAAATACGTTTTCTAAGCCAGGCACAGTGGTTCATGCCTGTAATCCCAACACTTTGGGAGGCTGAGATGGGAGCATTGCTTGAGGCCAGGAGTTCGAGGCCAGTCTGGGCAACATAACGAGACCCCATCTTAAAATAAATAAATAAATAAATACATTTTTTAAAAAAATATGTTTTCCTTACATTATTGAATTTTTTTTTTTTTGGCAGTCTCTTTCTTGTTACCCATGCTGGAGTGCAGTGGTACCATCACAGCTCACTGCAGCCTCAACCTCCTGGGCTCAAGTGATCCTCCCACTGCAGCCTCCCAAGTAGCTGGGACCACAGCTGTGTGCCACCACCATGCTCGGCTATTTTTTTTTCTTTTTTAACTTTTAGTGGAGATGAGATCTTGCCATGTTGCCTAGGCTGGTCTCGAACTACTGGCCTCAAGCCATGCTCCTACCTCGAACCCCCTAAGTTCTGGGATTACAAGCATGAGCCATGGCACCCAGCCACATTATTGAAATTTTTATAAAAGTATCTTATTTGGGCATTTTGCAAGTCAGCCAGATCACAACAGAGCTCTGGTTGAAATATAATTATTATCTTGGATTTCCATGTATTTTCTTTCATTCACAGCTCTGAGAGGAGGCCGACTGGCTACCAGCCTAGTAATCTGGAGAAAATGAAAGAATTCCACTATTTAATATCATTCTGAAAACATAGTTGCTGTGACCACTCGTCTGTGTCTTTAAGTGTAGCCCATGGAGCTCCTGAAGAAAACTCAGCAGGAGAAAGCCTGCTAAAAATGCAGCTTCCAAGACCTTCCCAGGCCTCCTGAATCTGATGCCTGTGGAGGCCCAGGAATCTGCAATTTAGCAAGCTTTCCATCGGATTCTTCCGTGTCCTAAAGTGTGAGGACAAGCTCCATTTTTGATTTTTTTGGTAAAATTCTAGACAGAAAAGAAACAAATGACTTCCGTGTCTGGAGAGGAGGGGAGGAGGGGGGATTCTGTTTGTGATTTCTAAATATTTCAGCAGCCACAGCTCCAGCCTCTTCCCTCTGCACCTCCTGGCTTCCAATCATTGTTGGACTTGCAGTCACCTCCTGCTGAACTTTAATTAAAATCCAGGCAGTCGTGTTCAGGGAGCCTGCTTGATGCAGACCACGTGACTGGGACCTGTTGGGCTGCCCCTGCTGAGAGGGATAAAGAAGCCAGCCAGGGCTTAGCAATGGACCCCTCTCTCTACCCAGTGTCTGTCTCAGGCTTTCTGTGCATCACAGAGTGATTTTTTTTTTTTTTTCTGAGACGGAGTTTCGCTCTTGTTGCCCAGGCTGGAGTGTAATGGCGCGATCTCGGCTCACCGCAACCTCCGCCTCCCGGGTTCAAGCAATTCTCCTGCCTCAGCCTCCTGAGTAGCTGGGATTACAGGCATGTGCCACCACACCCAGCTAATTTTTTGTATTTTTAGTAGATATGGAGTTTCTCCATGTTGATCAGGCTGGTCTTGAACCCCCGACCTCCTGTGATCCGCCCGTCTCGGCCTCCCAAAGTGCTGGGTTTACAGGCATAAGCCACCGCGCCTGGCCTGAGAGAGTGATTTTTATCCCCTTGCTGGAAACTCCGAAACAGGACAGCATGTGCCCCTGGCCAGGCTAAGGCCTGGGGCTGACCTGAGGCTATGTGTTCAGGGACTAAGGGCCATGGCTGTTTGGATGGACAGAGGCTCCCTGTCTCTGTGGAAGGTACCACACGGGCAGATCCACAGTCCTCACATCTGGCTGATGCCAATCTTCAGACAGGACTTTGCTCAGGTCCCTTTTGCACACTGGTACCTGTGTAGTAGGCCTCTGTAAGTCCCTGGGAGGTATGCAGGTGAGGTATTCGTGTGTGTGTGTGTGTGTGTGTGTGTGTGTGTCTGTGTGTGTGTCTCCACCAGGTTCAAGGAGGGTTCTGAGACAAGCCCAGTTCCTGGCATTCCTTACCCTGGGCAACACCATGACTACAGAAGCAAAAGCGGCTCCAGTTTTATTCCTAGGCCACCCGGACTAATAACAGCCAAGGCTCACTTAGCACTTACCCTGTGCCCATCACAGTCCTAAGCACTTTAGAGATTTTTAGCTCATTTGACTCTGGCAATAGCCTGTAAAGTAGACAGAATTAACAAAACTGTACGTTCTGCACATGTACCCCAGAACTTAAAGTATAGTTTAAAAAAAAATGAGGCACAGGGGGGTTAAGTAACTTTCCCAAGGTCACACAGCTAGGAAGTGTGGAGCTGAAATCTAAATGCAGCTCCAAGGCTCTAATGTGCGTGCAGTATCCTGCTGCCATCATGCTCAGGTGATAGTTTTCTGAGTCAAAAACCCCAGCAAGAGAAATAAATAGTGACTTAATTCAAAGTGGTAAATAGCAAAAATTGTAATTTCTCACTCCTGACATGAAGAGGACAGTAAGAAGTGGAGAAAGATTTGCCATCGGCTTGATGCTTTTTGTTTTTAATTTCCTTTGGCCAAGCAGATATAATTAGTTTGTATTCTCTCTGCACACTTGGACGGCTGGCATGGAGACAGCCCACAGACCTCCTGAACCAAGAGTGATTTTAAAATTTGCTGCAATGTAAATGTCTATCAATAATGGAGTAGTTAGATAGCTTGCACTACATTTATACAATGGCATCCTGTTCCACCATTAAAAGGGAAAAGGCAACTCTATCATTATTGGTGTGAAAGGCTTTCCAAGATACAATAAGGGGAAAAAAGAGAGCAGTGAGTATAAAATATCTCATTTATAGTGAAAGAAAAAAAATAGAGCTGTACGTGAAGTATTTCTAAAATGACACTCAAGAAACTTAGTGATGGGTTTGCTGGGACCCGCAGATCAACATTTGGAAAAGGACCCAGTTTCCACTGTGTATCCTTTTATGTTGTTTAGCATCTTTCTCAGTGCCAATGTAATTTTCATAATTCTACAGACTTTTTTGTGACAGATAATTTATGAAATGAGAGCAATTTAGAATTGGCTGTAAGTACCGAAGGAATAGAGCAAATATCCCAATTTGCAAAATTAAAAATCAAACAAGTACCTAATTAACATGTTGTTAATCAACAAAGTGGGAATATACAGACAGATAATCAAAACTAATTGTGTATGCCTACAAGACTTTTGCAGCCAGGATCCATGGATGGGCTTTAGGGGGTGTATTAGTCCGTTTTCATGCTGCTGATAAAGACACACCTGAGACTGGGTAATTTATAAATAAAAAGAGATTTAATGGACTCACAGTTCCACATGGCTGGGGAGGCCTCACAGCCATGGTGGAAGGTGAAAGGCACATCTTACATGGCAACAGACAAGAGAAAAAAAGAGAACCAAGCTAAAGGGGTTTCCCCTCTAAAACCATCAGATCTTATAAGACTTATTCACCACCATGAGAACAGTATGGGGGAAACCACTCCCATGATTCAATTATCTCCCGCCAGGTCCCTCCCATGACACATGGGAATTATGGGAGCTATAATTCAAGGTGAGATTTGGGTGGGGACACAGACAAACCATATCAGGGGGTCTATGAAACCCTCAGAATGATGCACAAGTGTTTTGTTAATTTTGGCCTGTGCATCTTCTGAGGAGGTTATCCAGAGTTTTTTATAGATTCTCACACAGGTTTGTGATCCACAAGAGTTTTTAATAGAGTCTCACAGAGGCTCGTGATCCATAAAAGCTTAATAACTATTAGCCTGGAGGTAGGCAAAGGAGGATGTCAGTATATTGTTCAAAGGTTAGTGAGTATTGGTGAGGGACTGTCTCGTACAAAGCTAAACAAAATGAAGGTGTGAGGCCATTAGTCTCCAGAGACCTACTTACTGGCTGTGATGCCCAGGCACACCTTGCCCAGATGTTCTCAGCAAATACACATCAGGCAAAGCACACCCACAACAGGCACCTGCACCTCTACCAGTCTGCAGGATTGCATTCCACAGGCTGCAGCAGGAACCCAACCAAGAGCAGATGTGGCAAAGAAAAGGTTTCATTTTCTCACCTAATGTGTTGTCCAGGGTGGGTGAGCGTCCCTTACTCAGAATGCATAGCCACCCTTAGAGTGTAGCTTTGTCCCACAGTCAAGACAGTTGCTGTACCTCTGGGTGTCAGGTCCATTTTTCAGGCAGGAGGAAGGGGAGGGGGCTCTGCCAGCTCAGTCTCTCTCTTTGTGAAAGGGAAACAAAGACTTTGCAGGTGACTGCATTCAGTGGAATTCTGTTGCATTGCATTAGCAGAGCTGTGCCCCATGGCTGCCCCTGGTTATAGGGAGCCTGGGGTGAGGTGGGGAGGATTGTGTTCACTCATTGGTTACAGTCTAACCATGTACCCCTAGGGGTGCTGCTTGTTGGGAAGAATAGAAGTAGAGAGAAATTATTCAGGCCCCAAGTGGAGTCTGCCATGTATGGCTTTGTTTGCCCTGTGAGCTGGCAAGCACAGATTCCTGGATCAACTGGGGCTAAAAACTGGCCTAATACCCCATTGTGAAGGTGCAGCCAGGGGATATGACTCACAATCTGCATTCACTAGTGCCACTGGAATCTAAGATGAATGTACTGGCATGATTTTTAACTACTCAAGTTTTATTTTGATAAAACTACATGACACAGGTGGAGCAGAGAATGAGTCTGGTGGATTGATGGAGAAAGTGGGAGCTGAATTGACAAGAAATGATCTTGAACCAAATGACCAAATAAGTCTTTAAGAGTGCAGAGAGTGACTGCATGTGGGGCATAAGACTTCCATCTACACAGAGTTCAAGTCGAATGAAGTAAGATCAACTTTATTCCTGTGAGTTTCCTTGAATTTTAACTGAAAGCCTTTTCTATGCAGGATAACTGCATGGATCAACCCCTTTTACAATAGCTGCAAAAAAATAAAATACTTAGGAATATACCTAACCAAGGAGGTGAAAGAGCTCTGCAAGGAATAGTACAAAACACTGCTGAAGGAAATCATAGATGACACAAACAAATGGAAACACATCACATGCTCATGGATGGGTAGAATCAATATTGTGAAAATGACCATACTGACAAAAGCAATTTACAAATTCAACACAATTCCCATCAAAATACCACCATCATTCTTCACAGAATTAGAAGAAAACAATCCTAAAATTCATATGGAACCAAAAAAGAGCCCACAAAGCCAAAGGAAGAATAAGCAAAAAGAATACATCTGGAGGCATCATGTTATCTGATTTCAAACTATACTATAAGGCCATAGTCACCAAAACAGCATGGTACTGGTATAAAAATAGGCACATAGACCTATGGAACAGAATACAGAATCCACAAATAAACCCAAATACTTACAGCCAACTGATCTTCAACAAAGCAAACAAAACAGAAAGTGGGGAAAGGACACCTTTTTCAACAAATGGTGCTGGGATAATTGGCAAGCCACATGTAGGAGAATGAAACTGGATCCTCATCTCTCACCTTATTTAAAAATCAACTCAAGATGGATCAAGGACTTAAATCTAAGGCCTGAAACTATAAAAATTCTGGAAGATAACATTGGAAAACCCCTTCTAGACATTGGCTTAGGCAAGGATTTCATGACCAAGAACCCAAAAGCAAATGCAATAAAAACAATGATAAATAGCTGGGAATTAATTAAACTAAAGAGCTTTTGCACAGCAAAAGGAACAGTCAGCAGAGTAAACAGACAGCCCACATAGTGGGAGAAAATCTTCACAATCTATACATCTGACAAAGGACTAATATCCAGAATCTACAACAAACAAATTAGCAAGAAAAAATAAATCCATCAAAATGTGGGCTAAGGACATGAATAGACAATTCTCAAAAGAAGATATACAAATGAATATCAAACATATGAAGAAATGCTCAACATCACTAATGATCAGGGAAATGCAAATCAAAACGGCAATGCAATACCACCTCACTCCTGCAAGAGTGGCCACAATCAAAAAATAATAGGTATTGGCATGAATGTGATGTACAGGGAACATTTCTACACTGCTGGTGGGAATATAAACTAGTACAGCCACTATGGAAAACAGTGTGGAGATTCCTTAAAGAACTAAAGGGAGAACTACCATTTGATCCTGCAATCCCACTACTGGGTATCTACCCAGAGGAAAAGAAGTCAGTATACGAAAAAGATACTTGCACACACATGTTTATAGCAACACAATTCACAATTGCAAAAACATGGAACTAACCCAAAATGCCCATCAATCAACGAGTGGAAAAAGAAACTGTGAGATACATACATGTATCTCATATATATACATATACTACTCAGCCACAAAAAGGAATGAATGAATGGCATTCGCAGTGATATGGAAAGATTGGAGATTGTTATTCTGAGGGAAGTAACTCAGGAATGGAAAACCTTATACATCATATGTTCTCACTCAAAAGGGGGAGCTAAACTATGAGAATGCTAAGGTATAAGAATAACACAATGGACTCTGGGGACTCAGGGGGAAAGGGTGGGAAGGGGATGAGGGATAAAAGATCACAAACTGGCCGGGCGCGGTGGCTCACGCCTGTAATCCCACCACTTTGGGAGGCCGAGGCAGGTGGATCATGAGGTCAGGAGATCGAGACCATCTTGGCTAACACGGTGAAACCCCATCTCTACTAGATATACAAAAAATTAGCCTGGCTTAGTGGCGGGGGCCTGTATTCCCAGCTACTCGGGAGGCTGAGGCAGGACAATGGCCTGAACCCGGGAGGAGGAGCTTGCAGTAAGCCGAGATTGCGCCACTGCACTCCAGCCTGGGTAACACGGCGAGACTCTGTCTCAAAAAAAAAAAAAAAAAAAAAAAAAAGACCACAAATTGTGTGCAGTGTATACTGCTCAGGTGATGATGGGTGCACCAAAATCACACAAATCACCACTAAAGAACTTATTTATGTAACCAAACACCACCTCTTCCCCAATAACCTATGGAAATAAAAAAAAAACTTAATTAAAAAAAGCAGCCAGTCATGGTGGCTAACACCTGTAGTTCCAGCTAGTGGGGAGGCTGAGAGGTGAAGATCCCCTGAACCCAGGAGTTCAAGGCTGCAGTGAGCTATGATAGCGCCACTGCATTCCAGCTTGGGTGACAGAATAAGACCCCATCTCAAAAAGAAAAAAAAAAAGAAAGCAAGAATGGAATATTTGCAGTGTGATACTTCTCCAAAGGACAATAACTTACTAATTTATAGTAACATTTCACCAGAAACTATTATGAATATAAACTTAAAAGCATTCTCTTCCTTGGAAATTTTCCATGTTCTTTACATTAATTCCAAAATTTTAACTTGAGACCTTTGTATTTTAAACAGATGTTACTGGATAGTATAGTCTCCAAATTTTCCCTCTTGTTTATTGCAATAAAATGATTGTCCTGAATGCGGTGTAAATTGCAGGAATCAGAAAATTTATATGACTTAATACATAAGGAAAAATAATTGAGTATATCTTTGCAAAAACCCACAGTCTAAGAAAAAAAGGAAGGTTTTTTTTTTTTTTTTTTTTAGTTTCCAACAGAGAAAATCCAAAATACACAGATACTTGTTCAGCCTTTTATGAGAAATTACTGGAGAATGATTTTGGATCATAGCTTCTCTTTCATTGTTACACAAGATGGTATTTTAAAAAATCATGTGAAGTACCTTTGATTTACGTTTTCTATACACCCAAAGAAATAGCCACAAGGCAATTCAAAAGCTGTAATTTGGGAAAATATTAGTCCTTCCATTAAGGTTCTGAGGATAAATTGAAAGCCATGTTTCTTTAACATATGCTTTGTTTATCACAGCTCTCTCTACAATATTTTAAAACAGGTATACTTCACGTAGTCTGATGCTTTCGAGTATCTTGAGGCATCCTGCGAACAGCTTGTAAAGCTTTAAAGTGTCCTTGTGGGAGCTGCATAAAAAATTAAAGAGATATGCAATCAAAAATGCAAGTGCCATTGTTAAAGTCAGCCTACATTTACTGGGTGACTGGCTGGCCCGGTCACTCTGATTAGAGGCAGCCAGAATCTCTTATCTGGATGGACTGCAGAGGACTCAAAATAACATCTTGTCAAGCTGGATGTCACTTCCTTAGCAGAGGCCTCTGTGAGTACAAGATGAATGGAAGGGTCACATTTCACACATGAAAAAGCACATCTGGGAGGTGCTCTTGGTTCTCTGGCTGTCGGTGGGGTCCCCTCCCCGGAGATGACTCTCTCCATCACACCCCTTCCTCCTGCTCCCCTGGGTCACTCCCTCTAACACTTCCCTAGGGATGCCCTCTGAACCCCTGGAGGCTTCTTTGTTAAAGTGTCACAGGCCCCATAACCCTTTACTCTGGACAACTTACCTTGTTTTATAATTACGTCGTCTTTCTTTTCTCTTCTTTTGAGACAGTGTCTCTCTCTGTCACCCAGGCTGGAGTGCAGTGGCACCGTCATAGCTCACTGCAGCCATAGTCTCCTGGTCTCAAGATATCCTCCCATTGCTCAGCCTCCTGAGTAGCTGGGACTACAGGCATGCACCATCATGCCCAGCTAATTTTTAAAATATTTTGTAGAGATACGGTCTCACTATGCTGACCAGGCTGATCTCAAACTTCTGGCCTCAAGCCTTCCTCTTGCCTTGGCCTCCCAAAGTGCTGGGATTACAGGCATGAGCCACCACACCCAGCCTACACCATCTTTAATATAACTATTTCCTTAATGCTACCTCCCCACAAGATTCTGGGTGGTGTCCCACCTGGCTGCGCTCACCACTGCATCCCTGGCAGGCAGTATAGGGGTTGGTGCGCTGAACATCGAGTAGGAAAGAAGGAATGGAAGAGAAGGCAAGGAAAGAGGGAAGGAAGGATCCCATTGCTGGGCCATCCAAATTCTCATTTGGACAGTCTGATTTGACAACCCCGCGGAGCTCAAAATTGGAGCTGGACACAGTGTTTATTTGGCTGATTACATCCAAATGCAAACAGCCAGCCATTGTCGGTGCTAGAGTGAGGTCTTCCCCCATTTGGAGAAGTCAGCCAGCTCTTGGGGCTCATTCACCTTTCTTAATGTCACTTTTAAGCAGCATCCTCTACTGGTGCTTAGAGTCGCTTAAAGGAACAAAACTACTATCATATTTGATAAAACAATTTCATACCCAGAGTCCTGGAGGTATGGTGGGTTCCTGAAAATGCCTGCAGGTGCCTGGTTCTAATATTATTACCTGTGGCTTAATAGCCCAACTTTGTCAAAATGAAAGGCCGCCATAAGCCCCCAAGAGCTCGGCTGAAGTTCCTGTTAGTCTCCTGGGAAAACTCACGGCCTTAAACTGCACTTGATACAGTTTGCTCTGCAGCAGATACCATCCATCGGTGCTTTTTCTGCCTGAGTTACATATACATATCCAGAGTCGAATGAAGAAAGACAAAACGTTATCTAGCCTTGGAGAAGTCAACCCGAACCTTACATAAGGAGAAATGATTTGACTCTTGGTGTTTCGAGTGGAAATCAGCAAGGAGGCAGGCCTGGCATGTTGGAGGTATGGCTGCATTCATGACAGCAACTGGCTACAGCTGGCTGGCATCCCCCGGCCTGACCTTCACTTCAGGCCATGCCGTTGTCCACCCTGGAAGATCCGATGTGATCTCAGCCAGGCCAACAACTCACCCAGCACCTAGGGAAGCCTGCCTGGCTCTGGACCTGAGGGCCTGAGAGAGAGAGGGCAGTTTCCTAAAAGAAAAATGTCTGGGGATTTTCCTCCCCCTCCTCTCCATCACCGTCCACTGCTCTTGAACAGGCTCATTTATCTTGCATTCCCACTCTTAATAAAAGTGGTGTTATGCCAATACCTACCCACTCAAGTGCTGTTGGTGAAAATTCAAAGCCCTCCAGACATGGCATGAGACGATGCACGTTTACAAGGTATTGAATCCCGACGTGATTACAAGTGGGTAACAGACCACGTCCTCTGGACCTACTGTTGGCAGGGGCTGGGGAGGAAGGATGCATCAGCTTTTCACAAGTTAACTTGCTCACTGTTCATTCTAAGGAATTCATTTTCTTCAAAAGTCTTTCAGGCCTATAGGAACCTGTTTCCTTTCCTATTGTTGTTTATTGTTTTATATATCTTTTTTTATTTTTCCATTTTTTTTTCCTGCAAAGATAACTGCTGAAGAAATAAGAGCATGTTGTGAGTAATAGTCGCCTCTTCCCTTAGATATTCCTCACACTGGCTGAAAACCAGCCTCTTCCCTTAGATATTCCTCATACTGGCTGAAAACCACTGACCCTATTTTTGTCAAGACTTCATTTCTGCCTTGTTCATTTAGTAGAAACTTCTAGACTGGCAAATGATTTTTTTTTTTTTTGAGGCAGAGTCTCCCTCTGTCGCCCAGGCTGGAGTGCAGTGGCACGATCTCGGCTCACTGCAACCTCTGCCTCCCGAGTTCACGCCGTTCTCCTGCCTCAGCCTCCCGAGTAGCTGGGACTACAGGCACGTGCCACCATGCCCGGCTAATTTTTTGTATTTTTTAGTAGAGATGGGGTTTCACCGTGTTAGCCAGGATGGTCTCTATCTCCTGACCTCGTGATCCACCCGCCTTGGCCTCCCAAAGTGCTGGGATTACAGGCATGAGCCACCGCGCCTGGCCATGATTTTTTTTTAAGACATGGTAAAAGTTGGATCCTTGCTTCCAGCCATGAGGAATAATAATTTTATCACCCCTGGAAGGTTCCTCCTGGCCCCTGCAATTAATCTTATTCCCCGACTCCAGCCCTGGGCAACCACCAATCAGTTTCTTGTAATATAGCTAAGTATTATCATTCTAAAAGTTCTTGTAAACGAAATCATTATTTTTCTCAGAAGCAAGTTTTAAAGTTTTATCCACATTGTCCATGTGTCAGTAGTTTATTACTTTCTGTTGTGGTAGGGTGTCTTTCTGCATGAATATACTACAATTTATCTGTTTCTCTGCTGATTACATTTGCCATTTGGAGTGTCCCTGTGTCCAGGCTATCATGAGTAACACTGCTGTGAACATTCATGGACAAGTCTTTGTATGGACAAATGCTTCCATCTTCCTAGGGTAAATAACTAGGAACAGAATTGCTGGGTGATGCGGGTTCTGTTCTCTGCCCTTGTCATTCTCACCCTATTCTCCCGATTGTTCTACATGTGGCTTATGGACCAAATACGGTCTTCTTAAAATGTGTTAGTCACACAATTAGCCTCTCAGTCTCAATCATGAATCACTTGGTGAGAGGATAGAGGAAAAAACAGACTCCATTTCCCCTACTCTCTACTCACCACAGCACAGTCAGCACAGAATACTTCTGTGACTCTTGTTCATCAAAATGTGTGGGAATTTCTTTCCACCAGCAACCGATTCTGCAGTGGATGCCAGCTGGGTGTCCCTAATGCAATTAAATTCTAACACTCTCTACTGGGAGGTAGCGTCAGATCTCACAGGTTGAAGGCTCAGTCCCACAAGGCTTCTCCCCCATGCCACCTCAGATGCCAGCTGCAAGCACAGGTTGTGTCTGTGCTTCTGACCTACTGACTATAAATTGAGGTTCCCATGATTCCCTCTTCTGGTTCAATTAATTTGCTATAGCAGCTCACAGAACTCAGGGAGACACATGTACTGGTACACAGTCATGCGTTGATTAACAACAGCAATACATTCTGAGACATGTGTCATTAGGTAATTTTGTCATTGTGCAAACATTATAGAGTGTACTCACACAAACAGATTGTGTAGCCTACTACACACCTAGGCTATATGGTATAACCCGTTGCTCCGAGGCTACAAGCCTGTACAGCATGTTAGTGTACTGAACACTGTAGGCAACTATAACACAATGGTGAGTGTATGCGTATCTAAACATATCAAAACACAGAAAAGGTACAGTAAAAACACAGTATGATAATCTTAGGGCACCACTCTTCTACATGTGGTCTATCATTATGTGGCACATGACTGTATTATAAAGGATATTACAAAGAATACCAACGAACAGATGCATAGGGCAAGGGGTTGGGGAACGGGTGCCGAGCTTCCAGGCCCTCCACAGGCGCACCACCTTTCAGGAACCTCCACGTGCTCAGTTATCGGGAAGTTCCTGAACCCAGTCCTTCTGGGTTTTAATGGAGGCTTCATTGCATAGACATGATTGATGAATCATTGGCCATTGGTGATCAACTCGACCTTCAGCCTTTCTCCCCTCCCTGGAGGTTGCAGGCTGAGGTTGAAAGTCCCAACCTTCAATCACACCTTGGTCTTTCCTGTGACCAGCTCCCATCCTGAAGCCATCTAGGGACTGCCAGCCGCTGGTCATCTCATTAGCATACAAAAGACACTCTTATCGCTCTGGAGATTCCAAGGATTTTAGGAGCTGTGTGTTACGAAACAGTGAGGAAGACTAAATGTATATTTCACAACATCACACTTGGTTTCTAGAAAGAAGCCCATTCAACCAGGTGAGTCAAGAGAGCCTTACAGTGTAGACAAAGGTACCTTATGCAGCCTAAAGGTAAGAAACATGGTCAGGACTCAGGAACCACTAAACAGGGAAAGCTGTCAGGAACAAAGGCAGCGGTGACATCACGTTGTGTCTGGTCAATTCCCTTCATCACCATCTCTGTCATTGTTCCCTGCTACCAACCAGCCCACACATTTGCACGTGGTCCTGGGTGGCTAGCCTCAAATGGGTGGCCCAGCCTTCAAGTCAACAGGATATTCCTGCTCTGTCCCTGGTAGGTTAGTTTTAGTGTCCACAAATTTAAAGATCCCCGGAAAGAGAATCTGATGGGTCAGCTTGTGGCAACTGTCATCCCCTAGTTCAGTTAGCTTGTAAGTGTGTGTGAGTGTGTGTATGCATGCGAATGTGTGTATGTGAGTGTATATGCATGAGTATGTGCATTTGTGTGTGTGTACATATGTGTTGTGTATGTGTGTGTATGTATGTGTGAATGTGAGTGTGTCGTGTGTGTGTGTATGTGAATGTGTGTGTATGAGTATGTGTATGTGTGTGGTGTGTGTATGTGAATGTGTGTATAAATGTGTACGTGTGTATGTGTGAATGTGTGTGCATGTGTGTGTGAACGTGTATGACAGTGTGCATGTATGTGTGATGTGTGTTTATGTGCAAGTGTGTGTATGTGAGTGTGTATATGTGAGAGTGTGTGTGGTGTGTGTATGTGAATGTGTGTGTATGTGTGTGGTGTGTGTATGAGTGTACGAGTGTGTATGTGTGTATGCTGTGTGTATGTGAGAGTGTGTGTGTGATGTGTGTGTGCATGTGCGAGTGTGTGTATGTGAGTGTGTGTATATGTGAGAGGGTGTGTGTGTGAGTGTGTCTGCATGCATGTGTGTGTGTCAGGCATTCGTGGATTGATGTAGCACAGTGGATTATCCAAATGGACTGAGAACAAGGCAGTTTCTCTGTGCACACGTGTGGTTGGCGCAACCTAGAGCAATGCCTTATGATGAGCATTTCTCGTTGAACCCCTTCTGCCTGTAGAACGGCTCTGGCAGCTGGCAGCCTCTGGTAGGCAGCTGACTGCCACCATGTCCATGCCAGCAGTTTGGGTCTTTACTAATGCAATTGATTCTGTGCATAATTAATCATTGAAAAAGTGAGCAACTCAAATTTAATTTCACTAAAAGTGCATCACAAAGCATGGGTATTAGGACCCCTGTCTCCAAAGAGATAGGTACGAATGAAATCTTCACATGTCTTTGACTGATATTTGAGTCACACTCACTTCAGTCCTGAATTTGCATCACTTTCTGAAAGACTTATAGTTTTATATGTTTCATTTTGTATATTTTTAATAGTTTATTGTTGACATATCACACAATTTATCCATTAAAAGTATACGATTGAATGATTTTTAGTATATCCACAAATATATGCAAGTACCATTACAATTTTAGAACATTTTCATCACCTCCAGAAGAAACCCCATAAGCTTTAGCTATCGAACTCTGCTCTCCCAGCTCCCTCCCCCGGCCCTAGGCAAACACTAATCTGCTTTCTGCCTCTGTAGAAATGTTCTGGACATTTCATATAAATGGAATCATATAATATGTGGTCTTTTGGGACTAGCATCTTTCACTTAGCATAACGTTTAATGTTTTTGAGATTCATCCATGCAGTAGCATGTGTTAATGCTTCCTTCTTTTCTAAACCTGAGTAACTTTGCACTGTATGTATTAATATATTCTGCATTTGTTTATCCATTCATCTGTTGACAGATACTTGGGTTACTTCTGCCTTTTGGCTATTGTGAGTAATGCTGCTATGAACTTGGGTGTGCAACTATCTCTCAGAGACTCTGCATTCTTTTCTTTTGAATATATACCCAGAAATGGAGTAGTTGAATCATATACTAATTCGATCTTTGTATTTTGGTGAAACTGCCACATTGTTTTCCATAGTGGCTGCACTGTTTTCTGTTTCCACCAACAGTGCACATGGGTTCAATTTCTCCACATTTTTGTCAGCACTTGTTATTATCTCACTTTGGTTCTAGCCATCCTAGTGGGTGTGAAGTGGCATCTCTTTGTAGTTTTGAAGACTCACCGGCATTTTCAACTAGCTACGTCCAAACAGAACTATCTTTTATCTCTCAAAATCTGCTTCTCTCCTTATGAGTCCCATTTACATCAAAGGCATTGGGATTCACCCACAAACCAGTGTGTGTTTCCAGCACCTTCTTTCTAATGTAGCACCCATGTCCATGCTTGACATTGTCACCCTGAGCCAGCCGTACTCTCAGCATGCTGGGTGTTGCATTAAGTTTTAAAAATCTATATTATGTATCTTTCATCATTTTTCTTCAATTACAATATACGCTCATTATTGAGAATCTGCAAAAGTATAAAGATGAAAATTTAAAATACCTCCCTCACCTAGGGAAAACAACGGACCAGTGAATTGACTTCCTAGTGTGGTTGCCATGTGTAAACACTCCACATGTATAACTTAAGAATAAACACTCTTTACCCCTGACTGAGGCAACTCTAAAGTATGAGCTCCCCTTCCTCTGGAGTTCTCCTGTGGGGTGGAGCCAAAGTTTGTATTAGCCCGTTTTCACTCTGCCATAAAGATACAATTCAAGATGAGATTTGGGAGGGGACATAGCCAAACCATATCATTTACCCTCCAGGGGATTTTGTTGGATATTGCTCCCCCCTACCTCCCATCCCTGGTGCCACTTCCCTTCCCCCACTAGTCTTTTCTGAGGCATGACTTGTTCCATCACCCTCATATGATCTGCTTCTCAACATCTGCTATAGGAAAGCCTGACACATCCTGATATGGTTTGGCTCTGTGTCTCCACCCAAATCTCATCTTAAATTGTAGCTCCCATAATTCCTATGTGTTGTGGGAGGGACCTGGTGGGAGATAATTGAATCATGGGGGCGATTTCCCCCATATTGTTCTCATGGTAGTGAATAATTCTCACAAGATCTGATGTTTTTATAAGGGGAAACCCCTTTCGCTTGGCTCTCATTCTCTTCTCTTGTCTGCCGCCATATGAGATGTGCCTTTCACCTTCTGCCATGATTGTGAGGCCTCCCCAGCCACGTGGAACTGTGAGTCCATTAAACCTCTTTGTTTTGTAAATTGCCCAGTCTTGAGTGTGTCTTTATCAGCAGCGTGAAAACGGACTAATACAGGTCTTTCCACATCTTTGCTAATCCAGGGTGACATTTAAAAACAATCTTTTAATATAAAACAATTTCAAGGTCGGGCGCGGTGGCTCACGCCTGTAATCTCAGCACTTTGGGAGGCTGAGGTAGGCAGATCACCTAAGGTCAGGAGTTCAAGACCAGCTTGTCCAACATGGGAAAACCCAATCACTACTAAAAATACAAAAATTAGTTGGGCATGGTGGCATGAGCCTATTAATTCCAGCTACTCTGTAGCCTGAGGCACAAGAATCGCTTGAACCCAGGAGGCGGTGGTTGCAGTGAGCTGAGATGGCACCACTGCCCTCCAGCCTGGGCAACAGAGAGAGACTCCATCTCAAAAAAAAAACAAAAACAAAAAACAAAACAATTTGAAGCATACACAAAAGTATAGAGAATAGTATAATGAACCCCTAGTGCCCATCACTCGTTCCAACAATTACCCACATTCTGTCCTTTGTGTTGCATCTGTCCTCCCAAAACTGTTTTGGCTTTTCTTCTGGCGCATGTACAACAAATTCCAGATGCCATATCATTCACTGAAAAATACTCCAGTGCTTCTCTCTAACAAAGAAATGATGAGTGCTTACATGCACACACACAGCACCATTCTTATATCCAAAAGATTCGTAATCATTCCTTAATATTATCTAATAACCAGTCTATCTTCAGTTTTCCTGATTGTTGTCTCGAAAGTGTCTTTTTCCGGTTCATTTGCGCTATTTATTGCTCTTAGCTGATATGTCTCTTAATTCTCCTGTGATCTTAACAGTTTCAACTCTTCTTCTGGTTTCTCCATGCCAGCTATGTGTTGGAAACAATCAGCTCATTTTCCAGGTCATTTATCTTACAGAATGTCTCGCTTTTGGATTGGGCTGGTTGAATCGTTGAGGAATCATTTAAGGCTGTCTTCCAACCCTCATATTTCCTGTGGATGGATAGTTAGATTTAGAGGCTCAATTTGGCTCAGGTTCTTCAATTTACAGACAATAAAACATTACAGGTGACACTAGAAACTTATTGCCGAGAGTCAAGAGGCACAGGATGTCTGGGGTCCCACCTTTGGTGACGTTAAGATAAATGAGAGGAATCAGGTATTGTCAGCCTGATCCATCCATTATAAAGTTTCCCATCAACTTTTCACCTCATGGTTTTAGCTCTCCCTTGGGATTATAAATTTAAAATATCTTTGTGAACTTGATAGCTGATAAAATAGACTTGTGTGTGTTAGTCGGTAAATTGATTGCTCATTTGGCAGCTCTGGGGATTCTTTGTGATTTAGTGCCCTGACTCCTGGTCAGGCCTCCCCATCGGGTCTTGATCTGGTCTGGTCTGGTCCTGGCCTTGCCGTTCCCATCAAGCCCTTTGGACTGTTTGATGCAGAAATCATCCCATACACTACTCCTGGGGATTGTCCCCACATTCCAGGCTACAGGGAGGTGTGAGATCCAGGTGCTACCTGGATTCCGGCTCCATGCTGAGGTGTCTGCTGCCACATCAAGATCAACATCTTTGAAGCCACCAGCGCTGCAAGAGAGCTGCAGCAGTCACCATGAAACCTCCACGAAACCACCTGCAGGGCCACCAGTTCAACATGCTTTCCCTCCCACAGTCAACATTGCAGAATGAGAGTTGAGTGAAACAGTTAATCTGTTCATTCTTACTCACTTTTTTTCACTTGTTTATTTCAGAACCCTCTTCCTAAGGCACAGACATGAGTCTGTGTGGGCTGGGCCACAGAGCAGTTAGTGGGATAGATGCTGTCCAGAACCAAAATGAGCCCTTGATCCTCACCTGGCTCACTCACTAGGTACCCTTGTGTGCTCTTCAACCCTCCTTCCTCTTAGGATGAGTTTCTTCCCAGGGAGCTCCAAAGTCTCTCAGCAAATATGTCTTTGATAGGGTCAGTCCATAGGCCACATAGACAAGACATACAGACCTGTCAGACCCATCTGAATCATGGTATGAGGACAGGGAACCCCACCCACTGGAGCTCTGCTCCTGCCTAAACAGCAGCAGAAAGCAGAGGGATTGGAACTTTCAGAAGGGTACAAACCATGGGCTACCAAAGGGGTGTTCTTCCAAAAGGCCTTTTAAAAATATGAAAAATCATTTTAGTAATCCAAGTATCTCTCTTTGTGGAATATGTTTAGGAATTGGGTAGGAAACAAAGACTTGAACAGCTGCCCAGGGACTGGGGAGGGCTCCCAATTGGCATTATTTCTGTTTTCCTCTCAGAGAAACTCCCTTGAGTCTCAGGTCTTGATCAAGGATGCATGTAGGACTCTGGTGAATTTTTTAACTGGTTCTTGTCCTTCACTGATCTGAGGGGAATTCCAACACTAGTCACCCACTATCTTCTGATGAGTGGCCAGGGACAGGCCCAAGCTAGATCTGTGACCATCGCAGCAATAATGTTCAACCATTCTGGGAACCCCCCTGGGGATCACGATGACACTGGAATACTGTTAAGGTGGAATTTTGCCCCCAGTACCAGCCCGGGATCCCAGACACCTCTCAGAAAGGTCCCCAAGGGAGAAATATACACACCTTGAAAACAAGCAGCCCAAAGATTGTGTTCTCTTACTAAGCATTCACATCATGTTTTTATTTTATTTTTGGCGTAGCATTGTAGTGGCACCTGTTCCTGTTTTCACAATTAGGAAACCATCATTCCTACTCAGCTCCTGAGCCCACAGCTGTATTGGAGTTCTCTGGACACCACTCCCTTCCTCTGACTTCCCCTCTGCCAGCTTCCCATGTGGTTTTCTTCTCTCCAACCAAGAGTCAGTGGATCCCAAGCACTATTTTATCAGAGTTAAAGACTGTCTTCTTTCTCATTAGAATAGATTCCAAGTGAATTCCAACCCATTTGATCTTAAGGAGGAGCTGCCAAGTCCCAGTGACAGTTAGTGATGACATTAGAAGAAAATGAACCGCTCAGCAATTTTGCATCTCAATAGTCGGCCCTTCTCTACACACGGCTGAGTTAGAGGTGCTGGATCCAGCTCTCGTGCCCCGCAAGAACATGACCAGTGGGATCAAGTCTTTAGAGTTCTTCAGGCCAAATGTGATGCTGTGTGGCTTCTGAAGCCAGGGCTAAAAGGCCATGTGGTTTCTGCCTTGTTCACTGGAGCATTTGCTCTTGAAGTCCTGACTGCCTGGTAAAAAGACCAATGCCTCTGAAGCTGCCATGCTCTGAGGAAGCCCAAGCCACGTGGGGAGGCTGTGTGGAAACACTCTGATCAGCAGTCCCAGCCGAGCTCAGGCACCAGAGATGTGAGTGAAGAAACTTCTAGAAGATTGCAGTCATTCAAGTCTTTTACATTGTGGAACAGAGAACAGAGACAAGCCAACTCTACAGTGCCCTGCCCAAATTCCCAACCCACAAAATCCATGATAATAATAAAATGTTGGTTGTTTTCCTCCTGTAAGTTTTGGGGAATTTTGTTCCTTAGCAACTAATAGCTGAAACACTGAGAACTCTGCTCCTTGCGTCCATGCAAGATTAGAAAATCTTTATTTTGTATCTTTTCTTTTATGTTGTTTTCCTTCTGTTTCACTTGACATCTATTATTGTGGGAGAAATCCTGAACTCTTCCAATTCCTTCTAGAAAAGCCAAAGAAGCATCTTTCGATGATAATCAGCAATAAATAGTCAATTATTTGCAGATCTACACAAATACGCCAAACAGAGAACCCATAGCGGCATGTTATGGTTTGGCTCTGTGTCCCCACCCAAATCTCACCTTGAATTATAATCCCGAGAATCCCCAAACGTCAAGGGTGAGATCAGGTGGAGGTAATTTGAGTCATAGGGGCAGTTTCCTCCATGCTGTTCTCATGATAGTGAGTGAGTCTCATGAGATCTGTTGGTTTTATAAGTGTCTGGCATTTCCCCTGCTTGCACTCACTCTGTCCTGCCGCTCTGTGAAGAAGGTGCCTTGCTTCCCCTTGGCAGTCTGCCATGATTGTAAGTTTCCTAAGGCCTCCTCAGGAATGCAGAACTGTGGATCAATTAAACCTTGTAAATACTCCAGTCTTGGGTATTTCTTCATAGCAGTGTGAGAATGGATGAATACAAGGCACATGCAGTGAAGGTGGCTGAAAGATTTCCATTTGGCCACTGACTTCACTTACTCTACTTTTCAGTGATCTGTGATGACACAGGAAGAAAGGCAAAACAAATCTGAAGACAAAGGAAGTCACATAATCAGGACACTCATGGTGGAATCATTGCATCGGCCATAAGCCCTGCAGTAGGGAGGCCACCAGGTCAATGGCTACATGTATGATGGAGCATGTGACCACTTACAGTGATGGCAGAGAGCACAGGAGAGATGGGGGAAATGCTGAGATACACTTGTTGTGGAAAACAACAGCCATGTGTGCACTGAAAGCAGCTCTGGATAAAGTAATTTTAAAAGAAGAGAGAAAAACCCAGGAGATAACAGTCACATACAACTGGAAACATGTACAAGGATGTTCATTGCAGCCCTGCTGGTTTTAGCAAAAACATGGAAACAACCTCATGCCTCAGTCAAAAGATAAGTGGGCAGATGAAGTCTTCATTGGCATAAATACAAGCAATAAAACTGTATGAAAAAGAAAGCAGGCCAGTGAAAGCCAGGACTCAGGCGATGATTAGCCTCAGGTAGAGAAATGCAGGAGGGTCAAAGGAGAACCATCTGGATACGGGAAGGTAGTTGTCAAAGTTAGAGGTTTTGTTTTGGGTGGTGAATTTTCTGGTGCTTAAAAATAACTAGATAAGTAAAAATCCAAATGTGCACCATCCATGGGTCAGCGATGAGGGCGTGTCAGGGAGCAAGGACTGTGGTTAATCCAGCCTGGTACAGGAGGCCCAGCCGAGCAAAGAAAGGGAGACTATGACACGGGAGGAGGACAGGTGCAGGAGCAGGCAGAGGCGGCTCCTCCAAGCAGCTGAGCTGCAGAGGGGGAAGAAAGTGAAGGCAGCAGCAGAGGGGCGTGAACAGGGCCAGGATGTTGTTTTGTGTGTTTGTTTGTTTTTAGTGCATTTGCTAATGGAAACAATCCAGGAGGAACTGATGATGCAGAAGCGAGGGAGAATCCTGGGTCTGGCACTGTGAGGAAGCAGGAGGGAATGTGAAGTGGTATCAAACGAGTTTTTCTCTGTGGAACAGAATGTCCTGTCCTTGTAGAAGGGGCAGCTGCCTGCTTGCCTGGCAAGGCGTCATCTCAAATAAAAGGAATGTGGGTGCCAAGTGTAACCTAAGACATCCACCTTGCACCCACACCTTGCATCCACCTCGCACCCACACGCTGTGCGTCCCACAGACCCGCCTACCTTCCCACAGAGGCATCTTCTTATTTGCAGAAAGCCATGGACCCAAACAATCCCCCTCCACCTGCCTGCCTTTCCTCAAAATCCTGCCTTTATCTCCATTCTCTGGGAGAAGGAAGATACTGCACGTTTTCCAAGGGAGGCACATTTCGCAGCTGTCATGCCCCTGCCTGGTTTCTGTGCTCCCCTGCCTGGTTTCTGGGCTCCCCTGCCTATCAACAGTGACTGCAGGCTCTTTAAAACTGCTCGGGCCCACCCCGTGGCTTCCACCTTCACAGACCCTGAGCTGCAGACACCTGGGCATTCAACTTCCCCCACCATGCTGTTCCTGGCGGGGGTCTTTCTTCCTTCTCATTTGTAAGAAACAGTCGATACGATTTCAGGCGTAGTTTAATGCTGCTTCCCACATGATACAGCCCCACCTGCAGTGGATGTGCTCCCCTTCACACCCCTGCCTCGTGTCATCTGGACATTTCTGATGGGCCCTGCCCACCCGCCCCCTCCACACCTGCTCCGGGCTGGGCTCTCCCCGGGACCCAGCCATGTCCTGGTCATCATTATGTGCCCCACAGCAGGCAGGCTCCCAAAGGCCTCTTTTACCCTCTCAGGCAGTGAGAGTCCTGATGCTGCCCCCAAATCTTTGTCCCTTCTAAGAGAAGAGTTGGGGGAACCAAGCATTATGCCTGATGCCAAATCCAACTCGGGCCAATGGAGCTGAGTTATACACAGTTTTACTTTCCTGAAAATCTTGGTGCTTTCTCTCAAAAGTGGAGTCATGCATTTTGTAAGGAGCCTTCTCTCCCTGAGCTATAGAGTGAGACCTCTGACTCCTGGACCTTCTTCCTGGGCTCATCCCGGGAGCACCCTCCTCTGCACCTGCCCCTCCTCCCCACGGGTCCTCCCGCCAGCACGGGTGAACGCTGCTAACTCAGAAGTCCCACCCCTGCCTTGGACAAGTGCCCACTCCTGCGCGTACATGGCCAGCTGGGTCTCCGCATAGCTCTCTCCACCTCGCCTCTCCCACTCCCTGTTCCCGTTCCCATCTCTGTCCTCCTCCTGCCGGTCCCCGCCGGTGGGGCAGCCTTTCAGTGGTCCTGGCCCTGCCCAGTTCCTAGGGCCCCTGCTGTACCATCTGACCAGATGCTGACCTTAGCTGCTACATTCACTTCTGTTGCCTGGGGACTTGGAGGAGCTGACCCCTGGCTGGAGGGGATGGGAGAGGCTTTAATTTAGTTCTTTCTTTTGAGGCTTTCCCTCTCCCAACCGGCTTTCATTTCCTCCCTGTGGCATTAGCCGTTCCTTGTCTCCACCCCTGGCCTTTTCCCACAAGCAGGAAGGTGGGCTGGGGCAGGAGAGGGTGGGGCCGGGTTTTGCAGGCTTGGTTTCCATTAATTATTGGGATAACAATAAGAAACTGAGAAGAGAGAGAGAGAGACAGAGACGCAGAGACTCACAGTGCCACACTGCATTGCAACTACCCCACACTGCGCTGCCTGTACATTTTCCGAAAGTTTCCATCTCCAGCTGGGCTGGAGGAGGCTGTGAGTGAGGGCTGGGCCTCCAGGGGAGAGAACTCGTAGCCCCCTCATCCGGCGGCGTGAGGAATCCTAACAAGAGGGCAGGGGACAAAATCCAGTGGGTGGAGGATGGAAGCACCTGAAGATCCTCCTATTCAGGGCAGGTCTTGTCTTCAAAAATTTCTAGATATGGTTTTGTTCCTGGCATAGGAATCTTCACTCCCGGAACCAAAATTTGAGAGACAGGTTTCCTCGGCAACCGAGGAAACATCTCTAGAGAAGGGTTATATTGTTTTGAAGTGTTTTGAAATCTTATCAATGGTTTCCAGGGAAACACGAGATGATGAATAGAGGCCTTGCTAGGTGAATTTAAGAAGAAACACAGGGGAACATATTTGGATTCACAGTGTGCAAGTATTCAGCTGTGTATCAAGGCAGAAAAGTATATTTCACTCTCATCTGACATTTTAATTTTATTACTAGTTCAGCTTCATGTACAGTAACTCCTCAGGGAGGTCAGCATTATTTGAATCCCAATTAAAGAAATTACACAAAGTTTTTAAATTATGAAATTTGTGAATCCCACGGGAATCAACATTTTAATTAACATTATGTATTATACGTAGGGAAAATAAAGATTTAAAGTAGCAACTGAGCAGCCAAACTGTGGTCAGAACAGTTTGCGAATTAAACGGCAGTGGAGTCTCCAGCAGAAACGGCAGAACGGCAAATGAGCTCAGGGAGAAATGGCCAGAACTGTGACTCCAGCTCACCTGTCACTCCTACTCTGTTTGCCGGTGAAAAACGCCTGGCAAGTCTGACTGTCCAGTGGTGTGGAGTTTTAATCTTTTCTTGTTTTGTTAAGCTACTGAAATCACCAGGTGCCTTTGTGTTCTTTCAGCAGGTAATATTTTGTCTTGGTTGATCCATGATTACATCTCAGGGTTCATCTTTGCCCTTATTGATTGTGTGACTATTTTTTGTTTGTTTGTTTGTTTGTTTTTGAGACAGAGTCTTGCTCTGTCATCCAGGTTGGAGTGCAGTGGCACGATCATGGCTCACTGCAGCCTCAACTTCCCGGGCTCAAGCGATCCTCCCACGTCAGCCTCCCGAGTAGCTGGGACCACAGGTGTGTGACCACACTCAGCTAATTTTTAAAATTGTTTTTGTAGAGATGGGGTCTCACTATGTTGCCCAAACTGCTGTTGAATTCCTGCGCCCAAGCAATCCACCCGCCACAGCCTCCCAAAGTGCTAGGATTACAGGCATAAACCACCGCACCTGGCCCTATTTAAGTCTTCCTAGCTCTCTGAGGATTGCCCAAGAAAACAATGAAGGAAAAATCAAAGTACCAATGTCCTCTAAGTCCAGATAATTTCATATCACTACATCTCTTGAGAAACATCTTCCCTTTAATTGAAATTGAAATTTGCACTTTATTATCTTGAGTAATATTTTCCATTGTCATGGTGCTCTATACATGCTTTATATAAGGTGACACTCTTCTATTTTTCCTTGGCTTTTGTTATTGGAATCAAATGCAATTGATTACAAGCAAAAACAGATGAGCCAAGCGGGCTCGGTGGCTCATGCCTGTAATCCCAGCACTTTGGGAGGTCTAGGCGGGTAGGTCACCTGAGGTCAGGAGTTCAAAACCAGCCTGGTCAACATGGTGAAACTCCGTCTCTACTGAAAAATGCTAAATTACCTGGGCGTGGTGGCAGGCACCTGTCATCCCAGCTACTCAGGAGTCTGAGGCAGGGAGAATTACTTGAACCCAGGAGGTGGAGATTGCAGTGAGCCGAGATCAAGCGCTGCACTCCAGCCTGGGTGACAGAGCGAGACTCCATCTCAATAATAATAATAATAAAAACAAAAAACCCAGATGAGCCTAACTATATGCCAAATTGATATTCTAACCACACAGGAAAAGAACAATTAATTCAGGTAACTTTTGAAAAGTGTACTTTGATTGTGCACCTTCCAGTGGGATAGATTTTAAGGACAAAAGAGCTTCAAAGACATGTTGACATTTACTTAATAGGTTTGCTTTCAGCAGTGACATTGGTGTAGTAATTACAAAACTATTTTGTGGGTTTGTAGGACTGGGCAAATGAAGAAATATGTAGTTATTGGAAACCCAGGTCCTCACAGTGCGAGAGATAAACATATATGAGGTGCGGGAATGTGAAGAAGAACCTATTGGTGTGGGATTGGAGGTGGGAGGTAAAGGCATCATCACATGAACTCATGATTTTAATTTAAAAAAAACTATGTTTCGTATCTCTGCCTATTGAAAGGGAGAAACAGTGACACAATAGCAGCAAAGAGCACACTTGCCACCTAGACTTTGGTTGGTTTTCTTCCTTCCTTCTTTCTTTCTTTCTTTCTTTCTTTCTTTCTTTCTTTCTTTCTTTCTTTCTTTCTTTCTTTCTTTCTCTCCT
This sequence comes from Homo sapiens, assembly GCF_000001405.40. NCBI lineage: Eukaryota > Metazoa > Chordata > Mammalia > Primates > Hominidae > Homo > Homo sapiens. The sequence goes on from NC_000002.12 coordinate 235,090,970, forward strand.
TCCTTCCTTTCTTTCTCTCCTTCCTTCCTTCCTTCCTTCCTTTCTTTCTCTCTCTCTCTTTCTTTCTTTCTTTCTCTTTCTTTCTTTCTTCTTTCTCTTTCCTCTTTCTTTCTTTCTCTCCCTTCCTTCTTTCCTTCCCTCCCCCTCCCTCCCCCATCCATCCATCCATCTTTCCTTCCTTCCTTCCTTCTTGTCTGCCTTTCTGTCTTTCTTTTTTTTTTCTTTTTCTTCTTTTTTTAAGACAGAGTCTCACTCTGCTGGATTGCAGGGGCGCGCACAATCATAGCTCACTGCAGCTTTGAAGCTTTGAATTCCTGGGCTTAAGTGATCCTCCCGCCTCAGCCTCCCAACTACAGGTGCCCACCACCACCACACCTGGCTAATTTTTTTTTTTTATTTTCGTAGAGACAGGGGTCTCACTGTGTTGCCCAGGCTGGTCTTGAACTCATGGGCTCAAGCGATCCTCCTGCCTCGGACTCCCAAAGTGTTGGGATCACAGGTGTGAGCCACTGTGCCCAGTCTCATTGGTGGAGAATGGTGTTTAGAAACCAGGCCTTGGTTTGGTTTCTCCACCAAAGGGGAAAAGGGTGATTCCAGGCCTGGAGCACGGAAAGTATGAGGTCAGCCTGAAATGTCTTCTAGTGTCAGAAGGAAGGGTGTACCCAAAGACTAGGCAAAGAATGTGAAATTAGCAGACTTAAAGGGCCTCCAACTGGCGGCATTTGGGATGGTTTGAGTGTTTTCTAAAAATGGATTACAACACATTGCATTTTTAAAAAAGCATTCACAAATCCAAAATAATTCCAAAAAGTGATGTTGGGGGCAGATCTTCTTTACAGAACAATTCAGGTAATAAATAGATAAGAAACAATAGAATTAGAAAAAAGTTACCATTTTGTAGCCACCAATGTCATAGTATATTCAGATAAGAATATATTCAGGGCGTGGCTGGAGGAGAGAGGCAGTGGCGTGGGGCAGGAGGCTGGCAGAGTGGATGCCCCTCATCAAAAGAACAAGCTCCACCTTCCCCAACCTGAGAGTCTCTGAAAACAGGACCTGGCCCTAACATTTCACGTGTCCAGCGTGTAACCCTGGCAGCCACATTGTGGTATGGATGTTTTTCAAAATCCTTTCCTAACACCCACGTTTGACTGCAGGGAAGTTCAGTGACCAGGCTGCCAGGTCACTGTTAAACAATGGCTTTGGGAACACAGTCCCCATCAGCCGGCATTTGCCTAGAAGGTGGCACCGGGACAGAGGGCAGCCTTCAGCCCACAGCCATCCCAGGAAGACTCCTGCCCAGCCAGTGGGTCTGCTGGGGGCAGCTCCTCAGCTCCAAAAACCTAAAATCGCTCAGAGGCGAGTGAGAGTGACAGAGTGACCACAGAGTTCCCGCCAGGTGCCAAGAACGTGAGGAGGTGGAGGCCCCTCTCCTGGAAGCCTTGCAGGCGTCCTCCAGGCCCATTTGGAATCCCCACCCCACGTTCAGTTCTCTTAGGACTCTGTTAGCAGAAGAGAGGCATATTTGTTGAAGGCCATGCCAATTCCACAAGTTCAATAATTTTGCAAAGGCTTGGACTTTTCATGCTGTTCACGAGCTCAATGCTTCCTCCTCCTCCCCACAAGCACCAGGGCATCCTCACAGATGCAGCAAATCCTGTTTGCTCTTTTGCCGTGTGCATCAAGGTCAGGCACACCAAGGGCGCGCTGGCCTTGGAGACAGGTCCGGTCCCGGTCTCAGTTCCAGAGTGACCTTGGGCAGCCTTTTATTTCATCACTGGTGGCTTCGTCTCTCATGTGGGACGGATTATCTGCCCCATGGGGTGCTTATGAGCACTAAATGAAATTAGAAGCTTGTGAGAGTTTGAAACTGCTTTCTTCCGAATGCGGTTTCGTGCCTTCCATGCAGCTGAATGCCTGCCCTCGGCAGCAGTGATAGTTAATCAGATGTGGGTTTCCTTGCACTTTGAAGCCTTGGAAGAACCCATTGGGATTTGGAGATAATTGCAGGTATTCTTCAGCTCATCAGGACCAGAGTGATCCAATATAAACAAGGAAGAGTGTGCTCTGGGTAACCTGCTGGCTTCTGCCGGTACAGGCGGGCAGGCCTCACTGTCTGTGCCTGAGTCCCTGCGCTGCTCTGCAGCCATCTACCTCGTCTTGCTGATGAGCAGCTGCTGCAGAATGAGGGATTGGGAGGAATTACTAGAGGTCCACCCATGGCAATGTAAAACCAAACCAAACCAAAACAAAAAAACAACAAACAAACAAAAACACAACAAAGTACTGCTATTATTATTTTTTAAAACAGCTTTCTTTCCCCCAAATCTCCATTTTTCATTTCAGAGAGCCTATGCCAGCATCTATAGAAACCCAATATGTGCATCGATAACCAGAACCTGGGGCAGCACTGATGGGGATTTCCAAGCATCTGGAGTAGTGCTGGTAAAATCCACACCCTGGACTTCATTCACCACTGAGGCAGCAAACTTAGGGGATTTTCCAGAAGATGAGGATGAAGAGTTTGGGAGCACATCAGATGCCAGCTGGCAGTGAGGTTGAGGAAGCGAGGTAGAACGGGATCTTAAATGAATCAAAAGAAACCCAGTCATCTGAACTGGGTCATGCTGGAGTTGAAAGGGTGTTGGGCAGGTGTGGAAACCTAGACACAAGCATTGGCAGGACCCTTCTAGCTCCCTGGGGCTGAATGAAGCTTGCCTCAGGGGGTTTGTGCAGTCAAGTATCCTTGGCACATACCCCCTAGGATGAGAGGAACATCCCAAGGTCAACCTTCTTCCAATTCTTTGTGCATCAAGCAGTGTCATCATTCCAGCTGCCCTGGCAAACAGCCTACAGAAGAAAGTGTTCCCTGAGCCATGTCACACGGACACCATTCTGTCCCATCAACAATCACCTCTCTTCTTATTGATGGATAAATTAGCCTCAGGGTTTACACATCAGTTTTTATGAGTCTAGTTAACTTGTGTCTGTCCTTGAGAAAGATAGGCATTGTCAGTGTAATAACAAAATCGGGTTTCTGGAAACCAGAGCTGGGGTGCAAAGAATTCACCCAGGTCAAGGCCCTTCCCCCCAAGAGGTGCCTGCTTGTGTGGCCAGCCCAGCTGCACTTGAGGCTGACTTGCATTGAGGCTCAGTGTATGTAGTCACATGAGAATCATTGTTAAAGAATGACAGATCATGGCCGAGCGTGATGGCTCATGCCTGTAATCCCAGCATTTTGGGCCGAGTCAGGTAGATCACAAGGTCAGGAGTTCAAGACTAGCCTGGCCAAAATGGTGAAATCCCGTCTCTACTAATAATACAAAAATTAGCCAGGCATGGTGGCAGTTGCCTGTAATCCCAACTACTTGGGACGCTGAGGCAGAGAGTTGCTTGAACCTGGGAAGCGGAGGTTGCAGTGAGCCGAGATCACACCACTGCACTGCAGCCTGGGTGACAGAGTGAGACTCTGTCTCGAAAAAAAAAAAAAAAAAAGAATGACAGATCACATTTCCAATTCTTTAGGTTAACATATATGCTTTTATGTTACTCTCTGTGTCTAGTCTCCCTTTTATTGTCACTGTAAATGCTAATAAAATGTTCAATAAATGCTGATTTATTTAATAAATGGATTGATTTATTTAATAAAAGGACTGATTTATTTAATAAAATATTGAGCCTATATTTATTAAATATATTTATTAAATTTATTAACTGTATTTCATGTATTTATTAAATTTATTAGATATATTTAATAAATATAGGCTCAATATTTTTGACTGAAAATGACTAAATACCAGTGAGGGCAAAAGGCAGACTGTATGTGAAAGCACTTTAAGATAAATATGCTTTATAAATACAAGTGATTGTAAATTACCCAGCGGGATTTCATTCTAACACTGGCCACACATGGGACAGGACTTACATCCAAACCATGACCCAAGTCTGCTTTATGGGTTTCATGGTTGTAAGCAGTTTCTCACTCACGCCTTCACTTTATCCTCATAGCGCTGTAGGTAGGGCAAGGTGGGAACTAAGGTTTGAATGTTGTGTTGTGTTATTTGTATTTGATTCAAGAATGCCTTAACCTTGATTTGCCAATCTCCTCTTTTTTCCCTTCTTCTCCCCTCACTCTTTAGCATGGGACTCCTGTGGGAGCAAAATACAAAAACAAAATAAAAATACAATTACCAACTGACAGGAATCAATTATTTAAAATTAGCACACGCCTACTGTCTATGGACATCCATCGTCCAAAAACAAACAAACAAAAATGAACCTTGACCTAAACCTCACACCATATACAATTATCTCAGAATGGATCATGGACTTAAACATAAAACATAGAACTATAAACTTTTGAAAAAAACCCAAGGAGAGAATCTTTGAAATCCGGGGCTAGTCAGAGTTCTTTGACTTGACACCAAATCACCATCCACAATAGAGGAAATTGATCAATTGGGCCTCGTGATAGTTAAAGATGTTTGCTCTCTGACAGACCACATTAAGAGACTGAAGAAACAAGCTGTAGACTGGGAAAGAATATTTGCAAAGCACGTATCTGACAAAGGACTTGCCTCTAGAATACATGAAGAACTCTTACAGTGATGATATGCAGATGGCAAATAAGCGCATGAAAGGCTGAACAACATGATCAGCCAGAAAAATGTAAAATAAAACCAGAATAGGATGGGAGACACACCTGCCAGAGTAGCTAACATAAAAATAACGACCATGCCAAATGTTGACAAGGATGAGAAGAAGCTGGGTCACTCATATGTGACTGGTGGGAATGTGAAATGGTACAGATCCTCTGGAAAAGAGGATGAGTCATTTCTTACAAAACCAAGCATGAACTTGCCATATGGCCCAGCAGTTGTACCCTTGGGTATTTAACCCTAAGAAATGAGAACTTTTATTCACACAAAAACTTGTTCATCAGTGTTCATTATAGACTTGTTTGTGATAGCCAAAAACTGGAAACAGTCAAAGTAATCCATCATGGGTGTATGGTTAAAAAACTGTGGTAAGGCCGGGCATAGTGGCTCACACTGGTAATCCCAGCACTTTGGGAGGCCGAGATGGGAAGATCACTTGAAGCCAGGATCACTTGAGCTCAGGAGTTCAAGACCAGCCTGGGCAACATGGCAAAACCCTGTCTCTACAGAAAATACAGAAATTAGCCAGGCGTGGTGGCACATGCCTGTGGTCCCAGCTACTCAGGAGGCTGAGGTGGGAGGATGGCTTGAGCCCAGGAGATAGAGGTTGCAATAAGCCAAGGTCGCCCCACCGCACTTCAGCCTGGGTGACAGAGTAATGCCCTGTCTCAAAAACAAACAAAAAATCTGTGGTGCATCCATACCATGGCGTACTACTCAGCAATTAAAAAAACTCAAACTATTAATGCATACAACAAACCACTTGGAAGGATCTCAAGGGAATTATGCTGAGTGGGGAAAGCCAACCCTGAAAGGTCACACATTGTCTCATTTCATTTCTATGGCACTCTTGAAGGGAGGAAATCACAGAAGTGGAGTACAGATTACTGATTGTCAGAGACTATCTTCCAAGGTAGCACAAGGGATCATTGAAATGAAATTTTTCTGTATCTTGACTATAGGGGTGCTCACATGTATCTACATATGTGATAAATTTACATCTGACTAAACACACACACACACGCAAACGCATTTCACAATGAATGAAATCTGGAAAAGGTTAGTATTAGTTTGCCAAGGCTACTGTAAAGAATTATCCCAACTGGGTGGCTTAAAACAGCAAAAGTTTATTCTATTGTGGTGTTTTGAGGCAAAAGTCTGAAATAAAGGTGTCGGCAGGGCTGGCTCCTTCCGAAAGCTCTAGGGAAGAAGCCCAGACTTTTTAAGCTTCTGGAAGCTCTGGGTTCCCTGACTGATGGCAGCACCCCTCCAATCTCTGCCTCTGCCTTCACAGGGCTGTCTTCCCCGTGTCTCTCTGTGTATCAGCGTCATTTTTCTGGTGGTGTGATATTGCCTTATACTATAGTTATGCTACCCTTGGGGAAGTTGGACGAAAGTTATATGAGATCTCTCTGCAGTATTTCTTACAACTGCATATGAATGTGCAAGCATCCAAACTAAAAAGGTATTGTTGTTTTTTTAAGTTGGCATATGGAGAGGCTGAGCAGGGAGGGATGCACAGGTCCTGGCGTCTGCTTGGCTGCAGGGCAGAGGGAGACATGGAAAGTAGCATCCAAGTTTCATGCCTGGATGATGGGAGATGGGCTGTACAAGGACACCACAGAGGACAGGGAAGGAGGACCACACCAGAGCCAGACCAGAGGACCAGTGGTCGGCATGATGGCTTCAGGAACTACAAGCGTGAATTTCTTTGGGATGCAAGTAACACCAGCCAGCTTAAGCAGAAATGGGGAGTTTCCTATAAGATCACAGAGAGGAACCATTGAAGCTAATGGCAGAAATGCAACTGGACCTCAGGAAAGGCCAGTGCCGGGCACGGGAGGCCAGTGGGCACCTAGGGAGAACATGCTGGCTTTCTATTTGATTTCAATCCAGTTCCTTGACAGGACAGCCATCTCTATCCCTTAGTCCAACTGCTGTCGAGAAAATGGCTGTCCCGAGCTCTGAAGTTCACATGTTATCATTTCAGCCACTGGAAGAAACTGCCCTTTTATTATTAGTCCTAGTCTCAAATTCCCAGATAAAAGGTTCTGACTGGCTCTCTTGGGGCCAGGTGCCATCTCCACTGTGGCCAGAAGACAGGATTATTTTACACACACATGGTCAGAGCTCTCCAGAGAGCAACAGCTTAGGGAGGTCATTTTGAGCGGAACAGATATCCCCAAATGTATTCTCTGTCTACCACAAAAGTCTTTAAAGCACCTTATACTCAGTTCCATACACTTATTAGAGAAATAGAATTAGCCAGATTTTTTTTTCAATAAAGGCATCTCTATATATTTTTTTCAACCATCACATTTTAGACGGACTTTCAACAACAGTAACTGAAACAAACATTTAGATTGGCTTTTATGTAACCATAAATTAAATTAACCAAAGAATCAACTCCCCAAACATTCTTAGAGTCAGAGTTTTATTTTATTATAAATCTAGATCTATGAAAGCAGAAACCATACTCTTCTAGATTGATAACAATTACTCACAATCCCTTAAGCTTTCTAAAATCATTTATTACTCTGATAAAAATAATTCAACTGGAGATGAACACGGTAGAACAACCTCTTAGTGCAAAGCCATTTTTTAAAATAGAGCAATACTGTTTCCTCTTAGAGACAAACACAATAGTAAATGCAAACATTAGCAGATTGTGGTAATTTATAACCTGAGTTATTGTCTGGGAGATTTGCTGTAACAAGTGGGTGACCCGCTAGAGGTCAGATGACAGTAACTTGAGCAGAGAGAAAACTGTGAGATTCAGAGCCAGGTATTAAGCATCAAAGGAAAGCTAAGAAACCAGGAACAGGAAAGGAGCCTCTTCTTCCCTTCTTTTGTACAAAAAACCCTCAGAGGAGGATTTTCCTTCTTGTAAGAGCATTTATGGAGCTGAGTCACAAATGCCACGCAGGTACATGCTGAATAAATAAATAGGTCCTCGAAGCATCTGCTTCCTAGATTTGGGATTTGTTGATTTAGTCCCACAGTTGTGCCTCCTGGTGATTTTTCATTAATCGAGAGCTCCAGAACCAAACGAACTTTGTATTCTTTTCAAAATATCAAAGTGGAAAGCGGGGTTTCTGGAAGCTCTTTGATTCTAAACCCATCTTCCTTCCCTTTCGGGGCATCCACTATTGAAGGAGGCAGACGGTCAGCCCAGGGAGGACAGGGCTGAAAAGCAAGGAGGAAGAGTCTCGAAGTTGCAGGCACCGTGTCACTAGCACATGTGGTGGAAGATGGTTTTGGGAAATAAGAGCTTTGGGCAACCTCAAGAGTGAACTCTGCCAGTGTTTTGGCAGTTAGGGATGTGGATGATATAAAATGAAATCACATTCCAAGCATACCATTTCTGGTGGAGAGTAAATATACTCAGTAAAGCCAGGTTCAAAGAGGAATCTGTATAATGTCCGAATGAAATATGAAGTAGTGGTGAAATATTTAAAGGTCAACTTGTGTGCACAACAAAATTTGTGTGAAGTTTTTCTCAGAAATCATGTAAGAAGTGAACTAAAAAGAATTCCAGTGAGATGCTGGAATTCCAATGAAAATGAATGGTGTGGGAGGCAGAATTCTAAGGTGGCCCAGGAGATGTCTGCCCCCAGGCGCACATATCGTGTGCAATCCCCCTGCATTTCACCTCGGAATTGAGGAACAGACACTCCTTAGGCTAGGCTTTGTTATACAACAAAGGTTAGTCATTCCTGTGATTATGTTTTGTCATATAAGACTCCAAGACCAGCCAGTTGGCCTTGAAGACCAACCAAACAGCTGTGCAGTGAGCTACCATGTCCTAAAAGGGCCATTTGGCTGGGACTTCAGGAACGCTCTAGGAGTTGAGAGTGACCCCCAGTTGACAGCCAGCAAGAAAACAGGGACTTCAGTGCTGCAGCCTCGTGGTACTGGATTCTGCCAACAACTACATGAGCTTTGAGGACCCAGAGGCTTACAAAAGAACCACAGCCCCTACAGTGACACCTTGAGTTCAGTCTGGTGACCCCCTGGACAGAGGACCCAGTTAACCTGTCTGGAGACTCCTGACTTACAGAAACTGTGAGATAATACATTTGTGCCGTTGCTGTATATTCTCATGTAGTAAAATAAAGACATAAATAAATTTATGTTGCTTTAAGCCACTGAGTTTGTGCCAATTTGTTATACAAGCATAGAAAACGAATGCAGATCATATCAGAATAGAAATCAGTATAGCTGACCTCAGTAAGAGTTTTAAAAAGAATTTTATGCATCTGTCATAGAATAAAGGATTGCTGGTATTGGGTTAAAAACTTGAGAACCCTGAATGCATCATTTAAAAGAACTAGCACTGTGCTGGGGGTCAAAGAACATGGCCGTGCCAGGCTAACGGAGACAAGTCACTTCATTGCTAAGCATGTTAGTGTTAGGCCCTGTTCAATGAGGAGATGCAGCAAAATTGCTCCTTAAGTTTCCTGTTAGTTTCAAAACACGATGCCAATAATTTCCAAGTTTGTCTCTTTCAATTACAAAAGCGATGAATATTAACGTTCATTTTCCCGTGTAAACCCTTGCAGTAGTCAGCCTCCTTGGTTTATTTTTTAAAAGGCCAAATTATGTGGTCTTGTCAGCGTCTCCACCTTGTCTTTTATCCCTCCATTCTCACTTACTCCAGCTAAGCCGACAGCTTTGCAGGGTTCTTTTTCTTGTGTAGGTGTGTGCACCTTTATGCACCTGTGTATCCACCAAGGGGCCCTGGCACATCACAAGTTAGTGGTCTGGGAAAAGTTCCCTAACCTCTTTGTGTCTCCCCTTTCTGGTGTATAAAATGGAGGTAATAATACCTTCCTGTCTTCTGTATAGGATCGTTCGTTCATTCAGCACACATTTTTTAAGGACCTACACTGCTGTCACCTACTCTTTAGGTGCTGGAGATGCAGCAACGAACATACTACACAAAATCACCTGCCCTGTGGAGCTCATATTCTATAGCAGATGGTCCATGAAGTCCTCTTTGAGGAGATGAAATGTGCGGCAAGATCTGAATGTAGGCAGGTAGGGGCCACACAGACCCCTGGGGTGACGACATCCAGGACAGGGACAGCACAAGCTTAGGCCAAGGCATGCTATAATCAGTGCCTCCAGCTTGCTGTGCAGCTCAGAGAAAGTCACTCTGCCCCTCTGAGCCACCTTTCTCTCATTTGTATGAGACAGTCAGTGATTTTCACCCTGGAGATTTGGACCTCTAGAAGGCCCGTCAAGAAAGTAATGCAGGCTGGGTGTGGTGCCTCACACCTGTAATTCTGGCATTTTGGGAGGCCAAGGTGGGAGGAAGGCTTTAGGTCAGGAATTCAAGACCAGTCTGGACAACATAGGGCGATCCCATCTCTACAAAAAAGAAAAAAAAATTAGCTAGGCATGTTGGCTTACCAGTAGTCCCAGCTACTCAGGAGGCCAAGGTGGGAGGATTGCTTTGCACCCAGGAGTTCGGGGTTGCAATGAGTTATGATCATGCCACTGCACTCTACCCTGGACGACAGAGCAAGGCCTTGTCTCACAAAAATAAACAGAGAGAGAGAGAGAGAAAGAGATGAAGGAAGGAAGGGAGTGGGGAGGGAAGGAAGGGAGTGAGGAGGGAAGGAAGGAAAGAAGCAAGATCAAGAAGGAAGTCTCGTTATACAAATAAAGACAGCCCAGTTTCAACATTTTAAATGTGACTTTTTTGTTGTTTTTGGATGGAATCATATCAACTCTCTAACACCAGTTATAATATAATGATCTTCAGCCATGCAGCTGAGGAATTAAAAATGGAGAAGTAATTATTTCAGAATAAGAACACATTTTAAATGGAGGCTCTTTTTTTCCTTTCCTATTTGTTTTTAAATTTCTATAGGTTTTAGGGGAACAGGTGATGTTTGGTTACATGAATAAGTTCTATAGCAGTGATTTCGGAGATTTTGGTGTGCCCATCACCCAAGCAGTGTATACTGTACTCCCTCACTCCCCCGACCCTTTCCCCCAAGTCCCCAAAGTCCGTTGTGTCATTCTTATGCCTTTGCATCCTCATAGCTTAGCTCCCACTTGTGAGTGTGAACATACAATGTTTGGTTTTCCATTCCTGAGTTACTTCACTTAGAATAATAGTCTCCAAATCCATCCAGGTAACTTCAAATGCCATTATTTTATTCCTTTTTATAACTGAGTAGTATTCTGTTATATATATATAATTTACAAAGCCAGAGAGCAGTTTCTTCTGCTCGCTGGTAGCTCCTGCCCTGTGTCTTTTGGTCACATTCCTCTTTAGGGTAGGTGGGTGTTTCTTGGTCTGGGAACTAAGTGCCTTCAGACAAAAGTGGTACCTTTGGCCCCATCAATTGCATTTGTAGATGAAGGGCCTCAGTTAAAGATGTGTTTTCAGGATATGGTGCTCTGCAGTGAGAGAGCAAAAGTTTTTCCTGAGGTTGGAAAATGATGACCCGCTGGAGCTGGGATATTATATATACATAATATATATATACCACAATTTCTTTATTCACTTGTTGGTTGATGGGCATTTGGGCTGGTAAGTGGAGGCTCTTTTTAAGTGGAGGCTCACATGCACAGGCTCCGTGGGAAAGAGAACTTGGGGACCATAGGGCCAAGGAGGTTTGGAGGCCTCCCAGCTCCAGCTGGTCATCATTTTTCAACCTCAGGAAAAACTTTTGCTCTCTCACTGCAGAACACCATATCCTGAAAACACGTCTTTAACCGAGGCCCTCCATCTACAAATGCAATTGATGGGGCCAAAGGTACCACTTTTGTCTGAAGGCGCTTAGTTCCCAGACCAAGAAACACCCATCTACCCTAAAGAGGAATGCCAACAAAAGACACAGGGCAGGAGCTATCAGCAAGCAGAAGAAACTGCTCCCTGGCTTTGTAAATTCTGATTTCTGCAGCTACTGGAGTCTGGGAAATAGCTTCTAAACGTCCTCCTACTCTGCCTCCCCCCTCTCTCGATGAAAGAGACTGAGGGTCCAACAAAGAAATGCCAGCATCATTCAAGGGAGTTGAAGCCCCCGTTAGCAAGGCAGTCTGCTCGGACTGGGAGCAGTGGCACACATTCTGTTCTCAGGGACGTTGCTGCCTGAATTCACGTTTCCTGGAGGATGCTACGGGCTGAGTCCTCTAGCCAGGAACGGGATGCTTCATCTGGAAGTTTTTAGGAGCCCTTCCTCTCAATAGGATGTTATTGTACCAGAGAATTGCCTCAAGCCAGTGCTCTCTCTTGGAACTGTTTTCTATTTTTTTCAACTTTGTTTTACACTGGACTGGCACACAGGGAGGCAAAGATCTCATCAAGGCACTTCCAGTGACTTTAAACAGCCACACAATATGGGCCCCAGTTTCAGCTGCTGCTTTGGCCCTTGGCGACGGAGGATAACGTTTAAGCCAATATACGCTGAAGTTTGGGCTTTGCTCATAAGTGTTTCTATTTAAGGGAAGGGGATGTGGATGATGCCAACAGTTACGGATGGAAAAGGAAGATTATACACCAGGAAAACTCATTTCCAAGGAAGCAGCCTGTGCACGTGGCTTCCCGGGCTGCGGCTGGGTTCTGAGTGCGGGCAGCAGCTGGGGAGGGCACACCACTGACCTGCCAACCCCAGGGACAAATGTGCTCCTGCCCAGAGCAAATCTGTAGCTCCTTCGATTTCTTTACTTGGATTATCGGAATCAAATGCACTTGCTTTTCTTTCTCCCTCTCCTTCTTTCTTAAAATGCTTTTCCAAAGACATTTGTCTTCCACGAACCACTGTCTGCTATTTGTACCACTGGACTTTTTAGTCTCTTGCTAATTTTTTCTTTCTTTAACATCCTATGAATGATTCATGTCTTGGGTGCCCAGTCCTCCCAAACAGCACACATTGGTATAAATGAAATGTGAGAGTAACAGCCAAGTACTCATGCGCTCCTGGTTCTGAGGCCCTGTACTTTGCAGCTAGAGTCCCTTTCCCCGTGTACAAGCAGGTATTTTAACCCCAGTATTTCTGCTAAGTCAACCGGCCTCCAGAGATATTAGGACATTAAGACTTTGTCTAGTCCCACAGCTAGTTGGAAATACGGGGTGAAATCTTCTTCCAAGCAACATTTCTAAAGGGGTGCTCCATAGACCACCTGCATCGGAATTCTCAGGGGTCCTAATGAAGCCCGGGAATTTGCATTTTCAATAAATTTGCTAGATGATTTAAAAACAAAGTTTGAGTCCCTGTCTGTATCAGTCTGTTCTCACATTGCTATAAAGACATACTTGCCACTGGGTAATTTATATAAAAGAGTTTTAATTGGCTCATCGTTCTGCAGGCTGTACAGGCTTCTGCTTCTGGGGAGGCCTCAGGAAACTTACAATCATGGCGGAAGGCGAAGGTGAAGGAAGCATGCCTTACATGGCAGGAGCAAGAGGAAGAGAGAGCAAAGGGGAAGGTGCTACACACTTTCAAACAGACAGACCTCGTGAGAACTCTATTGCGAGGCAGCACTGGGGGGATGGTGCTGCAACATGAGAAACCATCCCCATGATCCAATCACCTCCCACCAGGCCCCACCTGCAACACTCAGGATCACAATTCAACATGAGATTTGGGTGGGGACACAGAGCCAAACCATACCCGCATCCTAATGTCTATGAAACAATTAAACAACACACACACACACCAGAAGCTGTAATTTTTGTGTAAGTGAACAGCTTCCAACTCAAAATAGCAGTCAGAGTGGGTGGGTAGGTGGTCATTGATATGAGAAATGGATAATTGCCATGCAGTAAAAGGCATTTAAAAAACAAAATTTTTTGTAAAAGGCAAAACATGCTCATGGAGTAAGTATCAGGATACAAAAGAGAAAACAGTGACAAGCAGTCTGCCTGCCCCACTCTTGCCTAGGGACCCTTCCTCCCTCCCCAGAGGCCACTACAACTGATAGACTCTGTTTAGGAGAAAAGACTTGAAAATTGGGGAAAACCTTACAGGCCGAGTTCAACTTGGAAGTGGTATTTTTATCATGTAAAGACAATGAGGTCCATAAAATCTTCCCCCAGCCCACTTGCAGGCAGACTCACACCCCTCCCCCATCAACAAGATGTTCTCACCCTCACCCTTATACCTAGGACCTGTGAATGGGTACCATTCTGTGGCAAAAGGGAATGTGCAAATGAGGTTAAGATTATGGATTTGTGGCCTGGCGCCAGTGGCTCCTGCTTGTAATCCCAACACTTTGGGAGGCCAAGGCGGGAGAGTCATTTGGGGTCAGGAGTTTGAGACCAGCCTGATCAACATGAAGAAACCCCGTCTCTATTAAAATACAAAAAAAATTAGCCAGGCACAGTGGCTGGCACCTGTAGTCCCAGCTACTCAGGAGGCTGAGGCAGGAGAATCGCTTGAACCTGGAAGGCAGAGGTTGCAGTGAACTGAGATTGCGGCACTACACTCCAGCCTGGGAGACAGAGCAAGACTCCGTCTCAAAAGAAAATATATGTGATTTTAAAATAGAGAGATCTTCCTGGCTTATACGGGTGAGCCCAATCTAATCACATGAGCCCTTGTAGGAGACAAAACATAATTTCTTTTCTATCCTTTCCCTTTTTCTGGGTTCTTAGTTGAGACACTCTCCTGAAAACAAAAGTCAAATTAACTAAAGAAAAACAAGCAGACGTTTATTAACACCTGCTGTACCCATCACATGAGAGAGGTCTCAGTTCAAAAGTATTTCTCTCTGAAGGCAGTGGCTTAGAGGCCTTGCGTAAACAGTATTCTAATGAAGAGCCATAAATTCTATACAGTGACAAGATGAAGGTGAGAGCAGCTCTCATCTTTTAAAAGGTGGGAAACTAGAGGAAGATGGTAAAATGCATTCCCAGACTCTTCTGGTGTCTGCTGCTGCCTTCTCTGGGTGGATGACAAGCACTGTCTCCAGGAAGGAGGGACTGAAGTCCTGCCATCAGGTAAGCGGAGGCCAAGGCAGTGTTTCCCTGCGTTTTCAGTGTCTTGAACTAACAGTTCTCAATATTTTGAGGAGAAATATTTTGATTTCCTTTACTCTGAAGAGCACAGAACTTTGTCCAGCTGCAGCCCAAAGCTGTTGCCACAGAGAGAGTTGTAGGATCTGGAGTGTGGGAGGGACGGAGTGGCTGTGGCTGGAGGAGAAGCCACGTGGAAAGTGGAAAGAATACAGGTCACCTCGAGGAGCAAAGACTGGCTCCCAGTGGAGGCCACAGGGAAATGAGACCTCCCTCCACAACTGCGGGGAACCAGACTTGCCCACCAATGAGTCATCCTCAGAGCTGCAGAAAGCAGTGCGGCCCAGCTGACGCCTTGCTTTCGGCCTTGTGACTCCACCCAGATGTCGTCGGACTTCTGACCTGTAGAACCATGAGCTAATAAACAGGTGTTGTGTTAAGCCCTTGACTTTGTGATGATTTGTTGAGCTTGCTGGACGTGCGCTGTGGGGATGCGTGGGTGCACGTCGTCATCCATGGAGGTGTGTGTCGGTGTTGACATCTGCATTGGGTACGCGGAAGAGGGTTCATTTGATTGTGAGTTGTCCCACGGTTAGCCTGTCACTCCAGGAGCGGCTGCAGCCCTGCCTCGCTGGACAGTGGGGATGACAGAGTTTCTGTGACGTTCCTGGGAAGGGGTGAGGACTGGAGGAGTGGGGATTGGTTGGAAGGGTTGGGAGGGTCACCTGCTTGAAGCTGGGTTTGTGGCAAGTGTTGTTTCCAGTGGTTGCTCTTCAGGCTGGAGCTGATTTGGGGAGGGGAAGCTGCGGGAGAGTGAGCGTGGCTCGCTCCCCAGCCAGCCTGGTACCCACGCAAACTGCCGTCCTGCCTGTCCCTGTGGGTTTGCTGCTGCTGTTGCTCTTGTTCTTTTCATGGTTGGCCCCACGTGTGTTCAGCCCTTAACCTGTTAAGGGGATGAGCTTTGGAACTGACACCCCTGGGCCATTTCTCCAAGTCTTTATGCCTTGCTGACCTCATGTGTATAATGGTGTGATAATAATAGGATGTCTTTTATAGGGCTCTGTAAGGACCCAAAAGGCACCTGTTTGTAAAGCACAGAATGTGGAGTGTGTGAGCCCATGCCCTATAAAACGCATTCTTGTCTTGCGCTTCTGTTGGCGGGTGGTCCTCACTGGACCCCCAGAAGCTTTCACATGGTGTGAGGGCCCCATTTGCCTGGCGCTTCCTTGGATCATATGCCCCAAAATAGACACACTTTTGGTCTTCCATGGAACCAAATCCAGCCCTCGCCCTAAAAGCAGCCCCGTCTTCCAATTAAAATGAAGAGTTTTTTTTAAAGTTCTGCCATCAGCATCTCTTCTGAGGAACTCCAGGAGATGGCCTGCACTGGGCCCTGGGATCACATTGCTCGTCTCCAGCCCGACCCCCATCTGTGGGGCTGCCTGAAAGTGGCGTGTCTCTCTTGCAAACTGCTGCTGGACATTTCACGGGGGTGGTGGGCAGCCTCTTAATGGCGAAATCCAGCAGGATTTAAACAAGTTAATGATTTGGATAGTGATCCTCTGCCTTGCCCCACCCTCCCCTGAGAATGCTGCATCTCCCTTTTTCATTTCCGGACTGGGATGGGAAAGTGACCCTGGACCCACGGCTGTCAGGAGCAAAGTCAGAGCCTTTGATTGGAGTCAGAGCCTTTGATTGGAAACCAGGCGCCACCTGCTGACTCCCAAAGCTCACTTCTTTGGTCAGTTTCTGTGCCTGGGACAAGGAGTCTAAGAGCTCCCATCCATCTAGTTCTCAGGCAAAGTTGCACATTGACTCTGCCTTTGACATTGGCAAGAGGAGCCCCTTCCTTTGGCCCCAAGCATTAGAGGGTCAAAATGACTTATTCAAACAGCATGGCCTGTCTACAGGACATTCAGGCATACACAATAGTGGCTAAATTCAGACATCTTTGATATTTTACCAACTTTCTGTCATTTAAAACAACAGCTTTACATATATTGCTCAGGGTCTGAAATTTGTCTCTGGCAAAAGTGACCCTAAACTCTAAATATCTGCTCTGGTCAATAATACTGTGTAGGCCCCAGGGAAATGCTTCTCTGTAGGTCTGTGTCTCGAGACCAAAGGTGACTTTATCCAAAAGCTGTGAGGTTTGTAGATTGCACAACTGCAGCTATCAGAGATGGTCACTGAACTGCGACCATTTTGAAAAAGAAGATACAAACTAATTGACTTGTCAAATTCTTCCTTGCAGAGAGCATGGATGCAACCGATTCTTGCATAACCAAATCCTTTCCCAGGAGTGCTGAAAATCCATTTTCTGTTAGTGATTTCAGAAATATTCATAGATAAATAGAGTACTCGAAGCCCTTGCACCTGGTGTCTCAGGAAGTTTTTTCTTTTTCTTTTTTCTTTTTTTTTTTTTTTGGAGACAAAATCTTGCTCCCTTGCTCAGGCTGGAGTGCAGTGGCATGATCTTGGTGCACTACAACCTCCACTTCCCCGGTTCAAGCGATTCTCCTGCCTGAGCCTCCCAAGTAGCTGAGATTACAGGCACCCACCACCACACCCAGCTAATTTTTGTATTTATAGAAGAAAAATTGCTACTAAATTTTGCCATGTTGGGTCTTGCCATGTTGACCAGGCTGGTCTTGAACTCCCGACCTCAGGTGATCCTCCCACCTCGGCCTCCCAAGGTGCTGGGATTACAGGTGTGAGCCACTGCGCCCAACCAACATTTTTCAATATTAAACAATTTGTGTCACTTATTACATTTTATATGTATAGATCTAGATACAACATATGTGATGCTAAAGCTGATTCTTTTTATTTATCTATGAATCTTGATATTGCTTTAAGGGATGGGAAAAATCATACGAGTGGTAATAATTTAAATGATAAAATTAAAACATTTTGTATTTTATGCCACAATGACAATCTCTTTTGTGCAGCCCTATTACAATGTTTGAATAAGTTATGTAAATTCCTGGTACGTTTCTGCATCACAGTACTTTCCTAAAACTTATCGACAATTCCAATAGCTATAGCTTTAGCGGGTCAAAGTTTCCTCAAAATAAAACTAATAAAAAATGATCTGAGAACCTTAATGATTTCAGAAAGTTTGCTTAATTTGTCATTACTATCAATGGAATGCAAATTATATGAAAATATTGATTCTAACAACGTAATTAGTGTTCTTTGCTAAAATTAAGAAAAGACAAAAATTTATGGATAATATATAACTTATCAATTATGTATGTTGTTACTTACTTATTCAAACAGTGTAGCCTATCCACGGGATATTTAGGCATACACAATGATTATTAAATTCAGATGTCTTGGATTTTTACCAACTTTCTGTCATTTAAAACAACAGCTTTACATATATCGCTCCATTTTTGTTCTTATGAAGGTATGCTTTTCAAGATAGAATGATGAAACATACTTATTCATTCGTTTTATTTGTACCTTTTAAATATCTCTCTACTATATCTGTATCCTATACCTCCCGATACACACACGCGTGCACACACATGCGTGCACACACACATGCACACACACACGTGCACACACATGCACACTACCTGGGTCTCCTTTTGTACCCTTGCCCTAGACACCACAGATGCTAGGAGAAACCTGCTGTTATTGATTTCTTCCAAAGTAAAACTTGCTCAGGTTGGTTCTAACATATGACATTCTGGTTTATAAAAAGTATTGGGGTAAGCATTTAGGCTTATTAAAATGTTACGTTAGGGGCACTGTCTCTAAAAGGGATTGCCTGACTTGGGGACAAGGAGGTTAAAGAAGGCCAGCAAGACACTTTAAAGCTACCAATGTCAAAATAAAGGGGGTTCTGGCCAGGCGCGGTGGCTCACACCTGTAATCCCAGCACTTTGGGAGGCTGAGGCAGGTGAATCACCGGAGGTTAGGAGTTCAAGACCAGCCTGGCCAACATGGTGAAACCCCATCTCTACTGAAAACACAAAAATTAGCCGGGCGTGGTGGCACATGCCTGTAATCCCAGTTACTCGGGAGGCTGAGGCAGAAGAATCACTTGAACCCGAGAGGCAGAGGTTGCAGTGGGCAGAGATCGCACCATTGACTCCAGCCTGGGCAATAAGAGTGAGACTCTGTTTCAAAACAAAAATAAATAAATAAATAAATAAATAAATAAATAAATAGGGGGGTTCAATCAGGGAGGTGTCCTGGAGAGGAGGTCTTGTCTGGGAAGCTGTGAAAAGGGGACATGAGCTTTGTTACAGGAGCCGTTATTGAGTTCAGGAATTCTCAGGTCTGCTTCTGGAAGCTTGCTCCTCTTTTCTGAGCAGTAATGCGGAAATCATAGTTGATTCTGATGCCTGTAGTGCTTCCCACTCCAAGAATACAAAAGAGAGGACTTGGTTCCTGCCCCCAAAGGGCTCTTAGGGGCTGCCTTTGTAGAGAAGCATCACTTCATGAAACAATTTTATTTCAAAATCACTTGTTGCTAACTAGTGTGGTCGTTCCTCAAAAAATTAAAAGCAGAATCACCATAGGATCCAACAATTCTACTTCCGGGCAAAAACATAAAAGAATTAAATGCAAGGTCTTGAACACGTATCTGCAAACTCATGTTCCTAGCAGCATTATTCACAAAAGCCAAACAACGGAGGTTGCAACTGAAGTGTTCATCACTGGATGAATGGATAAACGAACTGTGGTGTATACACACAAGGGAATCATACTCCGTTTTAAAAGGAAGGAAATTCTGACACACACTACAACATGGATGATTGCTGAGGACATTATGCTAAGTGAAATAAGTCAGTCGCAAGAGGACAAACACTGCACAGTTTCTTTTACCGGAGGCACCTTGTGAGATAGTTAATTTTCTGTGTCAATTTAACCGGGCTAAAGGGTGCCCAGATAGCTGGTAAAACATTATTTTGGATGTGTCTCTGAGAGTGTTTCTGGAAGAGGTTAGCACTTGAATCTGTAGACCAATTAAAAAAGAACTGTGCTCACAGGTGTGCGCAGCCATCACCCAAACTGTTGAAGGCCCAAAGAGAACAAAAAGGAGGAAGGATGAGTCTGTTCTCTCTGCTTGAGCTGAAACATCCATCTTTTCCTGCCCTGAGATATTGGAGCTCCTGGTTTTCAGGTTTTCAGACTCAGACTAGGACTTATACAATTGATTCTCCTGGTTCTTAGGTTTTCGGACTCAGACTAGGACTTATACAATTGATTCTCCTGGTTCTGAGGCCTTTGGACTCAGGCTCTATCACACTATAGGCTTTCCTGGTTCTCCAGGTTGCAGACAGCAGACTGTGAGACTTCTTGGCCTCCATAAGCATGTGAGCCAATTCCCATAATAAATTCCTATCTATCTATCTATCTATCTATCTATCTATCTATCTATCTATCTATCATCTATCTATCGTCTACCCTATCCGTTCTGTTTCTTTGGAGACCCTAGCTAATACCTCTAGAATAGTCGAATTCATAGAGAGAGAAAGAATGGTGGTTGTCAGTGGCTGGGAGGAGGAAGGAATAGGGAGTTGTTCGATGGGTGCAGAGTTTCAGTTTTATAAGACGAAGAGCTCTGGGACTGGATGGTGGTAATGGTTGCTCAACAATGAGAACGTACTTAATGCTACTAAACTCTGTGCTTAAAAATGGTTAAAATGGTCCATTTTAATCTTACATGTATTCTACCACAATTTAAAAAACTATTTGCTACTAATTCACACGTTGCTTCCCTCTTTCATGAATCACAAGATGTTTTCTAAGAGGCCTACAGTGATTTCAGGGGCAGAGGGGTGAACAAGAAGAGCCCCCATTCTCTGCCCCAGCAGGCTGTGACCTGGTGAAGAAGACAAGCCCAAACAAGTAATAAGGGGCCCAGGTCTGAAGGTTCAGAATGAAATGACTTTTCTCCAGCATCTAGAAGTCACCTTCAGGAAAGCCCATTTTGAGATTTTGGACTGGTATAATTTATAATCACTGGATCATGGAATATGAGGCTGCTAAGGGTCTTCAGATATTCAGATATCGCCAGGACGACAGCCACCTCCTATTGATGAGAACACTGGGATACAGGGTTTTCTGTGAGCAGCTCAAAGCCCCATGGCCAGGGAATCCTTGCACATAATCCCACCCAGCCTCTGGTTTTTATATTTGTCCACAGAGCTTTCCTTTTCACAGCCAATATTCATAAGGAAGGAGTCAGTGTCACCCATGGTCTGTCCAGTGGAGTAAGGTCCTCAGATTTCCAGGGGAGAAGTCCAACCTGCAGGGGCAAGACACACATGAAATGATAACTCAGGCCTTGCAGAGCACGTGTTTCTTAGATACCCTTGTATCTAAGGGTATCTAAGGGTATCTAAGTACCCCAAAGCGAGTCCTCAGATGCTGAAATGCTTTGTGTTAATCTCAGGCAGCCTCATCCCTGAAGTCATGTTCTCAGCTTCCTAACAGAACAACAGCATTTCAGGGTGAAGCTGGCATTTCAGCCCAGGCCACCAGCATAGGTTTGTGATCTTAATAAAACCAACATTGGCCTTTTATTTCCTGGAGGTGGCAGAGTTTTCACGGTGTGTAGGATAAAAACACCAATGGATCCTTTACGCTCTCTTGAAATAGAAATCTGAGAAACGTATTCAGGAGGCCACCGCTGGGAACTAGCTCATGTGAAGCACATCAACTCTCCTGGCGCTTTTCAAAATCCTTACTTATTTCCCTCAAAGTTTGAAGATGTGAAAATTCAGACTAAGGATATAAGATGTATTAAATTGAAAAGTATCAAAAAGGGACTTGCTTTGTGTGATGGTTAATTGTATGCGTCAACTTGGCTGGGCCATGGTGCCTGGTTGTTTGGTCAAACACCAGTCTCCATGTCGCGGTGAAGGCGATTTTTAGATGTGGTTAACATTTAAATCAGCTGTCTTTGAATAAAGCCTAGAATCCTTCATAATGTGGGTGGGCCTCATCCAATCAGTTGAAGGCCATAAAAGAAAAGACAGAAGTTCCCTGAAGAGGAAGAAATTTTGCCTCCAGACAACCTTTGGATTCAAGACTGCAACATCAACTCTTACTGGAATTTCCAACCTGACAGTCTGCCCTGCAGATTTCATACTTGCCAGCTCCTATAATTGTGTGAGCTAATTCCTGCTCTCTCTCTCCCTGCCCCCTCTCTCTTTTCGTGTGTGTGTGTATGTGTGTGTGTGTGTACATTATATACAGTTGACCTTTGAACAACACAGATTCAAACTGCATGGGTCCACTTATACATGGATTTTCTTCCACCTCTACCACTCCTGAGAGAAAAAGACCAACCCCTCCTCTTCCTCTTCCATCTACTCAACATGAAGATGACCAGGATGAAGAGCTTTATGATTATACACTTCCACTTAATAAATAGTAAACATATTTTCTCTTCCTTATGATTTTCTTAGTGACATTTTCTTTTCTCTAGCATACTTTATTGCAATAATACAGTATATAATGCATATAACATACAAAATATGTGTTAATCAACTGTTGATGTTATGGGTAAGACTTCAGATGAACTGTAGGCTATTAGTAGTTAAGTTTTGGGGGAGTCAAAAATTATATGCAGATTTTGAACCGCACAGGGAGTTGAAACCCTCAACCCACTTGTTGTTCAAGGGTCAAGTGAATATACATATATCCATTATATATACATATATATATATATATATATATATATATATATATATATATATATATAGTGTGTGTATATGTGTCTGTGTGTGTGTATCTCATATTGGTTCTATTTTTCTGCAGAACCTTGACTAATAGATTTAGAAATCAATCATTGGTACTCATGAAAATATGAGTCAAGCTTTTAGGTGAAAATACTGAACTTTATTTACTGGTTTCTTATTTGTTCTTTGGCATTTTCTTTGATAAAACACACTTAATATAAGGGTAAATTTGTACTTTCTTCAGAGCTATTCCAGGACTCTAGAATTTTCTCTAGTCCTTACTCTGTCCTTTCTTTAATCTCTTCCAGAGCCAGAGTCTTCCCCTCTCTGCAGCCCCATCTCGAGGTGTCCTCTCTCCTCCTCTTCTCACCTCCTTCTTTGAGCTCCATGCCTTTCCTTGCCTTGCAGCTCAGACCTTGTTGCTCCCTGTTCTTTGCTTCCCCGAAGAAGAAAGTCTCTCAGCCCCCACACTCCTCATAGAGGTGTCTATGGCCCCGGTGGGGGCTGTCCGGTGAAGTCAGAGCGCGACGGAGCCTGCCTGTGCGTGATTCGTGGCTGCTGAGACTTGATACCAGCAGAGGGGCTTTGCCCTGCCATGTGTTCACTAGCCGCTCAGCCTATTCCCAGGCCCCTCATCTCCAAGACCAGCAGCCCCGCTTCTGTGTGGGTGGTAGTGATCCAGGTGGTGTGAAGTGCAGGCAGCTCCACCAGAGGTCAGCCCTTAAGCCCTGCAACAGCCTGCGGCAGAGCCAGGAGGACTCTTGCAGGCAGGGAGCTGATGGAGGGATGGGCCCAGCGCCTTCTGGGTCCGTGCAGGGGGCGGGGCAGGGAGAGGATGGTGGCAGGACCAGGACCTGCCCCGGCACTCCCAGTGCTCTCTGCTGGGCCCTTCTGCCCGTTGCCTTCCTCCCACCCTAGGCAGAGCCCGAACCTCCACCCAGCCCCACCTGCTTTGGGTCCTTCTTGGGATCTGATTCCAGACTCTTTTGGGCTTTATCCAGCACACTTTCACTCACTTCCACCACCTCCTCTATGCCGCAAAGGAAACGCCACCTTCGATGTGTTTGAGTTATGTAAATTAAAATAGTGTGATATAGGAAAGATTTTAAAAACCTCACTCTAAATGAGATGGATCTTCTCCAAACTAAGAAAAACAGTCACTGAGAATTGCATTCTATAATTTCAAAGCTTGCAAGCACAGCCAATTCTGACTCGTCTTCGTGCTGTCGTCATATGCTAGGGATACTTCCACTGAAAAGAAATTCCTACCCAGCTTTTAAAAGAATAATATGAAGCACGTGGCTGTTCGTTTGCATCTGAACTTCTGTGAGCAACCATTGTCGTGCAATTTTAACATCGTTATTATCTCCTATGGGAACGTCATCTAAGCCATCGAGAAGTGGTGGTACCGTTGCTGTGTGACAATCTGTGTCCTTAAATCAGAAGTCAGTGGTGACAGGCCGGGCACGGTGGCTCAGACCTATAATCCCAGCACTTTGGGAGGCCGAGGCAGGCAGATCACCTGAGGTCAAGAGTTCGACACCAGCCTGGCCAACACGGTGAAACCCCATCTCTACTAAAAATACAAAAGTTAGTCAGGCATGGTGGCGGGCGCCTATAATCCCAGCTACTTGGGAGGCCGAGGCAGGAGAATCGCTTGAACCTGGGAGGCAGAGATTGTGGTGGGCCAAGATTGTGCCATTGCACTCCAGCCTGGGTGACAAGAGTGAAACTCCATCTCAAAAAACAAACAAAAAACCAAAAAAACACAAAAAAGTCAATGGTGAGGAGGCCAAAGAAGCACTATTATACTACTTGCTATTTTAGAAGAGGCCACTGAAAAACATTAAGAATGATGCGGAGGAAAAAAATCAAAGTAGTATGGAGGTAGTTGAAGCCTTATGTTAAAATATTATATAACAAAGCAAGGGTAATAAAAAATAAAAGTGTTGGCTACATGGTGAAGACACCCTTTCCTGAGTCAGATCTGAGATCTCACTGGTTATGGAGAATCTGCTCACGGTTGTAGAGGAAAGAAACCTAAAAGAAAGTAGAAAGGCTAAGCTGACTTAGAACGCAGAAAAAGCAAAGCAGAGAAGAAACAGAAAAAGCAAATGGGTAGGCTTCAGAAAAGTTTAGGGGCTTGTAGAGAGGGAGAAAAAAGAAAAGAAGAAAAGGAATTTTAAAAGGATTACTGTCGTGTGTGAAATATATGTCATTTAACTTTCTTAGAGACATGACTGTGATTGGCATTACAGTTACTTCGCATGCTTTGGATGACACCATGGTGAGAATGGGCCACGTGGACCATTGAGATATATTTGGATTTCACATGGCAGAGAAAATCAGCTGAATGATAATTAATGACGCATCTGTTTTTGAAAGTCTATTGTTTTATATTGAGCTATGTAAATTTGATATAGGAAAGATTCATGAAATCTCACTCCAAATGACATGGATTCTCTCCAAACTAAGAAAAAAAATCACCAAGAATAGCATACTGTAATTTCAAAGCTTGCAAGCGGCTTTGAAATTTTAAAATATTCATATAATTTTTTAAAGGATGGGTAGGAATTTCTGTACACAGTGGAACTATTCCTGCCATATGACAATAGCATAAAGACAAGCTAGAATGGACTCTGCTTGCAAGCTTTGAAATTACAGTATGCAATTCTCAGTGATTCTTCTTCCTAGTTTGGAGAAGATCCATCTCATTTGGAGTGAGATTTTATTAATCTTTCCTATATCACACTATTTTTAATTTACATAACTCAAACAAAGAAGGGTACCGTGTGGGTGGCATTTCGTTTGCAGCATAGAGGAGGTGGTGGAAGTGAGTCCTTCTGTGACTTGACCAGAGATGTGAGCATGAGAAAGTATTGGCTGAGCCTGGTTCTCTGGTCTGAGACTCAGGGACATTCAGCTCAGTCCCCTTCCACCCGCACACCCCCACCTGATGCTGCTGTCATCGTGCCTCATCTGGCCACATCTCTCATCTTTGGCTCTGCACTCAAGGTCATCCATAATGCGAAGCCACCTCTCCAGCCATGCCTTAGCTCCCACTTTTCCTGAAAGTGAAGCTCTGCCTCTCTCACCCCGTGGTCCTTCCCGATGCTCCCATCCTGCAGGCCAAGCCATCCTCTCCCCCACGACTTGCCCCTGCTCCTCTGCTTCCAGCCCCTGCAGTTTTTGTGTTCACTGCAGACTCTGGGGCCTCCAAGAGTTTGTTTCAAACACCTTCTTTTTTTTCCTTTCATTCCTTGGATCTGCTTACCACGATCTCAGCCTTTAATTGTTGGTGCCTCCTGGGCAGCAGCCCTTAGTTGTGTGTTGTTTATATCCTTCCCTCATCGACCAGTGCTTGATACATTCTAAATTATTTCAAATTAATTTGTAAAACCCACAATTATTATCATTTCACTCATATTCCAGGTCAATTTTGACAAAGGTTTCATAGATTTTCATTGAAAATGACATATATCTTAGGAAGAGTTAATACAAAGGTGAAGTTTATGTCAATATATATTTTATTTTTTTCAAAATTATAGTATGAAGTTTTTTCTGGAGAAGGACAAATTTTATTGAATTCCTACACAGGAGTTTCTCTTCTCCTTATCAAATGGTACAGGAATTAAGCATGAAAGGTTAATTCACACAGTCTTAGAACTCTCTCTTCCCTACCTTCTTTCTGCAAAACCAGAAAAAAAAAGCCTGTTTTCAGTCAATAGCTATTTTATTACTCTGTTTGTTAAATAATTTAACTTTATTTGCAATACTATACCTCCCCCTGGTGGAAATAAACAGGCTGTAACAATTACAATCTTTCTTTTTCTGAATCCATTGCAGCGGATTGTGAAAAGACGAGGAAGGAAACAGTAGCTTGTTTATTTCCAGTCCGTTCATCCCAAACTAGTAATTCCATCTCCATTGGTTCTGTATCTGAAATTTCTTTTTATTCTTTATTTTCCTCCCTAACTTATGATGTTGTATATGGTCTTGCAACTTAAATTCTTTTGTAATGTTATTCAAATGAAAATTCATAGATTTTCCAAAGTACTTTATTTCCTAAGCTTTCATGTATTAATTAATAATGCTTTTACCTTTATGGGCCAATTTTAGACATATAGCCCATCAGTCTGAGCTGATAAGCATAATTGAATAGTGCCTTTGCCTGAAGTAATTTCAGAGAAAGCTAAGAAGCCTGCTGCTTTAGAAATATTTGGGGTGTTTTTATTAAGAAAATAAGCAAAAAAGCCTAGTGGAATACTATCTTTTAAACCTTTATACTTGTAGAGAACAAATCATTTTGTTTAATTGATTTGTTCTAGAGGTGACAAAACTGAGGACCTTACCTGAGATGACAAAGATAGTTAAGTGGTGGGACTGTGATCAAAATGTATTAATGGATTGAAAGTCAGGAAGCTGTCTCCTCGCTTGAAACTTAGTGGGCAACCACTAACGACTAAGGAATAGATTGAATGCCTGGGGATCAGTTTTACATGGGGAAGTGAATCACAGTTTCCTAGAGTAAATGGAATAACAAAAAAGAAATATCAAGGTGACTGAAAAAAAAAGCATAAAATCTGACACGTAATAAGTGCTATTTATTAAAAGGCAAAGGCTTCCATCTTCTATTAGAATACAAAACCACAATAGACTGCTGATTAAAAGAGAAGTTACAATTAAATAACATTAAAAGTTTATTCTATATGGAAAGCATGACAGGCAACGGTGAACAAAACAGATAAATGTTTGGATGGTTTGGCAAAGACGATAAGAAACAAAGTGGTAAGGTGGTAACTCTCCCTGCTATTATGGTCTCTGGAGTTTCTCCACTCCTATTTTTTCCAGGCTACCAAACTACTAGCGAGAGAAAGAAATTTTATGACAGCAATGGCTAGAAAAAATACTTGAGACAAAATTGGACATTTAAATTTATAGAAAGTGCCATCTACAGCTTTAAAAATACATAAAGCAAAAACTGAAATACAAGGAGTAATTAACAGAAGCATGAAAGCAGTAGAAGTATGTGTATATACAAATACACACGCACATACTCACAACGCCAACATTCTATATTCCAATCAGGCATGTAAAAAGTGAGGCCATAAAAGCTTTGTAAAATATCTCTAATTGAGACAAATCAAGTGTCTGCTTTCAGACATAATGGAGTGACTTAAATTGGACTAACTTTCATGCCAAGAAAAAATCCTATAAAAGCTGAATAAAATGTACAAAATGACTGTGTGAAGCAGTGGGCAGCAACTAATGTAGACAGTACTGAAAGGCACAATTGTGAGAGTGAGAGAAGGGAAGCACACAAGATAATTTCTTTTTTTTCTTTTCTGGTATTCTTTTTTTTTCTCTCTTTTTTTTATTATACTTTAAGTTCTAGGGTACATGTGCACAACGTGCAGGTTTGTTACATATGTATACATGTGCCATGTTGGTGTGCTGCACCCATTAACTTGTCATTTACATTAGGTATATCTCCTAATGCTATCCCTCCCCCCTCCCCCCACTCCACAACAGGCCCCGGTGTGTGATGTTCCCCTTCCTGTGTCCATGTGTTCTCATTGTTCAATTCCCACCTATGAGTGAGAACATGCGATGTTTGGTTTTTTGTCCTTGCAATAGTTTGCTGATAATGATAGTTTCCAGCTTCATCCATGTCCCTACAAAGGACATGAACTCATCATTTTTTATGGCTGCATAGTATTCCATGGTGTGTATGTGCCACACTTTCTTAATCCAGTCTATCATTGTTGGACATTTGGGTTGGTTCCAGGTCTTTGCTATTGCGAATAGTGCTCACACAAGATAATGTCTACATTAACCCTGGTTGTTTTCCCTGTGGGAATTTTTTTAAATCGTTGCATGAGGAATAGAGACCACCTCTAACAAAGCTGAAAATCAAGCCTCCATGGGACCCAAGGTGATTCACTGATAGAGAACTGCCTGACAGGAAGAAAAAAACTTTCTTTGAAGAAAAACATCATTATCGGAGCCTCTACAATTTTTATCTACAATGAGCAAAATAAAATATAAAAATTAAAGGTTATGGTAAAAAAGACAGGACCAAGAGAAACAAACGTTAAGAAAAATGTAAACATTATATATAGTCTCACAGGTGATTTAGATATTGGAGTTATCAAAGAGAAATTTTAAAAATTGATTAGCCATTCAAGAAAATAAAGGATGGCATGGAAAAACAAGAGAAAATATAGAGAATTTCAACATAATTGAATATATATGAACAAAGCAACTGGGCGGTCTAGAACTGAAAAATACAATATTTGAAATGAAGAATTCATTAGATGAATTTAACAGTACACTGGACATAACAGAAGATGGGGAGGAATAGAATTTATTCAAACTGAAGCAAAGAGAGAAAAATAATGGAATGAACAGTACAGAATATTGTGTACATATACAGAATATTGTGTCCCCAAAGGAGAAGAGGGAAAAGAGCATAAATAATATTTGAAGACAGAATGGCTAAGTATATGTTTTAAAATATAATGAAAGACAACAACCCACAGGTTCAAGAGTCTATGCAAACCCCAAGATAACTAGAATAGGCACATCTTAGTCAAGCTGCTGAAAACCAAAGACAAAATGAAAATCTTAAAAGCAGGCGGGAATAGTGGGAATACTTTACTTTCAAAGGATCAAGAATAAAGCTTACAGCTGACTGTACAACATACTCATGGGAGCAAGTGGAATGACATCTTTAAAGGGCTAGGTATCAGCCAAACTAAAATTTTATAAACATTGAAAATATTAATGAAAATAAAGCAAAATAAGGAATTTTTGACAAATGAAAGCTGAGAAAATTTGTATCCAGTAGACTTGCACTAAAAGAAATACTAAAGATGGAGAATATCTTCATGACTTTGATGTAAGAACCGATTTCTGAAATAGATTTTTAAAAAGACACTAAACCTAATGAACATAATTGATAAATTAAACATAAATTGATGATTGACATTAAGCATTTCTGTTTACCAAAATAGACCTTTAAAAGAATAAAAATGCAATACCAACAAATATAAATGTTTATATTTGTGAACCATGTACTTGACCAAAGGCTTATATTCAAGATCAATGAAAAGGAAAATGTGTAAAAAATTTGATCAGGAACTTTCCAAAAGAATCTAAGAAGAACTTCGACTTCATTAGCTACCAGAGAAATACAAATTTAAAACACAGTAAGAGACTACCATTTTATTAGCTAAATTCTTAAATACATTCTAGATGAGCTGAAATTAAAAGACTGACTTCATTAAGTGTTGATGAGGATGTGGAGTAATTCATGTGCACTATTAGTGGCAGTGTAAGTAAATTGATATAAGCACTTTGGAAATCTATTTAGTATTATTTATTAAAATTGAATATACACATATTTTATGGCCCATGCACAAATATACCAAAATATATGCGCAAAAGCATTCATAGCAACATTAAATGTAAAGCTAAAAATGCAAAACAATGCAAATATCCTTGAATAGTAGAATGAATATATAAATTATGGTATTGTCATACAGTGAAACACAATTATTCTCTTAATAAATTTAATCAAGTAGATAAAAGGAACAAATGAAATAAGAGATTTCGGAGGGGGGGCCAGATCCATTCTTGATAAAAACAAAGATTTTGTAAGCTAAGAACATACAGATACTTTTCTGTTTTACTTTTCTTTTTGGCACTTCAGTTGCAGAGATTTAAATTAGTTATTCTCTTCAGTTCAAGGTACAACATCACCATGATTTGTACAAGACTCCCTCTTGGCTTTTAATACATTCATTTTTTTCCCGCCTCCACATTCTCCAATTCTCTCCTCCTTAGTTCTTTCTTCAGATGGAGCTGCCCTAGAGGGTTTGATATGTGTCTTTGGAAAATAAGTTTGTGAATGTGTGTGTGTTGGCAGGGGGCGGGGTGGGGAGTGGTGGTGAAGTTAATTCACATAAAGTGTAAACGACATAGTTCCTTGCTTTACATTAAATGGTTCCTTATCTTTTCATTATATCTCTTAAGATCTCCCTATGTTACTGTTGCAATATCTGGTGTATTGTCACAAAGCCTGGCAGCTATTTCTTCACCTGCCTCAACTTCATTTTCTTATCTATTCCCCTAGCGATGAACACCTAGGTTGCCTCCAACTATCCCCAAATTACTGCGAAGGACATCCTTCTACTTGTCTCCACACGGACCTGTGTGAGAATCACTTTGGGATACGTATTTGCCAGTGTGATTGTGAAGTAACAGTGTGTGTGTGTGTGTGTGTGTGTGCGCGCGCGCGCGTGCAATTTCGCAAATCCTGGAAGATTGCTCTTCAGAATGGCTGCAACAATCTCTTTTATGAGGAGTCCTCCCATGCTTCTCTTTTTTCTGGCAAATATAGATATTATTCTACTTTGTCATAGTGATGAGATTAAAGTGATATCTTAATTTCCCTGGGTAGTACAATCTTGAACATCATTTTCATATTCTTGCTAGCTATTAGCATTTCCTCTCTATGTATTATTTGTTCATATTTGCCTGTTTTTCTATAGGGCTTCTGGTCTTCTTGTTTATTTACAGAAGAAACAAGATTGTAATTTCATGGCATTGATTCATTGTTAGTCATAGATGTTGCAAATATCGTTAACCAATCACTCATCTGTCTGTTGTTATTATCTATGTGGTACTTTACAGAACAGAAATCTTTAATTTTGATATAATCAAATAATAATTTCCCCCCTTATAATTGTACTACTTTGACTTTTTAAAGAACCGCTTACTTGCCTGGGTCCAAAGGGATTCCCCGCCTTGTTTTCTTCTTTTTTTAAGTAGGTTTATTGAGATATAATTGATATACAATAAATTACATCTATTTAATATACAATTTGATAAGTTTTAAAATACATATACACCCACAAAAGATCACCACAGTGAAGATAATGAACCTATCCATCACTCCCCAAAATTTACTCAAGACCCTATAATCCATCTCTTTCTCTCACTCATTTCCAGTCCCAGAAATTACGCATTTTTTTGTCTCTATAAATTAGTTTGAATTTTCTGGAATTGTATATAAGTGGAAGCACAAGAATATATTGTTTTTGGTCTGGCTTCTTTCCTTCAGCATAATTATTTTGAATTTTATCCATGTTGTGTGTTAACTCATTCTTTTGTGTTATTGAGTGGTGTTGCCTTGCGTACATAGGCCACGATTTTATCCATTTACTTCTTTTTGTTGGACATTTGGGTTATTTCAAGTTTTGGATTAGTATAAACAATAATAATTTATAACATATTTATAATTTTAAATTTATAACAGTATAAGTAATAATACTTGTACTTTGTGCATAAGTCTTTGTATGGATGTGTTTCCAGTTTTCATGGATAAAAGCCATGTATGGTAAAAGTCAGTATGGTAAGTGGATAGTTAATATTTAAGAAATTGCTATACTGTTTCGACGTGGTTGAGCCACTTTACATTCCCATCAATAGTGCATGAAAGTTCCAGTTACTTTGCATCTTTACCAACACTTGGTATTGTCATTTATCTATCATCTATCTATCTATCTATCTATCTATATCTATCTATCTATATCGATGACATTCTAATACTTGTGTCGTGGTACCTTGTGGTTTTAATTTTCATTTCCTTAATGATTCATGAGTAACTTTGTGTATGCTTATTTGCCATCTGTATATGCTCTTTGGTGAAGTGTCTGGTCAATTTTGTATCATGTTGTTTTTCTTTTTCAATTGTATTTTTGAGTCTTTCTGTACTCTCCATACACAAGTCCTTTGTGTATGACTTCGATTACGTCCATGATTTACAGATGTTTTCTTCCAGTCTGTGGCTTGTCTTTTCATTTTTGTAACACTGTCTTTTGAAGAGCAAAGTTTTTCATTTTGATGAGGTCCAGTTGGCTGATTCTTTTCTTTTGGAATTAGTAGTTTTTATTTTTAAATCCTACTTTTTAAATCCTTGGGAAACCCAACATTGCTAAGATTTTCTCTTATGCTTTCTTCTGAAAGTCTTTATGTTTTGACTCTTAGATTAAGGTCTATAATCTATTTTGAGTTAACTTTTGTGTATTATGTGAGGAAAAGATAATTCTTATGTATG
The DNA here is from genome assembly GCF_000001405.40 of Homo sapiens. NCBI lineage: Eukaryota > Metazoa > Chordata > Mammalia > Primates > Hominidae > Homo > Homo sapiens. Next base: position 235,123,430 of record NC_000002.12, read on the forward strand.
TGGCTGTCCAATTGTTCTAGCACCTTTTGTTGAAAACATTGTTATTGCCCCTCTAAATTATCTCTGCACCTTTGTCAAAAATCAACTGACCATGTAATATGGGTCTATATCTAGACTCTATTTTCTTCCATTGATTTATATGTCTACCTCTATTCTTTTTTTCCTTTGAGACAGGGTTGCACTCTGTCACCCAGGCTGGGATGCAGTCGAAAAATCACAGCTCCCTCAGCCTCCTTGGGCTCAGGTCATCCTCCCACCTCAGCTTCACAAGTAGCTGGGACCACAGGGGCATGCCACTATGCCCAGCTAATTTCTGTATTTTTTTGGAGAGATGAGGTCTCCCTATGTTGCCCAGACTGGTCTCAAACTCCTGGGCTAAGGGATCCATCCACTTTGGCCTCCCAAAGGGCTGGTATTACAGGCATGAGCCACTGCACCTGATCCATTTTTATTCTAATACCACACTGCTTTGATTACTGTAGTTCATAGTGTCTTGAAATCAAGTAGTTTAAGTTTTCTAATGTTGTTTTTCTTTTTCAAAATTGTTGTGACTATTCTAGTTTCTTTATATTTCCATAAAAATTTTAGAACCAGTTTGTCAATCCCCCCACCCCCAACTCCAAGAAAAAAAATCTGGAATTTTTATTTGTCGGGGATTGCACTGAATGTATAAATCAAAGTTGGGAAGAACTGACATGCTAACAATATTGAGTCTTTTAGACAATGAACTCTCTATTTAGGGCTATTTATTTAGGTCTTCGTTAAATTTTCTCAGCAATGTTTTGTAGTTTTCAGCATACAAATCTTACACATCTTTTGCCAACTTCACACATAAGTACTTAAAATTTTTTGATGCTATTGTAAACTGTATTAATTATTCAATTCCAATTTCCGACTTTGCCAGTATATAGAAATATAACTGGTTTTTACATAGTGTCCTTATATCCTGCAATTTTGCTAAACACACTTATTACTTCTAGTAAATTTTCTGTAGATGCCACGGGATTTCACGATTATGTCATAAGGGAATGAAGACTAGTTTACTTCTTCATTTCCAATCTGGGTGCCTTTTAATTATTTTTATTGCCTTATTGCCCTAGCTAGGACCTCCAGTACAACATTTAATAGAAGTGGTAAGAGCAGACATCTATGCGTTGTTCTGGATCTTATAAGAAAGCATTAATCTTTGATTAATCTTTGACCATTATCTATGACACTGAATGGAGTTTTTTCATAGATGTCGTTGAGTAGGTTGAAGATGTTCCCTTCTATTTATAGTTTTGTGGGAGTTTTTTTTATGAGTGGATATTGTATTTTGCCAAAGGCTTTTACTGCCTCTATTCAAGTGATCATGTGGCTTTTCTTCTTTAGTCTGACAAGTGAGTGATTTCCAATGTTAGACTAGCTTTGCCCTCCTGGGATCACCACACTTTGGTCATAATATATTATTCTTCTTAGATATTGTTGAATGTGATTTGCTAAAACTTAGTTATGAATTTTTATGTCTACTTTCACGATAGATGTTGATCTCTTATTTTCTTCTTACAATGTCTGTGTTTGGCTTTGTTGCCAAAGTAGTGCTGGCTTTATAGAATGGATTGGGAAGCATTCCTCCCCATCTATTTTCTGGAAGAGTTTAGATAGAATTGCCATTATTTCCTCCTTAAATGTTTGATAAAATTTACCGGGGAAACCATCTAGGACCAGAATTTTCTTTGTGGAAATGTTTTAAACTACGAATTAAATTTCTTTTAATAAGTATATGCCAAATACACATATGTTAGATGATTTGAAGCCATCTCACAGTTCATTGATTTTTTTTTCAGGTTTTTTCTCTGCATGCTTTATTTAGTTTCCATTGCTTTGTCTTCAAGTTTACTTTCTTCTGTAGTGTCTAATATGTATTATTCCAATCCATTGCATTTTTCATTTCAGATCTTGTATTTGCTTTTATCTCTAGAAGTTTGATTTGGGTCTTTTTTTTCCCCTGTCCCTTCTGAGTATGCTCATGCTTTCCTCTCCCCTCTTGAAAATATGAAGTCTATTTGTAATAGCTATTTGAATGTTCTTATAGATGCTATTATCTCTGTCAGTTCTGGTTTGGTTTCTATTGATTAGTTTTTTCTCCTAATTAAGGTTCATATTTTCTTGCTTCTTTGCACACCTGGTCATGTTTTATTGGATATTAGACATTATAAATTTTACGTTTTGGGGGACTGGATGATTTTCTATTCCTTAGCATTATTTTAGGTTTTGTCCTGGGACATGGCTAAGTTACTTGAAAACAGGCTAATCCTTTGGGGCTTGCTTTTAGACTTTGTTAGGCAGGACCAGAAGAGCCTCTAGTCATTGACTAATTTGGGCCACTGCTGAGACAGTGCTCACTTGAGTGCTCCTTTTTCATTTAGGTTTTCAATCCATCTAGTATAGTGTGCTTTTATTGAGTCTATGATGTAAGATCCAGTGTTGTTTTCTCTGTACAATGAGCCAGCTCTCCCAATAATATCTACAAAACAGTCTTTCTTCATTGATGCTGTCTTTACTATACATCAAGTTCTTAATTTTCAAGGAACTTTAAGATCTGTGCTCTGTTTCATTTGCCTTTATCTGACCTTTACCTGCACCATACCATACTGTTGGAATAACTTCTGTGTCTGTGTTAATTTAGTAGGTCAAGTCTGTCTTTTTGATCTTCTTTTGTCAAGGTTCACTTACCTATTGGGAATTTTATTCTTCCATACAAATCAATTAGATGCTTAAAATTTTCAAAAAAAAACTATCTGAACATTTTAATATAATTGCTTGAAATTTATAGATGATCTTTTGGGAAAATTGACATCTTTAAAAGGTAATTCGCCTCATCCATAGCATACTTTTACATTTTTGTTTTTAGTTTTCTTATTTATTCTCTCATAGCACTTTTTTTCATAATGTTCACATGCATAAGGAGATTCTTTGATATTGCATAGTTTTGTTACTGCTGTGAATTGCATATTATTTTTTATTATATTTTCTAGTTGTAGTTACCTATGCAGAAAATGCTGTTGTGTTTTTGTGATTTGATCTGGTATCTAGTTGACTTTTCTAAACTCTCTCATTGTTTCTAAATAGTCAATTATGTTTATTTTTTAAGTGTAGTGTTGGAGAGAAATTTTTTCCCAGAGTTTTGTTTAAAATGACAACACAGATCTTATTCAGACTATTGCAGTAGGAGGGAGAGAGTTCAGTACAGAACTGAGCTGAACTCTGATCTGTGCAGAGATGACTGGGTGTTTTAAAGAGAGAATGAGAGAGTAAGAAGGGGAAATAAACAGGGATTCCAGCAAAGTCAGGAAAGTAGACAATTGCAGAAGACGATGGTGGGTGGGTCAATGTTAGGCCATCTGTGTCTGCCAACTAGTGTTTATCCAACTTAGGTTCCTAACTTTCCACACAGATGGGGAGGCAAAGGCCCTATATTTATTGATGATTACATGTCAACAAGGACCTGGCTGGCTCCCAGGTCCTTAAGAAAGACATTCCTGTGTTGTAGAAGATGCATCTCAAAGGAACAGAGACCGGATTTACAAATGCAAGTTTCTAAAGTAAATGCTCTAAGAAAAGGGAGGTCAGGGGCCTTTAGTCAGGATTTGGCTGGAACAAACAGTAAATTCTTTTGGCGTGTTGAGCTTTCTCAGACAGGAACTTAAGGAGACTGGGGCTGTCATCCTAGGGACATGGGCTTGAGCTAAAAGAAACTATGCAAGTGTATGTTCAAGTCTCTTAGTGTGGCGGGTGGACAAAAATCATTTGTGATGAAAGTTTGCAGTTCTCACAGGCCAAGCTCAAGGCCTAGTGGAGTAGAGGGCTCAGTTTGGTCGTGGAGAGAGTCTTAGTCAATAGGATCATATCATTTGCAAAATGTAGTTTTAAATCATTTCTTCCAAACACTATTAACACTTTTCTTTTATAACTGTCTTATATGTCATTACCACCAGTATTTCTTCAGATACTAGTAGCTGAAATCTTTTCATTAAATAATAGCTGGGCTCATGCTTGTAATCCCAGCACTTTGGGAGGCCAAGGCAGGTGGATCACTTGAGATCAGGAGTTCAAGACCAGCCTGGCCAACATGACAAAACCCCATCTCTACTAGAAAAACACAAAAATTAGCTGAGTGTGGTGGCGCATACCTTGAGCCTGGGAGGTGGAGGTTGCAGTGAGCTGAGATCACACCACTGCACTCCAGCCTGGGAGACAGAGTGAGACTCCATCTCAAAAAAAAAAAAATTTAAATTAAATAATAAATAAAATAAGATGTTTGCTGTAGGTTGTGAAGTTCTCCATATTTCCTAGTTTGCTAAGAAGATTAAATAATATAAATAATTATTGAACTTTATTAAATAGTATTTTCTGACTCTATTGAGATAATCTTAAGGCTTTTAAAATTTAACTAATGTGTTAGTCCATTCTCACACTGCTAATAAAGACATACCCGAGACTGGGTAATTTATAAAGAAAAGGAAGTTTAATGGACTCACGGTTCCACATGGCTGGGGAGGCCTCACAATCATGGTGGAATGTGAAGGAGGAGCAAAGGCATGTCTTACATGGTGCCAGACAAGAGAGCGTATGCAGAGGAACTGCCCTTTATAAACCATCAGATCTTGTGAAACTTACTCACTATCACGAGAACAGCTGGGAATAACCCACCCTCATGATTCAATTACCTCCCACCAGGTCCCTCCCACTACAAGTGGAGATTATGGGAGCTACAGAGCAAGATGTAATTTGGGTGGGGACACAGACAAACCATTTAAACTAACAATGTGGTAAATACATTCTTAGATTCTTCAGCTATTGAGCCATCTTTACAATACTCAGATAAACCTCATTTGATTAAGATGTAATTTTTAAAATATCTTCTTAGATTAGGTTCACTAGTATTTTGTTAGGGTTGTTACATGACTGTTCAGAAATGAAATGGAACTATATATATTTTTCTTGTACTACCTTACCCAATTTTGCAAAGTTACACATGCATCAAAAAATTAATTTGGAAGCTTCCCATTTTCTAGAATAATTTATGTAAGATGGAAATTATCTCTTCCATCTAAGTTTGATTACCTGTCAAACTGAACCTAGGGGTTATTTTCAGGAGAGGATGGTCTTTAATTTTCATTTAAGCTTTTACATTTTTGTGGTTTTGTTCAAGTTTTCTATTTTTTTCTGTGCCTATTTTCGCATTCTCTATTTTTTCTAGAAATTTATTTATTTTCTCCAGCTTTTATAATTTATCAGAGCATAGTTGTTCATGATATTCTCTTTTTTAAAAATCTGTAGCTTCCCATCTATTTATTCTTTTTTTTTTTTTTTTTTTTTTTTTTTTTTGAGATAGTCTCACTCTGTCACCCAGGATGGAGTGCAGTGGTGCAATCTCAACTCACTGCAACCTCAGCCTCCCAGGTTCAAGTGATACTCCTGTCTCAGCCTCCTGAGTAGCTGGGACTACAGGCACACACCATCATGCGGGGCTAATTTTTTTATTTGTAGTAGAGATAGGGTTTCACCATGTTGGCCAGGTTGGTCTCAAACTCCTGGCTTCAGGTGATCCACCCGTCTCGGCCTCCCAGAGTGCTGGGATTACAGGCATGAGCCACTGCACCTGGCCTATTCATTCTCTGTATTGTTTATTTGCATTTTCTATCTTTGATTCTTAATTTATCTTCCTAGGTTTTATCTAATTTTCTTTTTATAAAACCAACTTTTTGTATTGTTAATCTTTTCTATTTTTATTCTCTATTTTGTTGATTTCTGACATTATTTTTATTATTTCACTCCTTTTTTATTAATATCTGAGCAATTGTTCTTTTTACAACTTTCTAGACAAAAATATTTAACTTGTTTGTTTGCAATCTTTCCTGCTTCCTAGTAAGTATATTTATACATTTTTCTCTATATACTGACTTTTCTGGTTTTCAAAATGTTGACCCGCAGGATTTTAATATTATTCAGTTATAAATATTTTACCATTTTTAGGATGTCTACTCCTAAATTCAATCTTTATTTAGAAATATAATATTTAGTTTTCAGTCATATGGTACTTTTTAGGTTTTGTTTCTTAATTCAAAATTTATTCCATTACGGCATTTATTGTAGCTTCTTTTTGTCTAAAACATCGTCAATGTTTTCATGGATACTTTTATGGCTATTTGAAAATAATGTATTTTCACTAGAGTTGGGGACAGCTTTCAAGTTTAACAGTTGTGTTGTTCAGCTCTTCTGATTAATTTTGACTAATGCATTTCATTTGTTTCCAAATCAGTTTTGGTTTATTGTACTTGTTATTATAATTAAGCAATGTATATATACAATAAACAAATGAAATATAACTATCAACATAGTTTTTCTATGAAATTGAAGATAAATCCTGTAGAAATACAAACAAAAGTGATTTGCTTAAAAATATATATGAAACTCAGTGATGAGATTTTAGTAAGATAATTGTAAAGGCTGGGGAAAAAAGTATAAAATCTGGAAAGATTCTGCATTTAGATTTCTTTTGCATGTCCTTAAGGACTTACTTGGCTTTACAGAATACAAAATAATACATCATAAAGAATGCATTCTGGGTGCGGTTTACGTAAGAAAAATGACTCAGAATTCCAGGCAGAGTCAAAGCGTTGCATTAAGATACTGTCTGTTTTAATTTATTACAGGTTTTAAATTCAAATAAAACATTTAATGTATTTATGTATTTTTTATGATTCTCTACTATCGGTTTTTTGATTAACCAACCAAGTAATCATTCTCGCTGTTCAGCTAAGAGGGCATCTACTGCATATGTGTGAATATCAGTCCATCTATAGAAAAGATTGATGGGATGTATTCCAAAATGCTACCATACTTCTAGCTCTATGAAAGAATTGTAAATAGTTATAATATCTTCTTGTAGCTTTTGTCTATTTGACACATTTTTATGGTAAATTTGTATTATTCTTGTGATCGGAGGGGTAATTATTTATTTATTTATTTGTTTATTTATTTTATTTTATTTTTTTTTTTTTGAGACAGAGTTTTACTCCTATCGCCTAAGCTGGAGCACAATGGTGCCATCTCAGCTCACTGCAACCTCTGGCTCCTGGGCTTAAATGATCCTCCCACCTCAGCCTCCTGGGTAGCTGGAACTACAGGTGCTCACACCACCGTACCTAGCTAATTTTTGTATTTTTTGTAGAGGCGGGGTTTCTTCAGGTTGCCCAGGCTGGTCTCAAACTCCCAAGCTCAAGTGATCCTCCCACCTTGGCCTCCCAAAGTGCTGGAATTACAGGCATGAGCCCTGCCAGAGGGGCAATTTTTAAAATAGAAGAAAAAAAGAAATACCAATAGAATTAGAAGGAAGAACTGATAGATAAAAGCAGTAACAATGCACAGCACTTAATAGATCTTTAAAGTACTTTTATTTGATAGTCACCAAAGCCTCTAGTATAGGTCAGTCCTGAAAATCATTCTCTCTCTCTCTCTCTTTAACAGATGCAAAAATAAAATCTGAAAAGTTGAGGAACCAGACCAAGGTCCTCAAGCCGTGTTTTAGTTATCTCTTACCCCATAGCAAACCACCTCAAAACTTAGTGGCTTAAAACAACAATTGATTATTACTTCTCAGGGTTCTGTGGATTGACTGGGCTCAGCTGCACCCACTTGGGTCTCTCATGAAGCTGCAGCCACTTGTTGGCTGGGGCTGGGCCACCTGAAGGCCCACTGGGCTGGCCTTCAAGATGGTGCACTCACGAGTCTAGTGTTACCAGGGCAGCCCTAGAGAAAGAGCTGAAAAAGCTCATTATTTTCATATCCAGTCTTTTTCTAGTCTCTTTATCTATAGGTGCTCCTGCTTAAAGATCTCCAGCTGGCCTAGAACACTGCAGGAACTTCGTAGTCTTTTGCCAAATACCAGAGGAAGAAAAGGCCTGCAAGAAGCCGGTGCAAATCAGAACCGACAACCCCTTATTACCTTTAGATCATTAATATATGATGATGAGGCTAGGATCCCCAACCCTAAAAGGAAATCACTGCCATTTTCTGTTTGCGTGACATATGAAGGCGCGTGTTTATGACCTGCGCCTGCGCGATGGAGTTCCTCCCTGCACGTGTTTGCCTACCTCCCTGCCCCACATCGAATGCCTTAAATTTCCCCAGCTTCCTACAGCCTGGGCAGAAGGAGCTCTCCTTCTCCTTTCCTGGCCACTGAATAAACTCTGCTTGCCTTTTTTTACAATTGGGTGTTCTTTCTTTGTAACCAATACAAAGTAGGGAAAGAACTGTTTCCTGGTGACACTGGCAGTTGATGCTGGCTGTGTCCTGGGAGCTCGGCTTGGGCCCCGGAGCAGAGTGCTTGCACGAGGTTCCCTCTTGGCATGGAGGCTCGGTTCTTAAGAGGATACTACCAAGAGTGAGCCTTCCGAGAGCCATGGGCAAAAGCTATGAGTCTTCTGAACTGTTCTCCCAACTTCCAGAGCATCCTTTCCACCACGTTCTACTGGCCAAGCAGTCACTAAGACCAGCCTGGATTCAAGGGAAGGGGACTTAAGCCCTCCTGTTGACGGGGTATGTCAACATCACAACACAGAAGAGCCTGTGGAATGAGATTTTGCTGGGGCCGTCTTTGGACAAAAGAATCTGCCCCAGTCGCATAGCTAAAGATTGCAGGGAATAGGATGACGCTGGTGTTCTTTTTACTGGAAAATGCCACCTCTTAATGAGGTTTACAGATACAAATTGTATCACAGTGTCTGAAATGATATGTATCTGGTAATAATGTCATTAAAAATGAAGAATATGTGAAGGCAGTTGCATTTTCTAATGTGGCATCAAGACTGGTATTTTGAAAGTTCTAAAGCCAGGCTGGGTGCAGTGGCTCATGCCTGTATCCCAGCACTTTGGGAAGCTGAGGTGGGTGGATCACCTGAGGTCAGGAGTTCGAGACAAGCCTGGCCAACATGGTGAAATCCCATCTCTACTAAAAATACAAAAATTAGCCAGGCAGGGTGACGCATGCCTGTAATCCCAGCTACTTGGGAGGCTGAGGCACGAAAATCACTTGAATCCGAGAGGCAGAGGATGCAGTGAGCAGAGATCGCACCACTGAACTCCAGCCTGCATGACAGAACAAGAGTCTGTCTCAAAAATAATAATAATAAATTTAAAAAAATAAAATAAAAGTTCTAAAGCCAGTTGGAGTTTACTAACTGCTTCAAATATGCCTGTTATTTCTTCTCTTCCTATGGAGGGCGCAGGGGGGAAAAAGAACAAAATACGCATGTTACTTAACAAGGGCTCAGATGGGACTATTAATTCACAGTTCAATGCTCTTCTTAGAGTGGAAGTTGATATGTTTTTGTTGCTCATTGGTTATTGGATAAAGCTATTTTCCCAGGCATAAAAAGAAGACTTAGTAACAGCTTTCTTTATTAAAATTGTGAATTGCTCAAAGCAGCTTCCTGTCCTCCAGGAAATCTAAAACAAAACACTGAGAGATTTTATAGCCTCCTTCCTTTCCCCTAGAGTCCACAAGAACTATTTTCTTCCCTTCTATCTCTTTTATTTTCCCAGACTGTAATTTCTGTGGAGAGAGCCCAGTTCATTGGAAGTTTCTGGAAGGCGGAGATGCCAGAGTGTGGCAACATCATTCCAAGGGCCATCACTGGTGCTCAAGAAGTCATGGGCCTCGGGCCACTGAGTACCTTTGACTTTAAAGAGACGTGGTTTCTGGGCACGGTGGCTCACACCTGTAATCTCAGAACTTTGGGAGGCCAAGGCAGGTGGATCACTTGAGCCCAGGGGTATGAGACCAGCCTAGGCATCATGGTAAAACCTTGTCTATACAAAAAAATTCAAACATTAGCCAGGTATGGTGGTGTGCACGTTTAGTCCCAGCTACTCAGGAGGCTGAGGCAGGAGGATCAAATGAGCCTGGGAGGTCAAGGCTGCAGTGAGCTGTGATGGCACCACTGCACTCCAGCCAGGGTGACAGAGGGAGTCCTGGTCACACACACACACACACACACACACAAAGACATGATCTATTTGATTTTGTTCCTTCTGAGTCTTAACTCAATGAAAGGCCATTTTAAGTGAGCAAAATGAGAATCTTTTTATAGATGATGCCAGTAATAAACATTACTAGTTATTTGTCATATTTGAAATGATGCTCAGTTCATTTTACTCATTACTGTTCATGGCGATTACTGAATACTAGCTTTGCTAATTACTTTTATTAATTGTCATTAGAATTAGAATTTCACTGTGGCTTAAATTCAAACCATGCTTGACAAATAGTTTGACAAATAGTTGCTTGACAAATAGTTGGAAGACTTCCTCTCCCCCAACGATGGCTTTGCCAGAGCTGCAATCATGGTGTCCTCAGCTGGCCTGCCAAGGGCAGCCTCTGTCCTTCCCCCTAACCAGCTCTGTCCTTCTGCACATCATGAATCCATGGAAAGCTCAGAGATGTGTAGGAATGAGCAGGAAGTGTCAGGAAGCAGGGTGGCCCTAACTGCTAGGAAATGGGGCTTAACAGGAGGAAGCGGTTGGCCTGAGCAGGTTTCCTTTTTAGGTGGGGGAGGGAGGGAAGGATAAGAAACTGAGATCACAGCGGGAGCTGTGGGGAGCCAGAAGGGTCCTAGAGGGAGGGCAGAGACTATTGGTGGGAAATGATGATGATACAGACTGGGCTTCCTGGGGCTCCAGGAGTGCAGCTATGCCTCCAGCACTGTCCTAGCAGTGTGGGGAGCTCAGAGTCAAGCCCAAGCTGTGGTTTGGGAGCTCCTTTCAGCAGCAGCTCTCTCTCACTAATGTCCCTGTGGTCTGCAACTGCTTTTCCTGGCTTGCTTTGATTGATTTTTTTAGCGTGTTCCTTCCCTGATGCTTGTATACCTCTTTTTGGTCTCTTTTCCCTCTTGTACCTCCTTTGTTTCTGAGCTCTCAAAAAAACTGCCATTAAAGATGACTTTCTGCTGACATTTTTCTGGATGCAGTATATACCTATAGAGCAAAAAAGATTGCAGCTCTTTTGAAAAAAGCAAGCATGTTTCTTGCTTAAATAGCCAGTGCCTGGACACATAACAATTTCTCTAGAAGTAGATTGCAAATGACTGAATTGATTAGTTCCTATAAGCCGCTTAGCCCTGTGGTGCATAATGTTACTGGGATCTTATTGCTTTAGGGGGTTGACTTTGTAATTTGTGACTTGTTCTTTGCTGCAGGCTTTGCTGCTGGAATACAAATGAGGCCATATTGACATTTATGCCCAGACTCAAAGGCCCCCACCGGCTCTTCTGAAATGGATCCAAACTTTTTCTGAATACTTTTTTGCTCAGGCATTCCTAAATAAGCCTAGAGGTGCTTGTACACGTTCACGAATCAGTCCAGCATCTGAGCTGTCTGATAGGTGCCTGTTCCCTTCACTGGTAGAATAGACCATCCCCTTTGTATCTAGACTATGATGATTCCTCAAGAGAAGGAGGATATGGAATCAGGAGTATCCCACAGAAAAGCTGCCTGGACCCCAAGTGTAACATCTTACAACTCACCCTTGGATAAGCCCCTTCCAATTCACCCCTGGACAAGCCCCTTCCAATTCACACTTGGGTGAGCCTCTTCCAATTCACCCTTGGACAAGCCCCTTCCAGTTCACCCTCGGACAGGCCCCTTCCAGTTCACCCTCGGACAGGCCCCTTCCAGTTCACCCTCAGACAGGCCCCTTCCAATTCACCCTTGGACAGGCCCCTTCCAGTTCACCCTCGGACAAGCCTCCTTTCAATTAACACTTGGATGAGCCTCTTTCAATTCACACTTGGACAAGCTCCTTCCAATTCACCCTTGGACAAGGTCATTCCAATCCACTCCTGGAGAAGCCTCCTTCCAATTCACACTTGAGTGAGCCTCTTTCAATTCACCCTTGGACAAGTCCTTTCCAGTTCACACTTGGACAAGCATCTTTCCAGTTCACACTTGGGTGAGCCTCTTCCAATTCACCCTTGGACAAGCCCATTCCAATTCACCCTTGGACACACACCCTTCCAATTCACACCTGGGTGAGCTCTTTCAATCCTTGGACAAGCCCCTTCCAATTCATTCATGGGGAGCCTCTTCCAATTCACTCTTGGATAAACCTTTTCCAATTCACCCTTGGACAGCCCTCCTCCAATTCACTCTTGAAGATATTCTTTCAGTTTACACTCGGGGAGGCCTCTTTCACCAGACACAAATGGTACCAGGGTTGCTGCATCCAAATGGTGTCCCTTATCACCACTCAGCTGACCCGGAGCCAGCCTTTAGACGGTGGTGTGAACCTTCAGTGCTCATGGTTCCAGTCTCCCCCATTTCTTGAGGTGGATTTCCTCTCAGGATTCCAGGGTCCTTCCTTTCAATTCATCACATTAGAGATACCCCAACCCCTCAGGCATAGTTTCATATTTCTGAGCCTGAGGTAAAGGGAGGCAGGGTCTTTGTCCCCTTTCTTTCTGAGGGTAATCTATCCCTCTCTATATAAAAATAATTGGAGCAACTCTGCAGCATCTGAGCCCCAAAACCGGATCGTGGAGGGAGACACAGCGTCGGACTCCACAAGGCAGTAGGCGAACACCGCACCTCGAGTCCATCTGCGTTGCTGCTTGAGGGTATGGACGATGTGCGGGATGGAGGCCCAGAGCTGTTCATCCCTGCAACCAATGTTCACGCAACCACCAGGGGGCGAAAGGACTCTAACCCCACACGTAGTGAGTGGTTCCCACGCCACGTTCCAGTAGGAGAAATGAAGTTCCCGGGGACGGAAGAAGATGGCAGTCACCTGGTGTGCCCAGCATGTTTGACCCCCCGAGCAGCTTATGTTTCAACACCTCTCTCTATATAAGATAGGATTACTTGCTATGGTGATTATAAAATGAAACAAATAATAGTGATGGCCAGAAAGGAAACATTACCAGTGAAAATTTTTCTTTTATTGAATTTCATAAATATAATTAAAAAAACAAATGAATAAAAATAAAGCAAACATCATAATACAAAAAAGGAAATAAGGCCTGGTTTTTTTCCCAAGAGTCTAAAAATCTACATCTTGGTTTCAACTTTGACGCCTTGGTAACAGTTTGGTGTAATATTTTGTGCAAATAATTGTCCAGTAACCAATAAGTAGATGTTAATCAAACTGAATCATCTACAGAAGATACGGTTTAGGCAACTACTAAATCATTTCATTTTTGTAAATTTTATTTGCTCGATTTACTTTTGTTTTAAAACAATTGACAATGACTACAGAATACACTTCATTTTCAAGATATTATTTAAATTCCACCAATAGTTGACATATGAAGTAAACCAAATAAAAATATTACACCTCCAAAGTGTCACTGTCTCACCGCTCTAAATTGTAAACAAAAGTTAAAACTTCAGCTGGGCACACAACGTGAAAGAGGGGGTCTGTTGTTGTTGCTGCTTTTGTTTTTAAACACAGGGTCTTGCTCTGTCGCTCAGGCTGAAGTGCAGTGGCATGATCTTAGCTCAGTGCAGCCTCAAACTCCTGGACTCAAGTGAGTCTTCCCCTTCAGCCTCCTGAATAACTAGGATTACAGACGCATGCCACCACACCTGGTCAATTTTTAGAAATTTTTTTGGTAGAGATTGGGGTCTCAATATATTGCTGAGGCTGGTCATGAACTCCTGGCTGGTCATGTACTCCTGGTCTCAAGCAATCCTCCTGTCTTGGCCTCCCAAAGTGCTGGAATTACAGGCATGAGCCACCAGCATTCTGGTTCTTGGTCTTTGCTTCTCCATGCTGCCACAACTGGTTGCAAATCCCCTGTTAGAGGGGTTATGCATAGACTGGAGTGGGAGATCCAAACTGCACCCCACAGCCTTATCAAACCCCATCCACATAACAGGGAGTTCTCTGAATTACCTTCCATGCAGAATACAATGTTTAGTAAAGTGAGTAGTAACAAAGGTGCTCTGCTGAAGCTTACATATATATCATTAAAACAGTGACTACAGCAGTTGTTTTTGACTGAGACCAAAAATAAATAAATAAACAAATAGAAAACAAGATTCTTTTTCACGTGGGAGTATTTTTTATTATTGACATTGTTTAGGATTGCTGGCATATGATGATAATAAAAAGCAGTTGGATTTTAGTTGTTTTTATTTTTCTTGTTCAACATACTTCAGACAATGCCAACACCCCCACTGTCATCTGCACCCGGGCAAACCCACCCACTGCCTTGAGAATCTGGCTGCCTGCTTTGTAGAAACAAATAAATAAGTCAACAACATGAGCCCTGCCTGCAGGATCTGGTTATGAAGAAGGGTTCCTTCTTAGTATCCTGCCTCAAGGAGGCCTGTTTTTTTTCCTAAATATTGGGGTCTGAAAATCTCTGAACCTTCCAGGGATAATACCACAGGCCATTGGCCCCAAAGTGGTTGCCATGGCTCCTGAAATCAACCCAGTCATTCCTGTGACAGGTCATCAGAACAGGCTTCAGGATGGCTAGCTTGTGAGCTTTCTGCAGTTGCTGAAAGGCCTCATGTGACTAAACTGAACTATTCACCCCTCTCTGTCTCCCCAGGCCAGGTATCCACAGCTACCAGAAGCCTAGCTCTCATCCACACCTCCATGGTCTTTCCAACACCCTGAAATCGTACATGAAAATCAGCCTAAATACAAGTAATCATTCATGGCATATTGAATTTTTGGGGGACTGAAATTAACTATAAACTGGATTACATTGTTCTAATTTGGGAGATAGAAATAAACACTTAAGATGGAGCTTTCGAATCAAAGTTATTATTTTTCAAAAATGGCCCTAGAGTCCTATGGTAAACAGAATAATAGCCCCCACCTGCAAAGACATCCGCATCCTAATCCCCGGAACTTGTGAATATGGTACAGTGCCGAGCTGGATTTGGGGGGAAAAGTCCAGCACCAGTAGCTGAGACCCATCAGCAATGGGCAGGGATGAGGAGGCCCCAGGAGCAGGGAGCCCAGACCCCAGAAACAGCTACATCCCTAGGGCCTTAACTGTGATTGGTGTCACCAGGGGCTCTGGGTCCTTCCGAAGTCACAGCATAGTGGGTGAGCTGGGTGGGAGGATCTCTCATCTAAGCCACCGACTCGTCACTGTGACTGACCAGCGCCCGGGCAATGGAATTTTCTCATCCGCTGGCAGTCTGCAGAGTCCCCAGTGGCAGGGACGGAGAGGAAACTTGATCTACATGAAGTGTGAGTCCACGGTCGGTTCAGAGATTCTTTTGACTTTCCAGGATAATATTTTATACTAAGGGTTGGACTTGCATCTGCTGCTCATTGCTGCTGTCACAAACTACCAAAAACCTAATGGCTTACAACAGTGGAAACTTATCTCATGCTGAAGTCAGAAGCCTGACACGGGTCTTACAGGCTAGAATCAAAGTGTCGGCAGAGCTGCGTTCCTTCCCAGGGCTCCAGGGACAATTCGTTCTTGCATCTTCTGGCATCTAGAAGGCACCTGCATTCTTTGGCTCATGGTCCCTTTCTCCATTTCAAAGTGTGTCCTCGCATTGCCCTCTCTGACTCTGACCTGCCTCTCTCTTATAAAAACCCCGTGATGGGCCTGGCGCGGTGGCTCACACCTATAATCCCAGCACTTTGGGAGGTCAAGGAGGGTGGATCACGAGGTCAGGAGATCGAGACCATCCTGGCCAATGTGGTGAAACCTCGTTTCTACTAAAATATAAAAAATTAGTTGGGTGTGGGGACGCACGCCTGTAGTCCCAGCTACTCGGGAGGCTGAGGCAGGAGAATTGCTTTAACCAGGGAAGCAGAGGGTGCAGTGAGCCAGGGTCAGGCCACTGCACTCCAGCCTGGGTGACAGAGCAAGACTCTGTCTCAAATAAATAAATAAACAAATAAATAAATAAAACCCTGTGATAACGTTGGGCTCGCTCACCTATTCCAGGGTCACCTCCTCTTCTCAAGATCCTTAGCTGAATTACATCTGCAAAATGCAAAATGTAAAGTCAGATGTTCAGAGATTAGATGTCAGGGATTAGGATGTGAACATTTGGGGGGTGGGTGTGGTTATTCTGCCTATCGCTGGACTCTCCTGCCATTTTTGAAAAATACTTTTAAAATATTAGATTTGACCTGTTCATTTCTCTGTCTTCTAAATTAGAACAATTTGTTCCAGTTTATGTTTGGCTTAAGTCCCAAAGAAATTCAATATGAAACCAATAATTGCTGGTTATTAGCCTAATTTATCATTTGGGACTTGGCTGTACTTATTCATCAAACTAAAAGATGGTGGTGAATTCATTAATAATTTTTACTTAGAGTGTGTGTAGGTCTTTAAAAATGATTTGAGGTTGTTTACAAACTTAAAATAGAATGAATACAATCAAAACCCAAAATGACTCGAAGAGACAAGCAGATTTTACCAGGTACCTCATCTACAGACTGGGAACATCACCTCAAGGCAGTTTGGTTGGTTGGTTGTTGCAGTTTCTGTTCAAAGATGAACCCACTGTGCTTCCTGGTCATGTTGTCTGACAAGCAAAAGTACACACGGGGTTGGAAAGAAAACCGATGCCCAGACCTGGAGTTCGGGGAGGCATCTGTATGCGGAGACCTGAGTTGGGGGAGGCACCTGTATGTGGAGGCCAGGGTTGGGGGAAGTATCTGTGTGCACAGGCCTGGGTTGGGGGAGGTATCTGTATGTGAGGGCACCGAGACCCAGGTTCTCTGCTAATGTGCTGTCAGCTTCTAGTCCTGAGCCTGACTATATGAGGCCAGGCCTATCGGCAGATAAGCCAACCTTGTCTTATCTCGTCTTCCTCCCCGCTGCTCCCAACTCTAACCCCCTATCTTCCTCTCAGCTCCCTTCTGAAGGCTGTCTCAGATCCCTCCTGGTAACACAGTCTCCGTCGACCCCCCTGAACCCACTCTTTTCTAATGTGACAAACCAATGTGCCACGTGATCCTGCCCGCCTCGCCAGGACTGAAGCTCCTAAACACCTCCAGCACCTGCTCCACTCTCTCTATTAGAGGATTTTGTTCTGCCAGAGCTCCTGCCTGGGGTTGCAGACGGGGTGCGAGAGATCAGCCTGCTCCTGGCTTAATGCACATTCCAGATTCCTCCCCTTTGAGCCCCATGCTGCCAGCCACCATCCAACACCCATGGGCAGCTCACACTGAAGCACAGAGTGGGAGCCTCATGCCATAGGCCCTACCCTTCTGCCTCCCTCTGCCCATGCTGCTCGGTCCCAGCGTTGGCCCCAGCCCTGTTCCTGCTCCCCGTCCTGCCAGCCCAGCTCCTCACCCTTTGCTCGACTGCAGAGATTCCTGGCCCCACATCCTCCCTGTCTTTGGACGCCCAGCAGCTCGCATCACATCTCCCACACTGATGCTGAATGGGGCTGCAGGAACTCAGCCCAGCACCACAGACCCCTGGTCTCCAACTCCATATGTGGCTCAGGCCTCTCAGCAGCTTACACACCAGTGTCCACCCCTCCCCAAGTAGCTCCCATGGTTCCAGACCTCCCCTTCTCTCCCCATGCGCCAACCCCGCGTCCCCTTCCCAGCTCTCCCTGAAGACCCCAATCCAACTTCACAGAGCAAAGCAAGATGACAGAGGATCCTCTCCTTCCATCCTAAGAGGCCTTTGCATCTGGCCAAAAAGCTCAGCCTTCTCCTCTTCACAATTAGGAGTTACCCAGGACATTGCCCATTGCCCGGAGTGGGTAGAGAGGCCTGGGGATGCTGGAATGGGCAGAGCCTGCTGACATCTTACACACAGGGGACTTTGAGAGGTCTCCAGGCCTGGAAATTACTCTGAGCAGCGAAATTCGGGGGAATTAATTAACACTAGGATCAGGAGGAACTGGACGAAGAGCCTAAGTCACCCTTTATAGGGTTTTTTTTTTAAATTTTATTATTATTTTTTTCATTTAGTTGTTCTATTCTCAACATTTCACATGCCCAGAGATTGAAAGGGGGAATTGTTCTGCAAAGTTCATTCTAGACAATGGTGATCCTCTTCACCGCCATTTCCTATTTCCCGGGGCCAGCTGCCTTCACCAACAGCTGCAGATTCTCTTGGTATCTACCTGCAAGTCTGAGATCACACCGCAGCGCTGGATGTAGCAATCCTGGTCCTTATCTAGCGATGCAGCCACAGTGCCTGAGGACATGGCTCTGTTTTACTCCTTTGACTCCACAACGCACCTGAGCTGTGTCCTGCCCTCCACCTCCCGATTAGGTGATATAGTAACTTCAGTGAGATCAACAGTCAGTGCTTACATTCATCTAAACTCGTAAATGCGATGCCCAGCTGTGATGGTTAGTTTTACGTGTCCATGTGGCTAGGCTCTAGTGCCCAGCTATTAATTCAGATGCCAACCTGGGGGTTGCTGTGAAGGTGTTTTGTACAAACGGCTAATGTCTACAATCATTGACTTTAATCAAAGGAGAGGATCCTAAGCCTTGTGGGTGGGCCCCACCCAATCAGTTGAAAGACCTTACGTACAAAACTGAGGTTTCCTTGAGGAGGAAGAAATTCTGCCTCCACATGTCAGTGTCAGCTCTTGGCTGAGAGTTTCCAGCCTGCCAGCTGCCCTACAGATTTTGGACTTGCTAACCCCACAATTACATCAGCCCATTCCTTGAAATAACTCTTTTTATGTTATGTATGCATACATACATATGTGTGTGTATGTATGTGTGCATGTGTATATATATATGTGTGTGTGTGTGTGTGTGTGTGTGTGTGTGTGTGTGTATGGCTAACATGTTCCACAGGTTTGGTTTCTCTGGAGAGCCTTGATTAATATATCAGCTAAGCCTGGAATATATAAGCTTTCTACATCCTTCTGTTTTTCTAGGAGTTAATGATGGTCTTGGTTTTTATTTGCCTAGTTTCCAACGTAGTTAACAGTGATTTATCCCCAAATGTCCCATCCAGTGCTCTCTACATGTAAGTCTCTTTCTGGGGTGCTATGGAAGCCTCTTGCCTTGCAGGAAAGTCTGGGCCCTGCAGGGTTGGCCTCCCAGGACCCTGGAGGATTCGCTGGGTCTCACTGCCTTGTGGGACCACCCTCCGCACTCCTGGATTCCTGGATTCTGTGCCCTCTCTTGCCTGCTTTATTCCCTCAATTCAGTGAAGCACATCTTCATTGGTGTTCAGAGGCAATTGGAAATGTATTTCTCTCTCTTCAGACTGAGGGCTATAGAATTCTAGGCTGGAAATCACCTTTCCTCAGAGTCTCGAAGACACTGTTTTATTGTCCCAGCATTGCTCTTGCCAAGTCCAAAGTGCACACTGATTCTGGATCCTTTGTCTGACGCTATCCCCGCCCTTTCTGAAAGCTGGAAGGTGTTATTTTTGCCCACAGTGTTGGGAAATTTCAAGGCAACGTGTCCTGGGAAGACTATTTGCATCTGCTGTGCTGTGCACTGGCTGGTCCCTGCCCTTTGGGAACCCACATACTTCAGTTCTGGACTTTCCTTCTGCCTTCCTCTGTCTTCTCCTTTTGTTTTTTATTCTTGTTTTTTTTTTTAAATTGACACATAGTAATTGCACATATGTATGGGGTACATGTGATATTTTGATACATGCCTACAATGTGTAATGATCAAATCAAGTTAGCTGGAATATCCATTGCCTCAAACATTCATCCTTTCTTTGTGCTGGGACCTTTTCAAATCTTCTTTTCCAGCTACTTTGAAACTTATAATAAGATATTGTTAACTATTGACACCCTCCTGTACTATGGAGTGCTAGAGCTGATTCTTTCTCTCTAACTGCTACCATTTTCTTCTTCTTTTTTTTTTTTAAATTTCAGAAGCCTTGTTATTCCCTTACATTACTTTTTTAAAAGCATTATATTTTTGCTCTTTAGTCCTTGCTGGGATTTTGATAGTTTTTTTTTTTTTTTAAGTTTTTGTCTCCTTGTATGTTCTAAAAAGCCGGTGGGAAGCTCCATATAGGAAGATGGGTCTTGATAAAAGCGCACTTGCTCACGCCTGTAATCCCAGCACTTTGGGAGGCTGGGGAGGGCAGATCACTTGAGGTCAGGAGTTCGAGGCCAGCCTGGCCAACATGGTGAAATCCCGTCTCTACTAAAAGTACAAAAATTAGCCGGGCATGGTGGCGGGTGCCTGTAATCCCAGCTACTTGGGAGGCTGAGGCAGGACAATTGCTTGAACCCAGGAGGTGGAGGTTGCAGTGAGCCCAGATCACACCACTGCACTCTAGCCTGGGTGACAAGGGTGAGACTCCATCTCAAAAAAAAAAAAAGAAGCGCATTTGCTCTAGGTGTTCTGCATGAACTGTTCAATTTGGGGAATTGCTTTCTTATGTTGATTCAGATTCCTGGACTCCAGCAAACTCATTCTTAGAAGCTCAAAGGCTGAGGTTCTGGGAGCCCCCTGGTAGAAGCAGGGTGGATGTCTTTTTTTTCCCCTAGTGCCTTCAGAACAGTGTTTCTGGCCCAGAGGTGCTGTTTCCTCCACACAAGACCCTGTCTGTTCTCCCCTCCGGGAGCTCCTCTAGTCTCTGCTAGGATGGAGGTGAGGTCATCTGGTTGGTGGGCAGGGTAAGGAGATCTGGGAGTCTCTGTACTTTTAATCGACTTTCAACTCTTCCTGCAGTGCTTAGCCCACCCTCATCCCCTTCCAGAGTGCTGGATGCCACCAATCCCTGAGCTTCCTGGCTCTCTAGGGTTCAAATTCAGCTGCTAAGTTAGGATTCTCCTGTTTTTTGGATGGTTCAGTTGCAATTGGTCCTGCCGCTCTTTGGCTTGCAAATCCTTTTTGCTATTGTCTTGTCTTCTCTTCTATTTGCCCTTGGAAATGTATGACTAAAGAATAAAACAAATGACACAAGTGAAAACCTTTGCTGTATTTTAGTGGGGTCTCAGGAGGAAACGGGGTGAATGCGTGTGTGCAGTGCTTTGAAATTTACAGGCAGCTTCCCTCACCTGCCCTCCATGCATTCAGCAGCCACTGTTTCTGAAGCTTAGACCTGGAGGGTGGCTTTCATAAGGACTCTCTTCCTGGCAGGGGAGGTCTCCAGATTGGGAGTCATTCCGGATGTGAGGAATTCTCATTCCACTTTTGGATCCTAACAGCTGGTGACTAGGAGTAAGAGCTGCTTCATGTGATAAGTAATGACCCTGAGGTTCTGAATTGGGGCTGGTAGAGAGCCCCTCGTGAGTCCTGGGAGTGTTTGGGTCTCCTGCAATCTTATCAGCTAATATCCAATGCTTTTGTCGCACCCTTCACTAAGAATGTGCCTCTCCAGGAGTCTAATGGACTCAGTCTCGTCCCTCAAAGTGTGGTTCTTCATATTAATGAAAATTGATCCCTTTCTGACTTCACGATGCTGGGCGCTGTGAGCATTCAAAGCACAGCAGATTAACTTCTACGTGGCTGTGCTCAGGGGTGATCTGGGCTTAGGCTGGCTGGCTCCATCCCTGCTTCCTGGTCCAGCCTGGGAGTGATGGAGTCCCCCAGGGCACTTGCCTCTGTCCCTGGTGTTGCATCTACACTGAGCCTGAAGCGTTCCGTTGAGAGATGGCAAAGGCGGCTCATGAGACGATCTTGTCTGGCCTCGGCTTGACTTCATTGCGATGGATGCAATTACAGCTCCAAGGGGACATGCTGTTTCTTGGAAAATCATTTGTTTTCTTTCAAATCATGGACCTGATGGATCTAGGAGAACTTACTTTCACTGACTGGCTAGCTGATGCTACCTACAACTTGGCTTTTAGTGTTTTCTGTGGTCATCTATGTAGGTAAAGAGAGATGTAAAGAATGAAGCCTGAAGGAAATTAATTTCCTAATTTTTATTTTAAAAGCTATATAGAGTCTTTAAAAGCTCAGTTATGGAAGTATAATTTAAATGGAATAAAATTCACCAACTTTTTAAAATTTTTTTACTGTTTTATTTAATGAATATTAATTTTTTTATAGAAAACATAGAATTTCTAGCAATTAATATTGTAGTAAGAATAGATGTATGAAGTCACAGATAATCTTGCTAAACAAAGATCTTCTCTTGTAGATCCAAAGTCATGAGTAGGCCTAAACTGGCAGTACCTATTGTTCATTTATTGTAGGAGGATTTCCCATTTTATAAACAAACATGTTATTTATGGGAGGAGGTTCAGGGCTTCAGAATGTCTTCAGTGTATATTTCCTGATACTCAAGGGGTGGAATTCCCCTTCTGTCCATCAGGTGACAGCTACTTGCAGCTGAGGGCATTTTGCAGAGGCTTCTCCAGAGTTAAACACATAAAAAGATAATTCCCTGGTAACCAAATATGGCCGCTGTATTAGCCCATTCTCACGCTGCTGTGAAGACATACCTGAGACTGTGTAATTTATGAAGGAAAGAGGTTTAGTTGACTCACAGTTCCACATGGCTGGGGAGGCCTCAGGAAACTTACAATCATGGCAGAAGGGGAAGAAAACATGTCCTTCTTCACATGGCAGCAGCTAGGAGAAGTGCCGAGCAAAGGTGGAAAAAACCCCTTATAAAACCATCAGATCTTGTGAGAACTCACTCACTATCATGAGAATAGCATAAGGGTAACACCCCCATGATTTAATTACCTCCCACCAGGTCCCTCCCACGACTTGTGAGGATTATGGGAACTACAATTCAAAATGAGATTGGGTGGGGACACAGCCAAACCAGATCACTTCCCACCCCAATCTTACCAAACTATAAATTACTTACTGTTATATATGTGTATATATATATAATTTCTTATCTCTTTACTATCTCCCCTCCCCTTCTTTTCAGTTGCTCCTCTCTAGAATCCTACACAAGCTTTTACCCAAATACTACCATTTCAAGGGCCAGCAAAGTCCTTCACTAAAGGACAAAGTCTTCCTTTGCTATTCTACTCTACAGTCATCTAGGCTCTGACCTTTAGCCATTATCAAGCATCTGGCTTTAATCTTTTGGTTGCCTAATACTGCTAATTAGCTTTTCACAAGTTTTGACATCTTCCAATTAGATTATAGGCTCCTTAAAGGCAGATTCCTGCCAGGTGCAGTGGCTCATGCCTGTAATCTTAGCACTTTGGAAGCCCGAGGTGGACAGATAGCTTGAGTCCAGAAGTTTGAGACAAGCCTGGGTAACAAGGCAAAACCCCATCTCTACAAAAAAACAAAGAAACAAAAAACAACAAAAAAATTAGCCGGGCATGGTGGTGCACGCCTGTCATCCCAGCTACTTGGGGGACTGAAGTGGGAGGATTGCTTGGGCCCAGGAAGTGGGGGTTGCAGTGAGCTGAGATCTCACCACTGCATTCTAACCTGACCAACAGAGAAAGATCCTGTCTCAAAAGAGCAAAAAATAAGGCAGATTCCTTTATTCCATTTTTTCTATTTTCCTCATGCACCTACATAGTAGATGCTCTAAATGTCCTGGTTTTGAAAAGTAATATAGTCAATCCCCCGTGACTCAACATATACATTTTAGTGTTCTCTAAAGATTTTTCTAGAACCAATCTATGTTATTTATATAAACATGAATATTCTGCTAGCCCAATAAATCTTTTGAGTGTTTCGTATCAGAACTTATGAGCTGACTGTGTCCCAGCCACAGGACTGCAGCTGTTCATCCTGTGGGATTTTGACCTCAATGTTGTAAACAAAATTTGGATCATTCTTCTGATTTTTCTCAAAAAGTTCATCCATGATGCTCTTCCTTTTGGCAAGCTCCTTGTCATCCAGTGTGTTCAGGTCTTTTCCAGGATCAATGGTTGTTTCCGGTCCAATTTGTCCCATTGTTTCTGCCCAACTCTGCCTCCACAGGTAACCTTGTAAAAAACCGGATAGCTTCTCTAGCTGCCTCGGGAATCCTTGTTACGGGTAACTCTCGTGTCGTAGGTTATTCTTTAGCTGTTCAGCCGCTTGCGTGCAACCTGAAAACTTTGAAAAATTTTGAACTGGCAGAATGCGCGAGCGAATTCTCCCCTTGAATTTCATTCTCGTAGATTAAGATGCTAGCTGGAGGCTAAAATCAGATGCCACACTTCTTGGCAGCGCACATCATTCCCACACACACTTCAGAGGATATCGGAGGAAATCTGATGAAAATGTGTAAGTTGCATAATGACTTCCTGCCTTGGAAAAATACAGAAAGGGCATCTTCTTCTGCAGGCCAACATCTATACTGCTTGGAAGGGGTTGCTCCCACCCAACAGCAATGCAAAGAGGAGCACCTAAGTAGACTTTGAGGCTGGGCAGAGCCTGGTACTGCAGGAAGAGACAACGGCCTCAGTCCTACTGATGTGGCTGGATGAACTCCCTGGAAGTAGAGGTGGGGCCGGCACAGGGCACCATATGCTGGCTCCCATGATGGCATGCATGGCTTCAGAGTCCTGAGGGGCACTGGTTAAGCTGTTTCCACAGCAACACCCAGGGCTCACCAAAATTCACCCATTCTAAGTGTACAGCTCAATGAGTTTTTTGACAGTATACAGTATATAGTCACGCAACCACCACTTTCTATATTCAAGAAATAGAATGTGTCCGTTCTTGGGAAAAGCCCCTTGTGCCTCTTGGTGGTCCTCCCTTCCCCTCTGCTCCCAGGCAACCACCGCTCTGCTTTCTGTCTCCGTAGTTTTGCCTTCCCTAGAGAAGTGAAATCACACAATTAGACACTCTTTCACTTAACAAAGTGTTGCTGTGTATCAGAAGTGTGTTTCTGTTCACCTTTGGGTAATATTCCATTACATGTTGATACCATCATTTGTTTTTCTGCTCCTCAGTTGATAGATATTTGTGTGGTTTCCTATCTTCGGCTATTATAAAGGAAGCTGCTACAAACATTTTGCGTATGACTCTCTGTGTGTTCGTTTGCTTTAATTTCTCTTGGATAAATACCTAGGAATAGACTTGCTAGGTCATGTGTCAGTGTATGTTAAACTTTATAAGCAAGTGCATAACTGTAAAAGTTATATAGATGACACATGGCTACTCACATTTAAATTAAATAAAATAAAAATTTAAAGTCACTTCCTCAGTTGCAATTGCCACAGGTCAGGTGCTTCTCACTAGCCACATGCAAATATGTATGGGATAGCACAGCATGGAATATTTACATCATACAGGAAACTTCCATTGGACAGCACTGGTACAGAATTTAATATATTGGGTTTCAGAACAGAAATACTTGTATTGATTTGGGCAAAGGATATTTTACAAAGCCATGGATAGCCTTTCTCACTATTGTTTATATGAACAATAAGACGCTTGCCAAGTCTAGGCAAAGAGGAAGCATCCCATCTTGTGTTAGCTTTGTGGAAAAAAATATTAGGAGCAGCCCAAGGACCAAAGCATCTGACAGCCTGAAGAAGTGATTGTTCATCCCGTCACAGCTGGCTGTCCATGTGGGGATACCACCCACAGGGACCCAATTTCCTCCAGACCTTGGCAAACTCCTGTCGACAGCTCCAAGACCCAAGGACTCCATAGAATGGAGAGGGGGCTCTGCTCACGGCTGGGAAAATGCCAGGGGCCCCATGACAGGTGACATAATGAACTGATTGGAATCATTATCTCAGAAATAAGCTTTCTCCATTGCTTCTCAGATGGTGTCTTCATTCATCACTGATAAGAAAGGACATGGAGCCCAGCTGAGAGAGTACAAGTCACCCATCCACCTTCACACCTTCAAGGCTTCCAGTTCCAGCATCCTTGACTCTGTTTATGGATGAAGACCTTAGGATTTGGCAAATAGAATTTTTTTTCTGACCATGGTCCAGATGGGCTTGTTTTACCTTGGCTTTTTTACATGCGGTTCCAATTTCCTGGCAGCTGGGGCTACTGGTGAGGAATCAGGACCCAGGACAATCAGGGGCATTGACTGTGGGCATGGTTCAGTTTCTTGTGTGTGGTCTCGCTCAAGAAGGGAGGGCACATCACTACAGAAGGGTTTTTTGTTACCTCTGGGGCAATGTTGTGTTTTGTGAAAGAAAGTATTTTAACCACACATTTGAACAAAGCTGGCAAAACAATAGTTCCTCTTGTGGTCTTCCATTAATCTTCTTTTATGTAAGGAGAAAATCGGATGCCTTAATGATGTCATCATTTGGCCTGGAAAAGAACCAATGGAGTTAAAGGGCCCCATTGTTTCCCTGACACAGTGGTGGAAGAGGAAGAGGCATTTGCTTTTACTGTTCCAGAGAGAAGAGGGCACGTCTGCAGCCCACCACCCATAAACACGCTGGAATCTTAACACTGGGAGGATTCGCCAGGAGGGCTTTGTGGACATAGTCTTCATTTCCACAGAGGCTCCTCCATCTGTCATCTGCTTTCTTGTCACCCCCCAAATAAAAAGAGCTCAAATTTGTTTATGGTAAGTCTACTGGAAAGTCCCTTCCCATAACCCTTCACTCTATGGTTCCTTTCTCTCTTCACCTTTGGTGGAAAAGTGAATTAGGGCAATAAAGCAATAAAGCCATCTTCTGAGAGGTGTCAGTCAGCCAGGGAAAATGTGGGTGTGTTGTAGATACTTTGCAGGAAGAAGCTGGATGGTGTGACAAGCCCATTTTGGGGGAAGAGTATCAGGGTTAACTGCTGCCCTTCCGGGGCAATTCTGCAAAACTAAAATCTCCATGGACTTTCTGAGCAAGGGTTCCTGGGGCAAGGGATGAGAAAGAGAAGACAGATGTGGCAGAAAAAGAGAGGGACACCAAATCATGTAGACAGGAGACTCCCAGGCACCCATCCAGATTTAACTCTGTGTGCACAAAAAGCTGCCTTGATGGCAAAGTGGCAGCTCACAAATGGCCCCACAGTGTGACTATTTACGTCCAGTCTCTACATGCCCTTGCAGAGACGATGTAACCAGCAGGGTTACATAATTGACTTTCAGTAGAGGATGCAAAAGTGATCCCAATGTTTTGCCCTTTCCTCCACTCATGCCTTTTGCAATGTGACTTTGCACTCTTTCCCTCAAGAGTTGGAGTTCATTTCTATGTTCCTTGAATCGAACTGGTCTTTTGGCTTGCTTTAGCCAACAGAGTGGGGTGGAAGCGACTGAGTTCTGAGTCTAGGCCTCAAGATGTTTTGTACAATTCTGCTGTCTCACTTGGACCCTTGCCTCTACCGTGAAAACAAGCCCAGGCTAAGTGGTTAGAAGGAGAGAGACTAAATGTATGTATGGAACAGAGAGAGGTGAATCTTCCTAGCTGAGACCAGGCTAGACCAGCTATCATCCAGCCTGCTTACAGATGTACCAACAAGTCCAGTGGAACCTGCCCAGGCAAACTCTAGGCTTGTAAGGAATCATGCATGATTGTTTCTTTAAGCCGCTAAGTTTTGGGGAGGTTTGTTACACAGCAGCAACTAACTGATAACTCTTTATAAGAGATATTGAGGGTAAAGAGATTATAGATGAGATAAAATCATGATAAAAGCCAAACGACAACAGCACTGGCTTGTGCATAAGCTGTGGATACCATGAAGCAGAGCCCTGGGGTGTGTCCTCCCAGGCTTGGGAACCAGTAGTTAGTGAGGTTGATTATGGCCCCCACCAGGATGGAAGAGGAGTGGGCTTTGGCCCTGGAATCTGACAGGA
The DNA here is from genome assembly GCF_000001405.40 of Homo sapiens. Classification (NCBI taxonomy): domain Eukaryota; kingdom Metazoa; phylum Chordata; class Mammalia; order Primates; family Hominidae; genus Homo; species Homo sapiens. The sequence continues at coordinate 235,151,032 of NC_000002.12, forward strand.
GCAGCAGGGAGGTCAAACTGCAAGGCACTCGAGCCTCTCCATCCAGCTTGGAAAAGAGCACTTTCTTTAGATCCTTGACTCAATCAACTCCCATCTCTAAAGCCAGCACTCAGACTGCTGTGAAAGTGAGCATTCTCTGGCTTCCCTACATTATGCAGCCAATCTGTAAACTAGATCATCAGCACTGGGCAATTTAAAGTTTACTATAAGAATAACAAGCATTTATTGAAACAGATGCAGACTATTAAACCACACCACTTAGAGAAAAGAGCTGTTTAACATTTTGGTGAGCTTCCTTCACACATCTCACAGTGTACAAACATACACATAGAGTTTTAATAAATGCAATCCTAAGATTCAAATTTATGTTTATTTTCCTAAAATTGCAAAATTGGGTGGGACTGGTGGCTCATGCCTGTAATCCCAGCAATTCCAGAGGCTGAGGTGAAACGATCACTTTAGCCCAGGAGTTGGAGACCAGCAACATAGCAAGACCTCGTCTCTACAAATAATGTAAAAAGTTAGCCAGGACCTCGTCGCTATAGATAATTTTTAAAATTAGCCAGGAATGGTGGCAGGTGCCTGTAGTCCCAGGTACTCAGGAGGCTGAGATGGGAGGATTGCTTGAGCCCAGGAGATTGAGGCTGCAGTGAGCTGTGATTGCACCACTACACTCCAGCCTAGTGACAGAGGGAGACCCCATCTCAAAAATAATACTAATAAAAATAAATAAAATGAAGTTGCAAAATATCCCATGCTTAATGTAGACAATTCAACGAACAAGAAATGTCTGAAGTTAAATATGAAAGTTCTCCTCCTCTCTAAGTGTGAATTTCTTTCAGTGTATTCATTAAAACATTGTTTCCTTTGTAATTTTGCTGTATGTTCTGTGTTCTAAAACACTCACTTGTTTTTCAGCTACATCCATTTAACTACCAGTTAGTCCACCAAGTTCTTGTTTAGATTGTTATTATTGTTTTATTGTCTTTAATTTCTAAAACATGTTGACTATCTTCTCTTTGATCATTTTCTTAGCAGTCTGTTCTTCTTTCATGAATGGAGTATGGATTCTTAAAGTTTTCTACAGATATTCATTAGGCTTATAAAAATGTCTTTTTCTTTCTTGTGTGGACCACGTTTCCTTGAAAACCATTTGCTTTGCTTGCCACTTTAAGCCAGTTGATTTCCCTCAAATGACTCATGATTCCTGTTGTGGGCTTTTATCTGTCAATGAAGATCTCAATTTAATCAGTATTGGTAACTGTTGTGAGCATCTTTTGAAAATATGAAAGCCACTGCTTTGATTCTCTAGTTAGGTAGATCCCTGGTGTGCAAGGCTTGGCTGTGTGTTTGGGGGTGGGCTTACCCATGGCTGCAAGAAGGTGAATATTTGCCAGTAGACACTTCTCTTTGGTTTGTGTGGATAGAGAAGTAGTTCCTGGACTGGAGGTTCTCTTTTGTGAAGGAAGAAAGGTAGAAGGTATCTTGGGAGTGGAGTAGGTTAGTAAGTTTGGGGATCGTTTGGAGGGTGTGTTAACAGGCCCCTCGCTGGGCACCACCTGCCGAGTTTCTGATTCGGGGGGTCTGGGGTGGTAGGTCCTGAGAATGTGTCTTTCTTTCTTTCTTTTTCTTTCTGTCTTTCTTTCTCTTTCTTTCTTTCTTTCTTTCTTTCTTTCTTTCTTTCTTTCTTTCTTTCTTTCTTGTCTTTTTCCTTCTTTCCTTCTTTCCTCCTTTTCTTTCTGCCTTTCTTTCTTTCCTTCCTTCTTTCTTTCTTTCTTTTTCTTTCTTTCTTTCTTCTTTCTTTGTCTTTTTCCTTCCTTCCTTCCTTATTTCCTTCTTTCCTCCTTTTCTTTCTTTGTTTCTTTCTTCCTTTCTTTCTTTCCTTCCTTCCTTCTTTCCTTACTTCTTTCTTTCCTTCTTTTCTTTCTTTCTTTCCTTCTTTCTCTCTTTCTCTCTTTCTCTCTTTCTTTCTTTCTTTCTTTCTTTCTTCTCTTTCTTTCTTCTCTTTCTTTCTTTTTTTGACAGAGTTTCTCTCTTGTTGCCCAGGCTAGAGTGCAATGGCACAATCTTGGCTCACCGCAACCTCCGTCTCCTGGGTTCAAGTGGTTCTCCTGCCTCAGCCTCCCAAGTAGCTGGGATTACAGGCATGCACCACCACACCTGGCTAATTTTGTATTTTAAGTAGAGACGGGGTTTCTCCATGTTGGTCAGGCTGGTCTCAAACTCCTGACCTCAGGTGATCTACCTGCCTCAGCCTCCCAAAGTGCTGGGATTACAGGCGTGAGCCACCGCGCCCAGCCCATCTTTCTAACACACAGTAGGTGCTGACGCTGGTGGTCCCAGAATGACCATCTAGAAACACTGATTAGGGGACTTCACTGCTATGCTGAAAGCTTTTTGCTTTTTACCTCTCCGTGCTGAAGTGGTAGCAGGAAGCTGCCCAGGGACAGGGCCAGCCTCCTGCATGGCCCTGATGCTCTCACACAGTCCATAGACCTGCAGCACAGTCCTAGACCCTCCTAGAATCTGGCTGCCGACTCGCAGCCCCAGCCTGCTCCCTGCATTTGAGTTTGAGGCATTTCCCAGGCTGTGTAGGAAAAAGTGGTCCACTCACTTTTCCTGCAGCCTCTGATGGCTGTGATTTGTTTCAGCTCTGACTAAATTTCATCACTGCCATCCTTTCTGCTTTGCATCATTCATAGATTTTGAACAATTTTCTCGAGTTACTGGTGGCCTAGCCTATCTTCTGGCATTGTGATGAGCTCCTTCTCCTTCTTACCTTTTCAAATGATAATTTCTAAATACACAAAAAGTAGAGAAAATAATATAATAAACTCCTGTGTACCTGCCACTGAATTTTACAGGCTTTTGCTTTTTAAATATTTCTTTTGTCATTTAAATAAGATTTGGAGAGGAAGGCTAGTAAACCAAGAGTTCAATCTGCCATCTGGACCTGGTATCCCCCACCCCTTATCATTTTAAATTATTATCATCCAAGATTGTTTATAAGTTTCCATTATCAACATACTCACCAACCCAGTTATTCCAGCTGTGCTGTGTTTCTAGAAAATACTGCCCATGTGACACATGCAATTGCATTTCATGAATAGCTACAGATAAGCCCAACATCTACAGCAATGGAGACCGCATGGATATGACTGAGCAGTCTCCACTGTAGACCCTGTGAGACTTTAAGCCTTGAGGACACACGTGAGCCTCATCATGGATATTAGCACCTGCATTGTGGGAGGACAGTTTTTTTTTTTTTTCCATTTATAGATTAAACTTCCTCTTGTATTTAGTCCATGCCTCCAGTTCTCAGATTCTTGCTACTTTTCTCCCAGCTGCATATCCTTGCACCTGTCTCCAAATGGCAAGCCTCGGCTACACTTGGATAAACTTTCAGGTTGTGTTTGGATAAACTTTTAGGCACAAGGTGGAGATCAACGATGTTGACTTTCTTGAGAGTTAATGATATAGTTTGGCTGTGTCCCCACCCAAATCTCATCTTGAATTGTAGCTCCCATAATTCCACATGTCATGGGAGGGACCTGGTGGGAGGTAACTGAATCACGGGAACGGGTTTCTCCTGTGCTGTTCTCGTGATAGTGACTAAGTCTCATGAGATCTGATGGTTTTATAAAGGGGAGTTCCCCTGCACATGTCCTCTTGTCTGCTGCCACATAAGACGTGCCTTTGCTCCTCCTTTGCCTTCCGCCATGATTGTGAAGCTCCCCAGCCATGTGGAACTGTGAGTCTATTAAACCTCTTTTCCTTAAATATTACCCAGTCTCAGGTATGTCTTCATTAGCAGCATGAAAACAGACTAATAGAGTTAATATACTTTTTGTTTTGTTTTGTTTTGTTTGAGACAGAGTCTTACTCTGTCACCCAGGCTGGAGTGCAGTGGCTCGATCACAGCTCACTGCAGCCTCCACCTCCTGGGTTCAAGCAATTCTCCTACCTCAGCCTCCCAAGTAGCTGGGATTACAGGTGCCCACCACTGTGCCCAGCTAATTTTTGTATTTTTAGTAGAGGCGGGGTTCCACCATGTTGGCCAGGCTGGTCTAAAATTCCTGACCTCAGGTGATCCACCAGCCTTGGCCTCCCAAAGTGCTGGGATTACAGGAGTGAGCCACTGCACCAGACCCAATATTCTTCTATATATATGAGAAACATACAGTTGGCAATAAACAATGGGAATTTAGAACGAAGGTTTCCCTACCTACTACTGCGTGTTCTTGGGCACAGTACTTAACTTCCCCAATTCTTGTTTCTCTCATCTGTTAAAAGAGAAAGTGTCCACCTCATGGAATTATTGGGAGGATCATATAGGATGATGTCATAAAATCTCATGGGGTTCGACCTGGCACACAGTGGGAGCTCAACTCCTGTCAGCCTGGGCTTCCCACTGTGCAGTCACTGCTTTGCTGTGCTGGGTGGGAGCGGCAGAGCCCAGGTAGGAATTGGAATTGTTAGGAAATTCTTCGTGAAGCAGTTGACCAAGGAAAAGGAAGACTTTGAAAAGTTTTTTCTGCATATACTGGTCAGGATTCTTTCAATTATAAATAACAGAGACCCACCTCATACTGGCTGAAGCCAACAAAAAGAACTGTGGCTCTGGTGCCTGTACTATCCGGAGGGACGGCTGGGGCCTGGGCTTCCTGGGCGTCAGCCCGGGTCTCTTTCTCTCTCCATTTCTCAGGGCTGCTCTTCCTCCATTTTCAAGTAGGAGCTCGGAGCTCACACGGTGTTGGGTTTATTTTCGGGCACAATCGATCCCACTGTCTGTGCTCCCTGAGGAGCCCAAGTTTCCATCAGAATCACAGCCAGCAATTCCAGAGGACACCCGGCTGCTTTTCCCAATAGTTCCAGCAACACCCTGGAGCTGGATCGCATCCCCCACACTTGGGCCATGTGCCTGTCTGTGGCAAGAGGAATGGATGCACTTATTGGTCAGGCCTGAGGCACACACCCCCATCCTAGAACTGACCCACTCAAACCATAGAGACTGAGAGTGAGGGAGGGGGACTTCCTAAATGAAAATTGACATGCTCCAGTCAGTAAAAAAAGGAACGGACATAAGGTAGGCAAAACCAGCAGATAAATGCCACACTAAAGAAATGTGTTTTCCTTGGCATGGATATACCTGGCCCTAATTGAGGGTCATTTCGGTGGTAACCATTTCTCACCAGGCAAATATCTGTGTGAGTGGAGCTGTGCATATATCTGCGAGGGGAGCTGCCAGGTCAAAGTACATCTGAATTTTAGATTAGACAGATATTGCCAAATTACTCCCAACTCCTGCTCTTTTGAGTCTTAGCACTTTAGGTCTCTCCCTTCCTGACTGTGTTCTGTAGTCACCTTGCCAGCCCTAGTGGGGATCGCTCCAAAAGAGTGCCCGCTGGTACCTCCACCTGGATTCTGTTTCAGGGCTCTGCTCTCCCCTGTTCCTTAAAGGTCAGAATTTGAAGCAGATTCCTATTGAGCTCAAAGCCCTGTCCCACTTCATGCCAAAGGATTGCTTCTCGCGCTGCTTTCTGCTCCAACTGATGTATCACATTAGCAGCTAACAGTGGTCATCAGCATGTGGGCTGGTCCCCATACTCCGGGGCCCCACCTGGAAAGCCTTCCCTGGGTGCAGATGGGCAGGGCACACCTGCTCCTGCTGTGGCTCACACTTCCCCTCTTTGGCCCCTGTTCCCACTATCCTAGGTCCGCACTGCCTGGTGGAGTGTCTGCCAGGTTGTGCATGGAAGTCTGGGAATTTGGAGGAGAAAGAACCTTCTGTGATGGCTACTTCCTGGGAGGCCATCAGCTGTCTCTATGCCTCTCCTCCCCCTGTGGCCAGGAAGAACAGAGTAGCCCAGAGGCAACTCAGTGTGCATGTGTGATCCAAGAAATGAGAGAGCACCCAGTGCCAGCCAGCCATTTCAAAGGGCTTCCCCAGCCAGCGATGGGAGTGGGGCATATGTGTGAGTGTGTGTGTGTGTGTGTGTGTGTGTTTGTCTTTTCTCATGCATAAACTTCTCCTGTTTTTGTCTTCTGCATCTTCCCTTCACTCGTCCCCACCTCACTCTCCCAGGCTGCCAGGACCATATCATTCTGTCCATGTGCTCTTTCCTCTCTGTGTTATAAAAAGTGTGCGTGTGCAGTCAAAAGCAGTGGTTTGCTGGTGCATGTTAACCAACAAGCTTCTTGAAGAGAGAAAAAGCTCTGATCAGCATTTGCCTATTTCTGTGGCCAGTTTCAAGCTACAAACATGACATCAGTCAATGCAACGTTGGGAAGAAGTGCACACTAGTTGCCGGGGATTAGGATTTCCACCACACAGGCACACAGATGGAAATAGTCTCACGGCCACTGATAATGTAAAATAAGCAAGAAGTGTTGTGTTTTGAGTTTTATTACTTTGTTTTAAATATAATTTTATTTCCAAGTTTGTATACTTTAATTTTTAATATTGGTTGTGTTTAACAATTGCTTTGCAAAATTCCCAAAAAAGTCACATTAGCTCCTGTGAGCCGGTAAAGCCAGTACATGAATGCCTCCTGGAGGGAAGCAAAGGCCTGAGATTCATGAATTTTCTGACAAGTTTGTGCTCAACAGCTCCTCTTTTTCCTGTACAGCCCTTTGGGGCTGAGTGGCGAGGCCTTGGCTGTGACATCCCACACCCCTATCTCAACTCTGCACTGTTGCCAGGAGGTGTCCTGATTTTGGGTCATGGAGCCTTCTGAAGCGCCCTAAAATGAACGCCTGTGAGAATTGTTTTGAGTTTTTCCCCCAGAGCGAAACTGGGCCTTGATTCTAACATACAGATCTCTGCATGTTGTTATTACATCTCTGGAGTGCCTGGGTCAAGAGCTATCTGTGTGCACTTTTACAAAAGAAAGCAAGAGCTGGCCTCCCTGGCTGCTGGGAATGGACTTACCTGAGACTAGCATAGAAGCTCCTCAGCAGGAGAGTAATTGGTGAAAAGATTCCAAGTGAGTCTCTGGAAGGTCTTATTGTCTTACATAAACTCTCTATTTTAAACTTTCAAGTAAAGAGCTAGAAGACCTCTTTCCACTGATTAGAGAAAACCTAGTTTTGGGGTTAAATCCAGCCAACAAATTTAAGTCTCCAAATTGGTTCAATTTGTAAATTCCTCAACAGTGGCCAAAATGAAAGTCAACAGTTGTGCGTGTAACACAACCCACTGCATCCCTGTAGGGGGGCCTGCGGGTGTCAGGTGGTGAGAACTGACTTCCCCACAGTCCCATCTCTGTCTCTTGCTTCAGGACGTGTGGTCCGCCTGCTGCTCCTCATCCCTGCCAGTTCCGTGCCTTCCCCTCTGATGCTTTTCAACACAGCACTCCAAGAAGCAGCTATCTACCAGGAGACACGTAAGGGAAGAAACAAATGTGTTACCTCACCAACACTAACACACACACACACACACACACACACACAAATACACAATTCAGAGTCTGTATTTTAGGAAACCTTTTGACCACCCCATTTCTTGCCTTTCTGCCACCTATTCATATGGTTCCTTCACTGGCTGGCTTAGCCAGCAGGGGCATCCCTGCAGCAAGCTGCCCCTTGCATGTGAAGATGGTTATGCATCCCACATGGCATCTGGATTTGGGTGTGCATCAGTCTGAGCAAAATCAATGGACAGTGCTTGGATTCTGACTTCATTTGACCTATTAAATAATTGCACCCCTTGGCACAAGGGTTATGCATGTTAATATACAATGATGTGTTTGCACCACCTTCTGAGGAGCAGAGGAGCTGTTTCATGGGGAAACAATGGCAGGACAGGCCCCCCTCCCCACAGTGGGATTTTGCTAAGACCCCCAGGCTTTAGCACAGGATGAGTTCCCTGGGAAGGCAGGAGGGGATAGATGCAAAGCCTTGGTGGAGGATGAGTCTTGAGCAGGTAATGAGCCTGAGAGTGTTTTGTTCTCCAGTATTATCCCAGGGGCACTTGGGCAGGCAGGCCACCCTTGAGCAGGGCAGGGTCAGCTCTTACAGTGGACCAGGAGGCATTGAAGGCAGTACCACACTCCCAAGGTGTACCAGCCAGTGATTTGCAACGGGCTCTCCTGAAGAGAAAAACACCATGACTTGTGGTGTCTGCCAATTTCCCTTGTGTAAACACTCCCACCACGACTGATTTCAAGCTACCCGTAGACATTCCCTGAATGGCAGAGCTGGGAAGAAAAGTGCATGACCAGTTCTTCCAAGTGAGCTGCACAACACTATCATTAACACTCTCTGGAGGGCTGTGCCCAGCCACATGGTCATCCAGTTTTGGAAATGGTTGGAATGTGAGGACACCAAAGGCCCAAGTGGAGAGTGGAGGGCAGGCAGTGAGGGGAATTAAGTCAGCCAGATGGCAAGAGGCCCCATGGTGCATTACGTGAACAGTCCCGTAATTCCTGTGTCTTTAGTGATGTCACCACATTTACAATGTGCTGAGGTGGCTGCATTATCACAGAAAATAAAGGTAATATAGAAAATAGAGGTGAAAGTGGCATATGCCTGCAGGCTGGTGTTGAGTCCAAGTTTAAGTGTGGATGCAACCAGGAGAAGAAAAGAGAGTGTGGCAGAACAAAAGGTGTCATCGAGGCACAGCCGAATCAGCTACACACCTGTTGTTTCACAGGCCTCTTGGAAGCATAGTAAGCTTGTTAAATTTTACAAAGACAAGTAACTAAATTCTTTTCTAAAAAGCCCAGATATAAATAACTGGAAATGCATGGATTGCCATTTCTTTATGGACTGATATTTTCCAATGATTTTAAAATAAAACCTCTCATAGAAATGCTTCACATTTCTAGAAAGGTAGCTTCTCACGGCCTTTGTCGTGTATCCCCCAATTCACCGTCTTCGTTGAGCTACAAACATCTTCATGGGATTTATGATTCAAGATGACATTTGTTGAGCACCTGCTATCTATCAGGGGCACTGCACATGTTGATCCATTTAATACCACCACCCTTCAAAGTTGGTACTATTCTCATTTTGAAACCTCAGAGGCTTGGGCAGACAAACAGATCCTCTCTCTGCTCTGAGCCCCAGGAGGCTGCCTGCACAACTGCAGCAACCTGGCCCTTGAGCTTGGAGATTTGGCCAAGGGGATTGCCCAGCATGAGAGTAGGGGAGGCTGGGGTCTCTATCTCCTTGGCATCCTTCCTGCCGGTCCCCGTAGAAGCTATGGCCCTTCACTGAAGGCTGCTGCTCTTCTCGCCCTCCTCATCTGCCTTCTGTTTTTCCAGGTTTTGGTAGCTGCCCCCTCCCCTCATCCCACAGTGACCAGCAATGCTGTGAGCAGTCCCAGGGTACTGCTGTGAATCTTGTCTTTTCCCTACACTCTGCCCAAACCTTTGTAAGTAGGTCCTCCGATGCATATGTTTCCTATTAGGGCTCCAAATTTAGTACTTTAAAAACAATGTATTATTTTACAGTTCTGGAGGTCAGAAGTCCAAAATCAGTGTCACTGGGCTGCACCCAAGGTGTGGGCAGGGCTGCTCTCCCTCCGGAGGCTCTTGGGAAGAATCTGTCTCTCACCTCCTCCAGTGTCTGGATGCCATTCCTTGGCTCACGGCCACGTCACTCCAGTCTCCTCCAGGATCACATCACCCCCCCTTCTGTCTGCGGTCAAATCTCCTGCCTCCCTCCTCCTATAAGGACACTTGTGATTGCATTTAGAACCCACCAGGATAATCTACGGTAATCTCCCCATCTCAAAATCCTTAATTGCATTGGCCGTCTTTGCCATATAAAGGAACATTTACAGATACCAGGGATTAAGACCTGATATGTTTGGAGGTCATTATTCAGTCGGCCACATTTATTATTTTAATTTAATTTAATTTAATTTAAGCGTGCGATTTGCCTCCTGCTGGGACTTGACTGATGCAGCCTGGGTTACTACATATGAAAGAGCAGGAATTCAAACCATGCAAATAAGTTAATTTTGAGAACTTGCACTTGGTGTTGTATGTTAATGACTTCCGAATTTATACCTCTGGTCCATTCCTTTTCTCTGAGTTCCAAGATCATATATCCAATTGACTATTTGATATTCCACTTGGATGTTTCATAGGCACCTCGAGCTTGGGATGGCAAAACCAACAGTTCTCTTTCCTATATCCCACCCTGCTCCTCAGGAAATTGCACCATCCCACAATTGTTTGCTCAAGCTGGGAACCTGGACATCAACCCAGTGACCTCCAAGGCTCGGGGACCTCCCCACCACACCCATGGAACCACCCAGTGCTGCTTCCCTGTGGGTTCTTGTTCACTTCATCACCCTGTCCCTGGAGGCCCTCCCTCCACAACAGATGTGGTATCTCTCCGTTCTCCCCATCTCTGCTGACACCAGTCTATTCCAAGGCACCACTCGCTCACCCGGACTGTAGGAATGGCCTCCTCAGTGTGGGCTTCCACTCCAGTCTCCTCTCTGGCACACTTGGTGCAGGAGTCACAGGGGCAAATACAACCCAGGCTGACTCACATCACCCCCACATACAACCCTTCAATATGCTTCAGTTGCATTCTTGCTTTTCCCACTGCATCTTTTGCTAAGTTCCTTCTCACTTCTGCCCTCTCACTGATGTCTCCTATGCCTGGAATGCTCCTTCCTCCAACTCTTCTCCTATCTGGCTTGGTTATGATGTCTATATCCCGTGCTTGGCACAGCTCTGAACGTAGCAGAAAGCTACTGACTCTACCTCTTGATGTGCTGAACTATGACGTCACCTTGCAAAGGTGAGAACGCCAGGTGACATGAAGGAATGTGGCCGAGGGGAGAATCTACCACGTGGTGGACAATGGTGGAAACCAGACTGACCCGGGAAAAGGGGCCCATGATCTCCTTAGCAGTGTCAGAACCAACATACCCACCACGTCCTGAGTTCATTCTGAGCTGGCTGCCTACCCAGCCTGGGTCCCCATGAGAAGTTGTTACTGGTGGAGAGTAGTCTAGGTTCTTGGCATTTTGAACAAATAATTGGACAAAATGCACAAACAAAGCAAAGCAGGAAAAGCAGAGATTTATTTTAAATGAAAGTACACTCCACACGGTTGGAATGGGCTGGAGCAAGTAGCTCAAGCGCCTCAGTTACAGAATTTTCTGGGGTTTAAGTACCCTCTAGGGGTTTCCCATTGGTTCACTTTATGCAAATGAAGTAGGGCCCATGACCAGTCTGACTGGTTGCAGGAGGGTACCAATCAGAATGAAGAGTAGGCCCACAACCAGTCTGATTGGTTGCAGGAGGTGACCAATTAGAGGTACTTTCATTTTTCAACTGCCAGGCAGAAAAAGGAGGGATTGAAAAGGGAGTAGCCTCTGATTTCCACTCAGCATGAATAGGCCTTAGGTTTCCTGCCTCCAGACCCTATTCTCCTGCCCCAAAATGATGGGGCTGCTCCTTCTGGGATTGGAGGAGCCTGGCCCACCAGGGAAGAGTCTGTGTCATTTCCAGTGTTCCCCTACTCGAGTCATTGGAGGAGTGTTTTAATAAGGGGTGATGTCACCATCGTTTGGTTAAGAAATTGGGACTGCTTGTCCCAGCATTCTTCCCTTGATGTTGAGATCCCGGCATCCTCTCTAGCGACAGTGATGGACAGCGGGGAGAAGTAGTACAGATTCCCAATGATGTCAGAAAAAAAGGTCAAACTTGGAATGAGTCACAAAATAAAGATATATGCTGGATGATGCAAAGGTTACCATCACGAGCTTAACAAGTGTAGGGGAGGCTTCGAGATTGTGACTGTGATATGAAGCCACAGCCTGAAACAGTGGCTGAGCACATGTTAGAAGGTCCAGCGTGCCTCCTTAACACTCACAGGGCCAGGTCCCCAGGCAGGTCTGGGGCTGGGGAAATACAGGGGCTGCTCATGGCTGGTGAGGCCCGATGCTCCCAGCTGGAGGACATGTCCACTACTTTCTTTTTCCTTTTGTTTCTTCAGATGGAGTCTCATTGTTGCCCAGGCTGGAGTGCAGAGGGAAAGATGATGGCGGGGGTGCTGGTGGCGGGGGGCAGGGGTGGAGACAGAGACAGAGACAGAGACAGATACCAAAAGCACTTTGCACTGCATGAGAGACAACCCTGTGTTGCGTCTGAGCCCAAAATCCAGACACTACTCCAGAATGAGGTTTTTCCCCTCCAGATGCTCATTATCTTAATTAAGATGTTCTTTGTTAGTAAATTCAACCATATCTGCACAAATCCTCATAAAGAGGGGAGCCTAGGAGACCCTGCATTCACCCACAGGTGGATTTTCCACGGACAAGGGAACACCACGAACAGAAGCCCTCAGGTATTGAACCCTTAACAAGGGGAGAGGAAGGCAGGGAGGGGGCGTGGAGGCACAGGCTGGAGACTCCGGCACTGGTCTCTCCACGTTCTCTCTTCTGCTTCTTCCACTTTCTCTCTACACCTCTTTACGGAAAGGAGAGAGATTCTACCTCAAGATGTGGAAATGCGAGAGAAAATGGGAGAATGGAAAGCTAAGTGTTTTGATGCTCCACGCCACAGTCTTGGGAATTTGATTTAAGCATTGACCAGCTAAGGAACTGCAAGCCAGGCCAGTTGGGAAGGCTTGGACATGAATTCCAGTGCCCTGCAGACACCGCAGCCTTCAGCAGAGTGACCCAGTGGAGGAGGAACCTCAGCCCCTGCCCATCTCTGCTCTCCCTTTCCTTTCTCCTTTCTCTCCCATCTTCCGAGGTGCCAAGGTCCTGGAATTGCCCTCTGACTTTCCAAAAATGTCCATTCCACACAGCTCTTCCTTCCTGCCTCCATCAGAGCTGGTTCCCTGAGCCCCACTGATCTTTGGATATTTGAAAAAAGTAACTCACAAGAGCCTAGAGGAGTAACTCAACCAGGGTACTCATGTTTGAAAGGGTAGCTTCTTGTCCAAATGCATCTCCAATTGCTAGACAGCATGCAAATGAGAGAGCAGGAAGTTGCCAGACCGGACACCAACCAGTGCTGTCGAAACCAGGCACCCTCACTCCAGCATGGCCTTGGGCAGGGTCCAGTGCAGCAGGGTGGGCCAGATCAGGGAGGTTGGCCACGATCCCCAGCCTCGAATATGGGAGATGATGGAAGCGCCCAGAGAGGTTGGTATTTCCTGGATGGTTCTCAAGGGGGAAGGTGGGGGGGCACCAAAGAAACTGTACTCCTGAGAGATCAGAAGAAGTTACAAAAAGACAAGAGACATGGTCTGCTCAAAGCAAAGGTCCAGACTGTTCAGCCATCCGGGGGTGCAGTGAGTTGATCAAATGAATGCCATACAGGAGCGATGGGCAGTGGATCCATGAGAGACAGGAGGGGTTTCTCAGGAGGGGCACCACACATGGGCTCCTCCCAGCAAGACGGGGCCCAGGAGCAGCCCAGCAAGCCCCTGAGAGCAGGCATCCAGGGTGAGCTCCCCAATGTTGGGGACCTGACACCTCTTTTTGTCTAGCTGTATTTTTATTCTTCTACAAGAAACATTTGTTATTCATCTTATTTAACAAATGCAAAAAGCATTACTTGGGCATGCTTTGCACATAGCAGCATGCTGCTTGCCATCCTATTTCAGGGATCTGCTTTATCACATGCTTTCATTATTACTAAATCCATATGAAGTACATTAAGTCAAGTGATCTATATTGGCTGTTGTTAAGACAGCATGTTTTAGGCTTTCTCTCAAAAACATGTATACAGGCATGAGAACATAGTGTGCACACAGGAGAGGCCTGCAGGCTGGCCTTAAGGCCTGGCTCGTCATCTGCCACATTTCAGGGGCCCCAGGAAAGAGTCAAACCTGAGAGGTGGCTCCCACCGTGGGCTTCAGCTCTGTTGCCTCCCTGGCCTTGTAGGAGCCTTCTTTCCATGGCATGGCTGGCTGCTGCTGCCCAAGGCTCTCCACTCCTGCACACAGAGCAGGGACGGCGGTGCCTGGTGACATGCGGCACATGTTCACCCACATTTGCCATGAAGAGGGAATGCATCTTTGGATACTTGGCCCCAACTTCACCCATGCTAAAGCAACACGTGCAAATCAGGGAAAGATCCCGCTTTGGGGTTATTGGCAAGTGTCAATGCACTTGGCAATGCCTGCCTGGAAATATTAGTTTTCAAGCTTGTTTTGGAATGTTCCAGGTTGCTCTCAAGGCCTGTATGGGGGCCACTCCCCCGAGCATGGCGGCTGGGCAGGATGTGCTGGCACAGTGTCTACCTGCGGAGAGACCTTCTTTCCACCACTCCCACTGTGGGCTGCTCCTTGCTACCCTGTCAGCACCCGATGCTTGGCACCCTGCCCGCTGTAGACGTGGTGACTGACCAGGTGACCCAGGGTCTCTTGCTCAAATGCTCCTGCTGTGCTTTCCCGACTCCACACCAGTGGTTCTAGTGTGGTCTGTGGATCCACCACGCCAGCACCAAGAGCTTGTCAGACATGCAATCTCAGGCCCCACCCCAGACCCTCGGAGTCTGAACCTGCATCTTAACATCACCCTGTGAGGAACACCAGGGACACCCGAGGCCAGCACACTGTAGCCACCTATTTTCATGTGGCCCACAAGTAAAGAATGATCTTTACATTTTTTTAATGATTGGGGAAAAAAGGAAGAAGAATATTTTGTGTTATGTGAGAATTATACAAAATGTGAACTGCAATGTCCATAACTAAAGTTCGATTGGAATACAGCCACACTCATGCCTTTACTTGTCTCTTGGCTGCTTGCACGCTCCAACAACAGAGCTGAGTAGCTGCAACAGACACCATAGGCAGCCACACAGCTGGAGAGACTTACTATTGGGTCCTTTACAGGAGAAGTTTCCCAACCCCTGACCAATAGGCTTAGATCCCACAAACTGACCTCACCTCACTTCCCATGATATCCCAACACTTGTTCTGGGGAAAATTAAAAACAGAGCCTCACTCTTTGGCTGGGCGTGGTGGCTCATGCCTATAATCTCAACACTTTGGGAGGTCGAGGCAGGCAGATCACCTGAGGTCAGGAGTTTGAGACCAGCCTGACCAACATGGTGAAACCCCGTCTCTACTAAAAATACAAAAATTACCCCGGCATGGTAGCTCCTGTAGTCTCAGCTACTCAGGAGGCTGAGGCCAGAGAATCACTTGAACCTGGGAGGTGGAGATTGCAGTGAGCCGAGTACTCCACCGTACTCCAGCCTGGGCGACAAGAGTGAAACTCCATCTCAAAATAAATAAATAAATAAAGCCTCGCTCTTTGACCTCCTCCCCACATCTGGCAACTTGTGTGACTTCCAACCATTTTCTTTGCTCTAACCCTGCACCCTCTCCCTGGACAGTGCAGAACCAGAACTGAAGCCCGTACCAGTTTCTCCCACCTGCCTCAATTTCTTTTCTATGCTCTGTTTGCAGCCTGGCCATCAGGACCACACAGTTCAGCGTGCCACTGGACTCTGTTCCAGTTGTGTTCTTTTTTGTTTGTTTGTTTGTTTTTTGAGACAGAGTCTTGCTCTGTCACCCAGGCTGGCGTGCAGTGGTGCAATCTCGGTTCACTGGAATCTCTGCCTCCTGGGTTCAAGCGATTCTCCTGCCTCAGCCTCCTAAGAAGCTGGGATTACAGGCATGTGCCACCACACCCAGCTAATTTTTGTATTTTTAGTAAAGATGGGGTTTCGCCATGTGGGCCAGGCTGGTCTCGAACACCTGACCTCAAGTGATCCTCCTGTCTCGGCCTCCCAAAGTGCTGGGATTACAGGCATGAGCCACTGTGCCCGGCCTCTGTTCCGGTTTTATCTGTTCTTCAGGATTGCTAATCCGAGTGTCTGGACTAGGCCGTCTTTGTAACCCCTGGCAGGTAAAGGAGCCCAACACAGAGAAGGCACTCAATAACTTGTTTACTGAGTAAACGACAGAGTTAATGGGCCATGTGTTGCCTGTTTCTGGGTGATCTTCCATGGGGCCCTGCACTGCCCAATGGAATGATTCACTGATGCATTGATTTTCCTTCAGAGATCCAAAATGCCTTGTCTATCTCATTTACCCATTTATTCTCCACAAATATATTAAGCATTGATGCTGTGCTGGTTTCTAGGGTTATGAAGATGAATTAAGATAGAAACCACCCCTTTATCATCCTGCAAATCCGTAGGAGAGGGAGGCATGTTGTAAATAGCCCTGATGCTGGCTCCTTTCTGCCTCTGCAAAGATCTCTCCCCCTGCCAAGAATCTCTGGGAGTCCACGTGAGGTTCCTAACACATCCACTTCCAAGCTAAGGGATGGGGCAGGTGTGGTCCTGTTGTCACTCTGCTAGGCTTGTGTTCCTGGCACCAAGGTCCCTGCTATGGCTCAGGGCCAGTAAGAGCCATTTTGCAGGGCACAGCAGGGGCCTTGCCAGTCCTCGTGATTCAGCGGCTTTCTCCTGGAGGCTACTTGTGCCTGGGCTGCCTGATGGCCTGGAGTGGTGTGTTAGCCGGATGTGGTGGTGCCTGTATACACCCCATCATAGTACACCGCATTGGAGAAGCGCTGTTGGGGTCCCAGTATGTCACAGAGTTCAGTGATTGTTATGGGCTGAATTATGCTGCCTTAAAATTCATATGTGGCAGTCCTAGCCCCCAGGACCTCAGAATGTGACCGTATTTCGTTAGAGGGTCATTGCAGTTACAATCATCTCAGCTAGGAAGAAGTCATCCCAGAGTAGGGTGGGCCCAAATCCAATATGACTAGGGTCCTATCCCCATCTGTCTCTGTGTCTAGAAATTTGGATACAGAGACACACCGGGATAGAAGAAAGCGGATGTAAAGAGACCCAGGGAGAAGACAGTTGTCACATGCCAAGGAAAGCCCTGGAACAGACCCTCCCTCACAGCCTCAGAAGGAACCAACCCTGGAGACACCTTAAAGTTGGACTTGAGTCTCCAGAACTGCGAGATAATGAATGGATGTTGTTCAAGTCACCCAGTTTGCAGTACTCTGTGGCAGCCTCAGCAGACTAATCCAACCACACCGCTCACTCGGTTGCACATGTGGTCCTCTTCCTCCAGGATACTGGTTCAGGAGGAGCCCTTGAGGGCTCAGTTAACTTCCAGGATGCTGTTTTCAGAATCTCTCCTTCCTATTGACAACCAAAATGCTGTCAGTGGGTCCAGGTCATCCTGCCTGGCTCCTTTCCCCTTAAAGGAAATTCTCTTCCTATAGGCTCTTTGGCCTCTCCTCCACCCAAAGGCAGCTATAGGAAGTCCACCCATTTTCCCTGTCAGTGGAGGTTAGGCTCATCCCCAGCAGAGGAAACAGCATGAGCCTTATCCCAGGGTGGCCCTTAGCACCCGAGGCAGAGACAGCCCCGCCCTTTCCCAAGACTGCTCCTTCATGTCAGGTCCTGGAAAACAGTCAGCTGAGGGGACAGCTCAGGCTGACAGCCCTGCTGCAGCACACAAAGGACAAGCACAGTCAGAATGGAAGCATTCTCAGGGTGCAGCAGGGCACCGAGGAGGACTTGACAGCAAAGCCTCATGGAGGAGGTGGCAGACAAGCAGGAAGGGATTTGCAAGGCATTTAGGAGGAGGCAAGAGCTGAGGCATAATGTGCAGGAAAACAGCCCTTGTGGGTTTAAGAGCAGCTCAAGGAGCAGTGAGAGGCGTTACAGAGGCTTTAAAGAAGGGGGTTGGGGAAGACTGAATGGGGCCAGGAAGGCAGCAGGGCCAGATGGGGAAGGGCCGCTGGGGCCATGCTAAGCAGAGTCTACTCTGCCTTCTCTGGGAACAGAGACCATGACAGGGCTTGAAGAGGATGCCACATGACCCGAGAGGACTTCAGAAGGAGTGGCCAGGCAGAAACAGCAGTTATCTGAAAGTGCACAGTATTGGCTTATGTTGCCAACCTCTTCCCTTTGCTTGGAATGTGTTTCTCCTCCTCAAACACCTGCTTGAGCACACAGGCCACACACACGCGTGCTGTCTCTCTCTCTCCTCACTGTTAGCCTGACAAACACTTTCTAGCATGAGGGCAAGAGCCACACCCTGGGAAAACCTCTTTGAGGTCTAGATTGAGCAGGGAAGTAGCTTCGTCTCTCTGAGTTTTAGCCTTCCCTCCTGTCAAATGGCATAATTGTCCCTGCTGTCTTGCCTACAGCATGTTGTAAAGATAAAATCAGGTCAGAATACCAGATAACACCTTCTAAACTGCATTGAATGTAAGGAGGGTTAGTGACCATGGTGATGATGATAATGGTGAAGACGATGGTGAGTTGATGGTAATGGTGGTGGTGATGATGGTGGTGATGGTGATGATGGTGAATGGTGATGATGGTGATGGTTGTGCTGATCATGATGGTGATGGTGGTCATGGTCATGGTAGTGGTGATGATGGTGATGGTGGCAATGGTGAGGTGATTATGTGAAGGAGTGTCTTTTCCTTCATGCAAGGTGGTTTAGAAACCCTATGGTTTCTATCCTCTTTCATCTCTTGGAGGAGCCACTTAATTTGTCATCAAAAGTGGGACAGTTTGTGAGTGCTATTAACATTTACACCAGGACAATGATGCATGAAAGGCCCTCAATTGCATTTTAGACTTCACCACTATTGCAACAAACTGGTTGAAGTAGACCTTCAAAAAGTCTACAGACATCAGGTACAGTTCGGCTGAGTGATCAAAATTTTGGCCTGGTTTTAAATTTGGGTTTAAATTGCTGAGAAAGGACTTGGCCAGGGACTTGGGAAGTCAGTGTACCCTACCTTCCAGGCTATTAGAACTTTTGGCTGAACAACGATCATTTGCTGTCCTTAATACTACAGCCAAGAGGAGACTGGTTGGCAAGTGTGGACAGGGAAGCTCTATTTCCCAGATAGTCATGCCCATCACAGCACAGGGGCCCACTGCTTACAAACCCTCTGTCTGTCTTTCACTTGGAACTTGTGCCTCACACTTGGAGGAACAGCGGGGACTTCTGGGGAACCTCCAACCTGCTGGGCCCTTGAGCAGCTGAAGGAGGTCCTCTACTCAGTGGAATTGAGGCAGTGAGCAGGACAGGCCTTCTGCCTTGGTGGGTGAGGCCGAATTAAGCTACTTCTTGCAGCCCCATGCAACCAAGTCATGATATGCTCCCCAGTGACATACTCAATTTAGCCAGCGGAAATGGAAACTCTGTGCTCATTCTTGTGAATTAAAAAGTGATGAGCAGTCTCCTTTCTTAGTCATATCCCTTTACCTCTGTCCTAGAAATCTGAGACTTATGACAAGGAAAATGCTGTCACTCAGTCTGCAAAGGCAGCCTAAGACAAATTTTAAAGACTGCAAGTTCTGACTCAGCAACTTTTTTTCCCAAGGGCATTGAATCTTTTAAACGTTATCCCTTATAGACTGAATATTTTGGTTTATTGGAACAAAAGTGAACTTCTGGAATATTCCATACAATCTGTTTTCTAAAACAGGTTCAATCCAAGGAGGAAAATTAAAAACAAATGTCTGATGGCCCGAGGTGAGCCATTAGTTAGGACAAACAAACATCTTGCAAAAATGACAGATGGGAACAGGAGGAGTGTTTCTCCTCCATCTGAGTTGACTCTCCCTGAATGGATATTCAAAGAAATTGACAGGAATCCTGTCTTAAGACAAGCCCACTGGGCTCTATGTCAGAAATTTCACCAATCACTTCCCAAGCTTCCCACTCCATTGCTGAAGCCTGGGCCACAGCATTTACAGTTAAGAATGTTATAAAAATCAAACCAAGCAGTTCCTGCCAACCCCCAGGAGGAAAGTTGCAGAGAATGAATAATTCTGCAAAGATCCTGGGCATCTGTGTGCATTAACCATAAAGGCGATTAAAGTTGGAGCAGCAAGGAAAGGGTGTACAAGACTTTGCCCCATAGAAAATGCTGGCTCTCTCCCCTTCGGCCTGTTTGGGAGGTGCCACAACGTGGGTCCCCACCCACTGTCTCAGCCTGGGGGACTGCCTTCTCTCTCTTTTGATCACCAGAAAGGAACAAGCAAATTCCTTCTCAGCTATTTCACCAGGACTGCAGCTGTCATTGCCTCAGGCTATTATAACATCCGTACAGCACCCCAGGAGGCTGAGATGAGGCTTGCAGCCAGCAAACAGTGTCAGAGAAGAAGGAGCCCTGTCGCCTGTGCCAATCTGACCCGGATGCAGGTGAAGCTAGGGTATTGATCTGCTTCTGGCCTCAGGTAGGAGCACCAGTGACATTCAGGGACCTCTTTTCTGCTCTGCCTCTCATTTTGCACCCCTCCTCCCCCACCAGTGATCAACATTCTAAGTATTGCCATCTTTCAGGAGGCAGCCCACACTGACCTTTGGCATCAGCGTATCTTCATGACGTCATGCCTGTTACCTAAGCAACCTGAACCTCAGTTTTCTCATCTGACAAATGAAAATGATCCTTTCTTGTTGCAAGAATAAAATCACTCAGGTTATATCACAAGAGGCAAGAAAACTCTTGAAAATAAGGATGGCATGGCCTTGACATCAGGCCATTTTGCCAAGAGAACAAATCACGTTAGGCTCTGAGCAATGGTCCTAGGGTCCTAGGAGCCCAATGGCTGAACTACCAGCCAAGAGGTCTGGAGAATGTCTTCTCACGAGGGGATGTCTACTCATCCTGACCCTGTTGCTCTATCATCAACATGACTCAGCTAATTCCTCTCTCTCTCTCTGTGTGTGTCTGTGTGTGTATGTGTGTGTGTGTGTGTCTGTCTGTCCTTCTCCATCTGCTCCCAGTTTCAGTTTGCAATCTTGATAAAAACCACTCTAATTGGAGTGAACAATCGCCACTGCTTCTGTTTGGCAGAGCTTTTTTGTGTGAAGCTACATAATAGGGTGTCAGCCAGCCTATAGGTTATCTGTTCTTGAACCATGTACCTGTCTCTGGTCTAATCAGACTGTAAGGGTCAGGGTCACAAACATAACAGAATGATTGCCTAGGCACAGGCGGTATTTCCTGCCACTCCCTCGGCAAGGAAGCAGGCATGTGGGCTGTGCTTCCCAAAGTTGTCCAGTCATGAGAATTACTGGGGCTCTGTGACACAAATGACCAGGTTCCTGCCCTGGCTAGGATTCTAGCCAGGTCTGGGGTGGTCAGAAAAGTCTTAATGTCCAGCAAATACCCTTCAGAGATTCTTAGCATCCCCCACACAGGGCTGGCTTCATAGATATGAGACTGGGGTCATTGCTCAGGGTCCCACCCAGAAGAGCCCCTGCTTGCCGTTTGACACTCTGGGATCACTGTCTTAAACTTCTAGATCATTTTCTCTCTGAATTAGTGTTTTGTGAGTAAAGTCTGATGGGACAATGGAGTGCGGTTCAGGGTCCTGGGCCTGCTCGCTTCCGGTGTCACCATTTCTCTTCTCATGAGGGATGGGTTCCGGGCTCCCAGCTCACTGCCCCTTGGTATCCTCGGCCCTGTCCATTTCCCTTCCCTGCCCTGAAGCCCTATATTCCCTTCCCTGGAACAGGAGTGGTGTGCCTCAGTGGGAGAGGACTTTGTTCTGTTGTCACTCTCCACCCCTGGAGGGGGCCTAGGCGTGGACATAGGGAGGGACTCAGGGTCATCTCTCTTCCAGACCAGAAGCACCACATTGCAGTAGGAAGGTGACTTGGAGGACACTTCTCATCCACCATGATCCAGGATCCAGGTACCAAGTGCACCCCAGCACATCTCCAGAAAATTTTCATCCTGCAAAAAGGAAACTTTATACCCACTGAGCGACAATTTCCTTTTCTCCTTTCCCCACAGCCCCTGACAACCACCTTTCTGCTTTCCGTATCTATATACTTGACTACTACTACTTTATTTATTTATGTATTGTTTTGGGGGTTTTCTGAGACAGAGTCTCACTCTGTTTCCCCAACTGGAGCGCAGCGATGCGATCATAGCTCACTGTGGCCTCTACTGCCCAGGCTCAAGTGATCCTCCTAGCTCAACTTCCTGAGTAGCTGGGACTACAGGCACATGCCACCATGCCTGGCTAATATTTTTTTTTTCCATTTTTTATAGAGGCAGGGATCTCACTTTGTTGCTCAAGCTGGTCTCAGACTCCTGGGCTTAAGCAATCCTCCTGTCTCGGCCTCCCAAAGTGCTGGGATAACAGGCAGGCGCCATGCGCCCTGCCTTGGCTACTTTAGATAGCGCATGTAAGTGGAATCATACAGTGTGTGTCTTTTTGTGGCTGGCTCATTTCACTCAGCTTAGTGTCCTCAAGGTCTATCCATGTGGCAGCATGTCACAAGATTTCCCTCCTTTTTAGGCTGCAGAGTATTCCGTTGTGTGTACTTAAGACATCTTGCTCAGCCATTCATCTGCTGATGGGCCCTTGGACTGCTGCTAAAGTCTGACTATTATAAATAATGCTGCTGTGAACATAGGTGTACAAACATCTCTCTCAGACTCTGCTTCCAATGCTTTCAGACGTATACCCAGAAGTGGGATTGCTGCATTTGGTGGATCCATGCTGAATTTTTTAGGAACCTCCATATTATTTTCCATGGTGGTGGCACATTGTACTGTCCCACCAAGAGTGCACAAAGATTCAAATTTATCCACATCTTTGCCAACACTTGTTATTTTCAGGTTTTTGTTTTGTTTTATTATAGCCATCCTAGTGGGTGGGGTAGTGTCTCATTGAGGTTTTGATTTGCATTTCTCTGATGATGAGTGGCACTGAGCATCTTTTCATGTGCTTATTGGCCTTCTGTATATCCTCTTTGGACAGCCACGGTTTTAAATATAGAAACTTGGCATAAAAAAGACAAACCCTCACCTTTCCAGGGCACACATCAATAGGTGTCAGAAGATGATCAATACCCCACAAAACAACAGGGTTGGCGGGACGATTTTATGCCCAAGGCCAAGAAACACTCCTCTAAGGAGTAGGTGTCCATGGGGAGGCCCGGAGGTGGTGAGAGGGAGCTGTGTGGATTGAGAATTTGGGAGGAGCTGTTCAGGCAGAGGCCAGCCCAAGTGCTAAGGCCCTGAAGGAGGAGCTGATCTGTGTGTCTGAGGACCGAGGACGACAAGGACTGGGGAGGAGGTCAGGAGGCAGAGGGGTAGGGACCGTCTCATGGGCTCTTAGGTTCTATGGAAGACTTTGGCTCTAACTGAGCTACAGGGGGATGTAGAAAGAGCTTATCACAATGCCTAGTAGAAAAAGGTGCTGAACGAATATTAGTGATTATTATTAATGTTGGCCCATTTAACTCATTTAAGAGAAAATGTCTCGGCTGCTTTAGTTTTACAGACAATTTAAGGAAGGAGTCTGAGAAGAAAACATAAAAACCCCCTATCCTTCTGGGAGCTGGGGTTGAGGGCCTTGGAAGCAGCACCCTCATCCCTTCGGAGGTGGCTGATTTGGAGTTTATTCTGCATCTCTGTTATGTGGCTGCCTCCTGGAATTCTTTAAACTCTTCAGGATTCCAGGGGCCTGGCAATGGTTATGCCAGGACACATTCTGGGCCGGTGAGTGAGCGATCGAGCCTTGCCTGTGAGATTTTCTTGGCCGCTTCAGCTTCTATTTACATCCACAACCTGGATTGGGAAACTCAGGTTCAGCCCAAGTCTTGGAATATTTCTGTGCCTTCAGAATAGTGCAGACAGGCTGATATTCCCCACCCCACAGGGGTTTCCTTGGGATGTTGGAGCCATCCCATAGAGCAGGCTGGCACCTTTTGGCAGGACAGAGCATAGTTCTTTCTCTAGAGATGAGGTCCTTCATGAAGCGAGGCCCAGTCAGCCTTGCCAACTGGTGGGGAGCTGACTCCACTGCAGCCAATGGCACCAGGCACATGGGAAGGAAGAGCTAGTCTGGAATTGGAAAGATCCATCATCCACACCAGAGAAGGGAAGGGAGGAGGAAAGACTGTGTATACAGGCAGGGCCTTCTCTTCTCACCAGCCGTACATTGAGGAAGCTCCCTCTTTTCTCTAAGAGCATATGGGGTCATTAGCATGACTCCTAGCATCCTACAGAAGACCTTGCCTGTTGGGAGTTCCTGAAGCCGTGAGATCTGAGGGGAAGGCTGCCTGTCAGTCCTACTGTGAGTGGGTAGAAGCCACGGAGCACAGGCCAGTGAAAGGAGGGCTGTGCTTTGTGTGATCAGTGTCATCAACATGGAGCCGGGGCGAGATGCATGGTAGATTCCACAGGATGGAGAAAGACGCAGGGGATGTGGTCTCCCATCAGGGAGTGACAATCTGTAGGGCTAAGTGGATCATGGGCATCAGGGATCAGTTGGCATTACAAAGAGAGCAAACCAAACCTCGTCCCTGGTCTCTTCAGGCAAAAAGAAGCACAAGAAAACCATCAATCCATTATATAATCAGAACCACTGTAGAAAGTTCTACTTGAAAGATTACTAGAAGGAATACTTCAGCTTAGGAGAGAGTTTATCTTCTTGCTTGAAAATTTATATGCTCTAAAATGATATGCAGGTACTATATATCTACTGGCTATATGTAAGTTATAGAGCAATAATAATTTTAAAAGAATTTTATCATAAAATAATGTGTGCATGTCAGGGAAAATTTAGAACATACAAAAAAGTATAAAGGAAACATTGAAATCACCCATAACTCTCTACCCAAGACCGTCACTGTTAAGATTTTGATGCTCGTCTTTTATTTTATACACATAATTATAAAACATAATTAGGCTCAAATTATGTAGAGATGTAACATATTTTTCACACAATATTATATTATACAAATTTTTCATGTCATTAGAAAATGTAAAACATTATTTTAAATGACTACATCTTGTTCCATTCTATGGATATTTGAACTTATTTGGCAATTCCTCTACTGTTGGACATTTATGTAGTTGTAAATATGTTACTATTATAAATAATGCTTTGATGAATATCCTTGTACAGAAATCTTTGTGCACTTCATTCATTCAAGAAACATTTATGAGCATTTACCAAGCATCCCTCACAGTCTTAGGTACTGGTGATCCATTACGGAATAGGACAAAATCCACACTTTCATGGAATTTACATTGTAGTCGGGGAGGCAAGCCATACATAAGTGAACAAATAATGTGATATCAGAATATAAGTGCTGAAACAAATTAAGCAGGGTAATGGGCAAAGAGTGACCATGGAATAGAGGTTATTTTAGGTGCGGTCTTTGCAGAAGGCCTTTAAGTAACTGATGTTTGCCTACAGGCCTGCATGATCAGAAGGGGCCATTCATGGCATTCCAGACAAGGGAAACTGGAAGCATAGAGGCCCTAAGGAGAAAAGTAGCATGACAGATTGACAGAACCTCAAAAAGACCAGTGTGCTACAGTCAAAGGAGCAAGAGAGAGATATCAAGACGTGAAGGTCAAGAGGTAGGCACTGGAGACCTTGGTGAGTGCTCTGCATGGTGCATGCAATGGGAAGCCATTGGAGGTAGGGTCAGAACATGATCGACTTGATTTACATTTAGAATGTATTTTAGATACTGAATTTAAAATCAGTTTTGGGGAGCAAGGCTGGAAGTAGATCCCACCTCAATCTGGTACCAAAACCATACAAAGATATCACAAGAAGAGAAAACTACAGACCAATGTTTCTTATTAATATAAATGTAAAATCCTTCAACAAAATGCTAGCAAACCAAACCTAGCAATGTATAAAAAGGATGATACACCATGACCAAGTGTGACGTATCTCAGGTATGCAAGGTTGGTTTGACACTCAAAAATCAATTAAGTGTTCTGGAGTCCTGGACATGTTCACTCTGCTTTGTCAAAGTGAATCCCAAGATGCATTGTCCCTGAGTAGAAAGATAGAGAAGAACATGTGCTTTATAAAGACTTTAGTTTAGTGGTTCATAACCCACTGGGGCCACATGGTAATTAGAATGATGAATCACCTTTAAGTCCTACCTTCCTAGGAAATTCATATGGATGGATGCAAATGGAAGAAAGAATCCAGGTCAAATTTTAGGCACCTTATTCTGCAAGTTGTCCACTTCCCAAAAAATATCAGGGCTAAGTTGTCCACACTCTCTGTATCCAAAATGCTCCCAAAAGAATTGCAAGCTACTTTACAGAGATGTTGCTTAAGCATTTAACTGATGCTTGGCAGGACAAGCTGTCATCAGCTCTCAAAGGAGATCCTGTAGTTTTAATAACTTTAGCAGGTTGTGATTTGTCGTTACCTCAAGGAAAAGGAAGGGACAGAACAACCTTTAGGAGGAAGTGTGCTAAGATGAGGATATAGAGCTCTGTGTGGAAGATATGACAGGAGGAGGGATGGTCCAATGAAAAGACTATCTTTACTTCTTTAGTCTAAGATGGCTCTCCAGAAAGCCTGCATCAAAGATTCAGATCTATTGCCCATCAAAGACCTATTGCCCATTGGGTAATAGGGGCAAGATGTGTTAGGAAAACCCCACCCAACTGTGGGTGGTGTATAAGTTGGGTAAAAGTAGGTAGGGCATAAAGTGAAAGACTATGTTGTGGGCTTTCTAGAGTCCACCTGTGTGCTTGCTTGGTTAGAAATAAGCTTCTTTTAAAACACACACACACACACACACACACACACACACACACACACACAAACATACACACACACAATGATAACGAAGCAAAGCCAAACAAAAACCTATGCCCCTCCCCACCTCCATCTCTTAAGGAGGCAGTACTAGGCACCTATCCTGCTTTCAACGAGAAGACTGCTGCTATTGTTCTTGAATAAGAAATCAGAATTGTGAAATCGTCTCTGTTATTTGGTGTCAGTATTTGATTTTGAGGCCAATGAGCTGAAAATCACTGGTTTAAAATTATCTGTTAGCAATAGAATCAGTGCTTCCATTAGCTCACTTTGCTAGTTGAGGTTTCCATTCTGTCAAAGGATTCTAGAATTCTCCGAGGCTTTTTGAGTTGAGTCCGTGTTGCATGATTTCCTTTGTCCACAAGGCAGTGAAGTCAACTCTGACCAGCCTTGCACTATTTTCTTGTCTGTTCTGGCAAAACAAGGACTATACATCCACATTTCAATGTGAAGGTCCTATAAAGAAGGAAATTGTCAGAAGAGTTCTGCAGGGTTTCCAGGTACCTACAGATTTCTTCCTGCAGAAGCCTTGGCAAGGCCTTGTCACCTTGACTCCTGCTTGTCCCACACTTGCTCCAGGATTGAAAAGTTTGTTTACTTCTAGTCTTTTCTTTCAGAGTAGGAGCTTGGTCAAAATATCTTGCAATTTTCTAGTAGCATTTGTATTTATTATAAACTCTTGCTGCAAAGATTTATCTCTCTGGTGTGTCCCTAAAGACCCCTACTCCAGGAATCTGAACTGTGAATTAATGTCATGTGATCAAATAAATTTTTCTGTTCTCTCTCAAGAAAAGATAAGCTACCTAAATTTGTGTGGTAGGTTAGTCAACTAATTTCTTTTCCATAGCTCCAGGAGCCGATGTAAGTAGGGAGAAGAACAGTGCCAAGGAGAAACTGCTGTTGCCAAAGAGGAGGGAGGAAGAAGAGGAAGGAGGAAAGAGGCAAACATACAAAACCTCAGACAAAACGCAGCTTTGCTAGCACACAGATGGATAATGGGAAGACAAAGATATGGAGAGTTGGATGCCTTTGGCAGTAAGTATATCGGAAAGGCTCATTCAGGCGACATCACCCAAGATCTCTGCTCTGGGTAAAAAGAGAACATCAGCTTGAAAAGCTTAAAATTCTACTGGCAGACACTGTCTGACATGGAAATATCTCTAACCGCAAGATGATTTGCAATTAGCATTCTTTCTAGTGGCACAGTAACTGCCTCATATGATTGCTAAGGAGATTAAATAAGGTAGAGCTTGAGAAAGACCCCATTAAACTGTAATGGGCTATTCAATGTTAGCTATTGTCATTTTCAGAGTTACCAAATAAAATTCGACTTGCATAAAAATATTTGCTGCGGTTCTATTAATATGCTGGGGACATTAAATTTGTGATTTAAGTTAATTCTTACAATGACCCTGCAAGGCAGGTATTGGTTCCATAGATTTTTTAAAAAGTGAAGATAACTTATAGCTTGTCTATACAAAATGTACTTCAAAGTGTGGGTGATATTTCCTGTGCCTACCAAGTGTCTCTAAATGTAATCTCTGAAAACATAAGAAGAACAATAATGTAGGGTTTGGATTTAACTAGACTGTGTCAGTAAGCCTGGAGTTGAATATTCAATACAAATGCACCTGGATCTTTTTGGCAGTTGGGGAGTGGTGGGTCAGTGTTCATTCCTTCTCCAAGAGGAAAATATAGAAAGATAAGAGTGTGCTGTGAAGAAGAGAGAAAGGGCACCTTTCTCAGGTTATCTGGGCTGCTAGCTACCACCTGATTAGTTGTCATTAATGAGAGGAATTTGGCTAGGTCCTCCCATGGTTTTTATCAATCACTGGTCTGTGAGAATGGGAAGAGAGGCTCTCAGTGTAGCGCAGAGGGGTGTGAGAGAAGACGCAGTGTGGATGAAAAGTACAAGATGGTCCCAGACTCTTCAGAGGAGCTAAAGAGGTGTCCCTTCTAGCACCATGAGCTCAGAATATCCTGGGCTGAACAGAATATACAGAGAGAGGAAGAGAGAGAAAGCAAAGCTGGAAAGTACTGTAAAATATAATCACAGGAATGAAGAAGAGAAAATGGAGTTTCTGGGCTTATTGGTATCCCAGAAGAGAGAATAGAGAATTGACTTTCAGCATGGCACTGTGACTCCCAGTGCTAAAGACTTGGGTCAAATCCAAGCAGATTCACTTGTTGGCTGTGTATTGTGGGCCAGGAGTGGTTTGAGGCTCTGAGAAGGTGCAGTGGGCGGAACCCAGCACCTGTCCTTACGTTGTCCCTGGAGGCAGGGGTAAGACGGGTAAGTGGAGGTTCGTGAAACTGAAGGACCATGCTCAAACGAGGAAGACGAAGACCTCGAGGGCCTATAGCAGCCCAGACTGAGCCCAACACACCGCAGCATCGAGGCTGGAGAAGGCGCTGGGCAGCTGATCCCCCGGGACCCTGTACAGCTCTTCCTTTTATTTTGTTTTATTTTTTAACTTGTATTTTAGGTTCAGGTGTACTCGTGCAGGTTTGCTATATAAGTAAATTGAGTGTTGGCGAGGTAGGGGGGTGGGGGCTGGTGTACAAGGTATTTTGTCACCTGGGTAATAAGCATAGAACCCGATAGGTAGTTTTTTGATCCTTGCCCTCCTCCCACCCTCCACCCACAAGTATGCCCCTATGCCTGTTGTTCCTTCTTTGTGTCCATGTATACTCTATGTTTAGCTTCCACTTATAAGTGAGAACCTGCAGTATTTGGTTTTCTGTGCCTGCGTTCGTTTGCTTAGGATAATGACAGCTCTTCATTCTAAACGCAAGGAAGGTCCAAAAAAGACGGACAAATGGCCAACAAACATTTGCCAAGATGCTCAACATCATTAATCATTAGGCAAATGCAAAGCAAAGCTGCATGGAGATGACACCTCACACCCATTAGGACAGTTACTATCAAAAAACAGAAAACAACCAGTGTGGGTGAGGATGCTCAAACCTTTGTGCATTATTGTTGGGAATGTAAAATGGTACAGTCGCTATGGGAAACAGTGTGGCAGTTCCTCAACAAATAAAAAATAGAATTACCATACGATTTAGCAATTCTATTTCTGGGTATATATATTCAAAAGCATTGAAATCAGGGTCTCAAAGAGATAGTTGTACACCTGTGTTCGTGGCAGCATTCTCTACGATAGCCAAAAGGCAGAAGCAACACAGTTATCCCTCAACAGGTGAATGAATAAACAAAATGTGGTCTATAAACAAAAAGGAATATTATTCAGCCTTGAAAAAGGAAGGGCATCTTGTCACATGCTACAGCATGGATGAACCTTGCGGGCATTATGTTAAGTGAAATGAGCCAGTCACAAAAGGACAAATACCGTATGACTCCACTTCTACCGGGTCCCTGGAGTAATCACATTCCTAGAGACAGAAAATAGAAAGGTAATGGCCAGGGAATGGAGGCAGAAGGAAATGGGGAGTTCGTATTCAATAGGTACAAAGTTTCAGTTTTGCTAAATCAAAAGAATTCTGTGGCTGGACGATGGTGATGCCTGCACAGCAAGAAGAGAGTATTTAATAGCACTGAACTGTGCGCTTAAGACGGTTAAATGATGGATTTTATGTTAGGTGTATCTTGCCACAATAAAAAAAGAATCGAGGGACAAAGGCAGATACTAGAAACTCAGGAAGCTGGAGATGCAGGAGAAAGGTGTCTTTGCTCCCAAGTGACATGGCTTCTCTCCCCTTCTCCAGGGGAAGCTCCTCCTCCACTGTGGGTTTCTCACCTTCCTGAAGTCGGGGGACTAGCTCTCTGGGGACTGCTGTCAAGGTTCACGTTAACCTATTTTTCATGTGGAAAAATATGTTCTCCAAAGAGAGGTGGGACACATGGAATGGTTGAGAGGCCCTGGCACCCTCAGCCCAAATATATAACAAAGCCAGTTCTATGCCGATCCCTCCTCTAACCCCTGCTGGGAGCCTGCAGCCTGGGGTTAGGAATGGTGCCCTCATGGATCAGGACAAATCCCCGGATGACCTTTGCCTTAACCTCCTCTACCCCAGCTCTTTGGGATTGCTGGGATCTGGGGCTTTCATTACTCAGAGGGAGAAATGAATCCTGCCATTGTTATATTCTGGTAATAACCTGTCAAACTGGTGAAAAGCCCTTGCTAGAGGACTCGGGAAACACTGCAATGTTATTATGTGTGAAGAAAGACCACTTCGTTTCTCCTGTGCTGGAGACAGATGTGTTTGTTAACCTTTAGAGGCCCTTAGCACAGAGATACAAGCATGGTACTCTCCTCCCCACCCTCCAAAAGAAATTAAATCATAAAATAGAAAAAAAAAAAAAACAGAACAAGTATAAAGAGATCCACCAATGATCTTACTTCTTCCCACAATGACTTCTTAGATAAGCTTTTAAAAATATGTTTAAATTGATAGACTATTGTTGGAGCAGTTTTAGGTTTATAGAAACATTTAGCAAAAAGTACAGAGTTCCTGTCTATCCCTCAGCACCATTCCCCATGGTTTCCTCTACTGCTAACATTTTGCATTGGTGCTACATTTGTTACTACTGATGAGACAGTGGTGACACATTATTATTAACTAAAGTCCACAGATTACATTCAGCTTCATCATGTGTGTGGACATTCTGTGGGTTTTGATAAATGCATAAAGACAGGTATCCACCATCATAGTATCCTACAGAGTGGTTTCACTGCCCTAAAAATCCTCTGTGCTGCACCTATTAATCTCTCACTTTCTCCCCCCAGCCAAGCCCCTGGTAACCACTGATCCTTTTACTATCTCCACAGTTTTGCCTTTTCCAGAATGGCATAGAGTTGGAAACATGCAGTCTGTGGCCTTTCAGGCTGACTTCTTTCACGTAGTAACAAGTGTTTAAGCTTCTGCCATGGCTTTTCACGGATTGATAGCTCATTTCTCTTTATCACTGGATAATAGTCCATTGCCTGGATGTGCCAGTTTGTTTATCTGCTCACCTACTGAAGGACATCCTGGTTGCTTCCAAGTTTCGTCCATTATGAATAAAGCTGCTGTAAACATCTGTGTGCAGATGTTTGTGTGGACACAAGTTTTCAGCTCATTTGGGTAAATACCAAGGAGCATCACTGCTGGATCACGTGGTAAGACTCTGTTTACTTTCGTAAGCAAGAGCCAGGTGTCTTCCAAGGTGGCTGCTCCATTTTGCATTCCACCAGCAATGAACAAGTGCCTGTTGCTCCACATCTGCACCGTATCAAATATTTTGTTTTGTTTTTTGAGATGGTGTCTCACTCTGTCGCCCAGGCAGGAGTGCAATGTCATGATCTCAGCTCACTGCAACCTCCGCCTCCCAGGTTCAAGCTATTCTCCTGCCTCAGCCTCCCTAGTAGCTGGGATTACAGGCACATGCCACCACGCCTGGCTAATTTTTGTATTTTTAGTAGAGACAGGGTTTCACCATGTTGGCCAGGCTGGTCTCGAACTCCTGACCTCAGGTGATCCACCCATCTTGGCCTCCCCAAATGCTGGGATTACAGGAGTGAGCCACCGCACCCCACCGGTATCACATGTTTATATCAAAAACATTTTCATTTGTCATAGAGTGAGCTGAGCTGGGCATGACTCTGACCCTGTGCTTTGAGTAATTCTGCACAGATGGGGATACTTGTTGTCCTCTGGAAAACTATTGCTCCATTTTGAGTCATGTTCTGCTCCTTCTGGTTCTCCTGGGTTTAAACACAGGTTGATTCCTTTAGTGACTTGGAGACTTTGGCACCTGCCTCATCATTTGTAGAAATAAAATAGTATTAGTTTCTAAAGTAATTAGAAACTAATTACTTTAGAAACTACTTTACTTCTAATAAACTAAAGTATTATTAGTTTCTAAAGTCACGCTGTGACCCAGTGTGATTACAATAACCCATTTCCAGCTGTCCCCAGCCACCCAAAGCCTAGTGGCTAAGGATGATATTAGCATGACGAGCATGTGCTCCTATGCACGGGTATCCTCCACTGTGCATGCTGAACTGGTGTTTCCTCGGATGAGTACTCTACAGTGGAGTTTTGAAAAGTGCTGTGAGGTGCTTTAGCGGACCTTGCAGGGAGGAACACTGGGCTCTCAACGAGGTCTGGCTTTTCAATGAACAAGATAATGCTCTCAGACAAGGTAGTTAGGAAGAGGGAATGAGGATTGAGATTCCTTGAGAACATGACAGATTTATCATTATTCATAAGGCAATCCAGCTGGTAAATGGTAAATGGTAAATGTGAAGACTTTTCTATCCTTACAGTGAAATTGTGGTCCTGAGTTGCTTTGCTAGTGGCACTTACTACCCCCTTGCCTCCCAAATGCAGTCACTGGAGCCCCAGGACCATGCCTTCCTCCCTGTCTCTCCACAGAGAGGGTCTGAGATGTAGTCTCAACATGTGATGGCTGAACAGTGACTCATGAGGGCAAGGAATTCAGATGTATATTTTCTTCATTTTCCCCCTGAGCTTCTCTATGCTGGTTCACCCTTCTAATTGGCAAACATTTTCTACATTAAGAGGAAAAATAAAAGCTCACCAAGTAAAACACTGAATGCTCAAATATGTATTTGGGTTGGTTGTTTGTTTAACAGAAGATGTATATGCCAACATCCAACCTCGTAAAACTTAAAGGTTA
Source organism: Homo sapiens (assembly GCF_000001405.40). Taxonomy (NCBI): domain Eukaryota; kingdom Metazoa; phylum Chordata; class Mammalia; order Primates; family Hominidae; genus Homo; species Homo sapiens. The sequence continues at coordinate 235,184,212 of NC_000002.12, forward strand.
AGACCTTTGAACTAAGATTTTTTTTTTTGCAGTAGTTTTCAAAGTAGTAAATGTAGCTGTTGCCTTAGTCTGTTCGTGTTGCTATAAAGGAATACACAAGGCGGGTGATTTATTGAAAAAAAAAAGAGACTTATTTGGCTCACAGTTCAGCAGGATATACAAGAAGCATGGCATCAGCGTCTGCTTCTGGTGAGGGATTCAGGAAGCTTCCACTCATGATGCAAGGTGAAGGAGGAGCAGGTGTCATGGGGGGAGAGAAGAAGGAAGAGAGAGGGGAGGGAAGTGCCAGGTTTTATCCTACAACCAGCCTTTGCAAAAATGAATAGAGCAAGAACTCTTTCCTATGGGAAGGACGCCAAGCCATTCATGAGGGATTCACCATCATGAACACAACCTCTCCCATCAGGCTCCACCTCCAACACTGGGGATCACATTTTTCAACATGAGATTTGGAGGGGATGAATATTCAAACCGTATCACCTATTATAATTAAAGTGACTTCAATTTGTTAATATTGATCCATAGTCAGTTTTTAAGAAGGTGTTAAATAATTTACGTAGTAACTGACAAGCAGCACAGAAACACAGTCAAAATGTGCATCCTTAATATGAACGTATAACATAAGTTGTAGGATCAGCTTCATTATTAAGGGCCAGTCACTCATCCTGAAATTGCACACTAGGGAGGAGAATTTCCATGTCCTGAATAATGTCCTTGGAGTGAAACTTGTGGCTTTGGAGCACTGGGACCAGTTCTCTTGATGTGTTTATTGCCAGCATCTGTGGCCTAATTCAGATTTGCAAAGGAAGAGACACAGCTGAGATTCCCGGCTGTGGTCATCAACCCTCCACAAAAGATGGGGTTGCAGAATTACAGAATGATGAAGCTGTTCACAGAATCCAGAAGCCGCAGGGTCAGCCTTCTCCCCTCTGGCAAAACTGCACTTAAATGAGACTAGGAGGAAAGTTGTCTGTTCATTCTTAAGGAGCCTTCAGGGAATAAAATTCCTTAAACTCCCTTGGTAACCGGTCACTCTTAAAATTCTTCTCTGTCATGAGTTTCTTTGGATCTCACATCTTAAAATATTGGTTCATGGGATCACAGGATCCTCTCATAGAAATGCTAAAAGAAACCTTAAGGGTCAGCTAGTCTTGCCTCAAATTTGACAAATTAGGGACTCAGGCCCAAAGAAGTTGAAGAATGTGCTGAAATCACACGGCTAATGGGGGGCGGAGCAGAAGGTCTCCCAGGTGCTACTTTTTTTTTTCTTAAAATTTAATGGAGTTTAATTGAGAAAAAAAGAAAAGGAATGAAATGATTTTTGAACCAGGCAACCTCCAGAATCACAGACGATTCAAAGTGACTCCAGAGGTGCCTTGTGGTCAGAACAAATTTATAGACAAAAAAAGGGATGTGACATACAGAAATCGGAAGTGAAGTACAGAAATAGTGGGACTGATTATTGCTCAGCATTTGTCTTATTTGAACACAGTTTGAACACTCAGCAGTCTATGAGTGGTTGAAGCATGGCCGCTGTGATTGGCCAATACTCAGCTATTGTTACAGGTGCATACTACTAAGTTAGGTCTTCAATGTTGTCGGCAGGGACACAACAAAAAAAGAAAATTGCAGGCCAATATCCCTGATGAACATCGATGTGAAAATTCTCAATAAAATACTGGCAAACCGAATCCAGCAGCACATCAAAAAGCTAATCCACCACAATCAAATTGTCTTCATCCCTGGGATGCAAGGCTGGTTCAACATATGCAAATCAATAAATGTAATCCATCACGTAAACAGAACCACTGACAAAAACCACATGATTGGCTGGGCGCGGTGGCTCACGCCTGTAATCCCAGCACTTTGGGAGGCCAAGGCGGGTGGATCATGAGGTCAGGAGATCGAGACCATCCTGGCTAACAAGGTGAAACCCCGTCTCTACTAAAAATACAAAAAATTAGCCGGGCGCGGTGGCGGGTGCCTGTAGTCCCAGCTACTCGGGAGGCTGAGGCAGGAGAATGGCGTGAACCCGGGAAGCGGAGCTTGCAGTGAGCCGAGATTGTGCCACTGCAGTCCGCAGTCCGGCCTGGGCGACAGAGCGAGACTCCGTCTCAAAAAAAAAAAAAAAAAAAAAAAAAAAAAAACCACATGATTATCTCAATAGGTGCAGAAAAGGCCTTCGACAAAATTCAACACCTCTTCATGCTAAAAACTCTCAATAAACTAGGTATTGATGGAGCATATCTCAAAATAATAAGAGCTATTTATGACAAACCCACAGCCAATATCATACTGAATGGACAAAAGCTGGAAGCATTCCCTTTGAAAACCGGCACAAGACAAGGATGCCCTGTCTCACCACTCCTATTCAACATAGTATTTGACGTTCTGGCCAGGGCAATCAGGCAAGAGAAGGAAATAAAGCGTATTCAAATAGGAAGAGAGGAAGTCAAATTGTCTCTGTTTGCAGATGACATGATTGTATATTTAGAAAATCCCATCGTCTCAGCCCAAAATCTCCTTAAGCTGATAAGCAACTTCAGCAAAGTCTCAGGATACAAAATCAATGTGCAAAAATCACAAGCATTTCTGCACACCAATAATAGACAAACAGAGAGCCAAATCATGAGTGAACTGCCATTCACAATTGCTACAAGGAGAATAAAATACCTAGGAATCCAACTTACAAGGGATGTGAAGGACCTCTTCAAGGAGAACTACAAACCACTGCTCAATGAAATAAAAGAGGACACAAACAAATGGAAAAGCATTCCATACTCATGGACAGGAAGAATCAATATCATAAAAATGGCTGTACTGCCCAAAGCAATTTGTAGATTCAATGCTATTCCCATCAAGCTACCATTGATTTCCTTCACATATTTAGAAAAAACTACTTTAAATTTCATTTGAAACCAAAAACAGCCCATAGAGCCAAGACAATCTTAAGCAAAAAGAACAAAGCTGGAGGCATCACCCTACCTGACTTCAAACTATACTACAAGGCTACAGTAACAAAAACAGCATGGTACTTGTACCAAAACAGATATATAGACCAATGGAACAGAACTGAGGCCTCGTTAATAATGTCACACATCTACAACCATCTGATCTTTGACAAACCTGACCAAAAAAAGCAATGGGGAAATGATTCCCTATTTAATAAGTGGTGTTGGGAAAGCTGGCTAGCCATATGCAGAAAACCACGTGCTACTTTCTACCCATTCTTCTCTGTCCCCTTCAGAACTCCCTGATCTGCTCCTCCATGTGTTTATTTTAAGCAAATACCAGAGAAAGGAATGGGGTATCAGAAGCACGGTTCTCCCCTACCCTATATGGGGCCTTGAAAATACTCTGCCTTGGCCATGTGCTCTGGTTCTCCTGAACACAGAGCCAGGTTCATTCCCTCCTGCTATACATCAATGTGGATTTCATACACATCTGTGTAAGGCTCCCTGAGTGGCAGCAACACTCTTACCATCATCTGGGTGAATAGACTCAGATGTCAGTGGGTTCCCTACCCCTTGGCTCTAGGTCTGACTGATGTTCAGGACAGGGAGAGCCAAAAACTGAAGTGAATCTCTAACTTCACCTCCTCTTATTCTCCACCTCCTTCTCCTCCCCTCTTCCTCTTCCTCTTCCTCTCCCTCTTACCCCTGTGCCACGGCCATCCTGGTTCTTCCCTGCAGCCCTTTGGAGCCAACCATCTCAGGAAGACAGGCACCTCCCTGAAGGCTGCTGGCGTCTAGGGAAGGGCACCATGTCTGAGCAGCATCCTCGCTGTCACCGCCCTGGCCAGGAGTGACACATAAGATCATCACTGTGCGTGAATCAGGATGGAGGACGTGGTTTCCATGATGCTCTTGCCCGAACCTGTGAATCAAAGCACAGAGGACAGAAGGCAATGCAGCTGCATGGCAAACGTTCCCATGGATCATTAAAATATGGCATCCTTTTATGTGCATCTTTAATAAGAAGAGGCTTCCTATCATCACCGCTATGACAGTCATTGCTAAGCAAGCTCACAAAGGGTTTTGAAAAATATTTCATTCATATTTCAAGTAACCCTTTTAAAAAACCCTTTAAAAGCCAAAATTAATTCATAACTAAAAATTAATCCATACTTAAGGAGCTTATCCATGAGAAGACAACGGTGTTTTATTCTGAAGAAAGATATATGTAAGGTTCGACAGCCCTGTCCAAGGGTTCCCAGCTTGCTGTGTTCTGTGGGGTCAGAGCATCACACATGGGCCTTGACCTGGTCCAATATTTTAATTTAACTGAGCTAGTCATCCTGGCCCACACACATCCCTACTGAGCACTCACGATGCTCAAAGGATTGTGTGGGGCTTGATTAGAGCAAGCTGCCTCCAGCCAGGATTTCACAGCCAGCAGGGATAAAGCCGGATGCTCGCTGTACCTTTGGGTGCAAGCTTCCTGCTCTGAGGCATGCCTGCTACCTCTGCCAGGCCCATTTCAACCTTATGTCTGTCCAGGTGGATACATCTGGGTGAATGGTGCTGTGAAAGTGCTGGCCTGTCAGCAGGCACCTGTCACCAGGAAGGTGTGGGGATGCCCAACTGGTAGCTGCCAGGATGCAGGGACCACAGCACTGGGAGCTGGCCACTTGGGAGAAGTAGGCTTGGAGATTTTGGATGGCTTGCAGCCTCCAACTCCTTCTGTCCAAAGTCTAAACCTCCTTTGGGAGAATGACTTTGCCTTGGGGAGGCAGTGATGGTCAAAATTGTCACTGAGAAGCTGCAAGGTATGGCTGAGCATTTTCAGAGTAAAAAGTCCTAATTTAGCCTTAAAAAATCCCAAGTTAGGGATTAGCATGAATATTTTACAACAAATTTCTCTTCTTACCATTCCTGGCAGCCGAGACTACAGAGATGGAGCGCTGAGCTCTGGATGCAAATTCATTTCATCAACTAATTGGCCATCTAAGTCACTGTAGATAATTAGACCTGGAAATGAAGACAAAAATAAGATGCCAACATCCCAAGCAATGAGTTCATGCTTTTTTTCTCTTTCTTTCAAAAAAGGACGTGTGCACATGATATAGAGTTAAATATTAACACCATAAGCAAATATAATGAGAGGTTAGGATCTCCATTTAACTCAAGTGCTTCTCCCAAGGCTAGGTATCCACAGCTGGGGCTGACCCAGTCTTTTCCATTCCTTGATGGGAACTCAATCTGCCTTGATCTTGGTCTGCCCTAGTGGAGTAGAGTTGCTTTCCGACTGTGCTGCATGGCTGTCAGGGCCGGCGCCATGGAAATGTAACCTGTGCAGACACGCAAGGCTCTGCATGTAGGCCTCACACTTGGTTCAAAGCCAGGCATCACCATCTTGAAATCCTTAATACATTTCAGAACCGATCCTAAAAAGTGTTTCCATTTTGCCATAAGCTTTGCAATCTACGCAGCTGGTCCCAGTGACTCGGGTCTCTGTGCAGGGGTGTCCTCCAGAATCTAGTATTTCTGTACTGGGGAGCATCCGGGCTAAACCTGCCATGCAGAGACCTGTGTCCATTGACAGGTGACAAAGTGAAACAGAGTCCGGGGCTTGACATGAAGTGCCCAGGTGTCCAAGGTGGTACAGGTGACCACCTGGACCAGCAGCCCTAGGGAACATGACATGAGAATGACACGGTTCATGGAGTGAACAGGAGGAAGACCTTGATATGGTTTGGATCTGTGTCCCTGCGCAAATCTCACGTCAAATTGTAAACTCCAAAGTTGGAGGTGGGACCTGGTGAAAGGGGATTGGATCATGGAGGCAGATTTCTCCCTTGGTGCTGTTCTCATGATGGTGAGTGAGTCCATGTAAGAGCTGGTCTTTTAAAAATGTGTGGCAATTCCCCTGCCCCCATCTCCTCCTTCGGCTCCAGCCTTGTGAGATGTTCCTGTTTACCCTTCACCTTCCACTATGACTGTTAGTTTCCTGAGGCCTCCCAAGAAGCAGAAACAGAAGCCGCTATGCTTTCCGTACAGCCTGCAGTGCTGTGAGCCAATATAACCTCTTTTCTTTATGAATTACCCAGTCTCAGGTATTTACAGTGGTGCAAGAAGCGAGTAACACAGATCTCAAATTAGACCACCAGTGTTTTCTTAAGAAGAGAAGCACAGGAGACAGTGGGAGCCACGTTGCCACGCCACCTGGGTGTCACAGGCTTTGCTTCTGGGGTCTGCCACTGACTCACCAGAGGTGGTGGGAGGGTCACCTGCATGCACAGGGTTGGTTGTGGCTTCAGTTATAATGTGATGCCCCATGAAGAACTCTTCTTTTTTGGGATAGTTTTTATCTCCAGGTCTCTGGAGAGCTCTGAGCATACTGCAGGGAAATGTAGGCTAATGCTGACTCCTTCACACCTGTGAGAATTGTGGGAATGGAGTCTAAACCCTGCCTTGAGTTCTGCCTGGGGAGGCTGGGGGTGAGGTGTGCGTTTGGAGTGGGGGACAGTTCTCTCCTAGACTCCACTCCACAGACTGAGATCTATATAGTGAGCTATAAAGGACAGCAGAAGAGCATCAGGCTGAATGTCTCAACTCTGAATAAAGAGTGCAGCCCAATGCTGTACAGGCTGAGTGTCCCTTATCTGAAATACTTGAGACCAGAGTGTTTCTGATTTTGAATTGTTTTGGATTTTGGAATATTTGCATATACACAATGCGATATCTTGGGGATGGGACTTGAGTCTAAACATGAAATTCACTTATGTTTTACATACACCTTACACACATAGCCTGAAGGTAATTTTATGGCATATTTTAATCATTTTGTGCATTTGATTTCATTTTAATTGTGACCTGTCACGAGGTCAGGTGTGAAATTTTCCTCTTGTGGCATTATGTTGGTGCTCACACAGTTTTGGATTTTGGATTTTGGATTTTCAGAGGAAGCATGCTCAGTCTGTATTTTCTTCTGATTAGAAGCCTCTCATCCTATTAGGATAAAGTCAGAGGCCATCATAAGAATTCTCCACCCTTGATTGATGTGGAGGTGTGGCTCCCAGTTTCTACTCATTTTTCCTTTTGCCTTTTTCTCCTTTTTCTCGCATTTTCCTGGAGAATTTGACATCTCTCCTCTTCCCAACTTCTACTCGTTTTTCCTTTTGTCCTTTTTCTCCTCCTTCTCTCCTCTCCTCTCCTGGAAAGTCTGACCTCCCTCCCAGCTGCTCCTCTCCCAGTCTCTTCATTGAGCCCACTTAATGCAGGAACCTCCGTGGCTGGCTGCAGCCGCTTCTCTGCTCAGCCCTAGAGTGGGTTCCCCGTGGGCACCACGTTGCTGCACAAATCCAGCGACAGCTATTTCCCATCACACATAGAATAGAACCAAACCCCGCCACTCGGCCCTGGGGACCCCTCAAGACCCAGCCTCTGCCTCCTCCCCACCTCACCCCCCGACGGCTTCCTTGCTTTGGCCACGTGGGCCCACTCTCTGTCCCAAGCTCACTCCCACGTCAGTCCCCCGTGCCTTCTCCCTCAGGGAGCACTGCGAGGCCCATTACCTCCTTCCTGCTCTTGCGCTCAAATGTCGCCCCTTCCTGACCACCCTGTGTGAAACAGCCTCCCACACACATATGCGTATGTGTGGCTCTATGTATATATCACCACAATTTTCCGAAATTAATAATGCAACATATCAAAACCATTGAATTGTATGCTTTAAACAGATGAATTGTAGGCACGTGATTTATATCTCAATAAAGCTGTTTAAAAAACGAAGCAAGAATTCTTATCCCCCTGAGGCTCGTGTCAGCTCCATGAGAATGTTTGCATGCTTGGTTCGTCCTTATGGAAAATAGACAATAAGCAGGTTCCCGGCGCCCCTCCGCTGTCTGGGTGGCGCATCTCCAACCCCACCCCGTTCCGGCGCTCTGGCCAGGACGTATTGCAACTCTGTCCAGGCGGGGATTCCGCCGCCCTTCCCAGCCTCCCTGGGAGCTGGGTCGTGGGAGGAACCTGGCAGCAGGCACCAACCAACAGACACTGCATGCTGAGACGCAAGCAGGGATGCGGGCAAGACTCTTTTATAAACATGATTTCTTTTTAGCTTTAATCCAGTGGATTAGACACAGCTGTGTTCATTCTGCTGGTTCTTTCATTTCAAAGCTGCTCCAATGCACTTTCATCCTCAAAAGTCCAGTCTATGGAGGTGGAAGTTGTTCATTTTAATGATTTGCTCCTTCGTTGCAATTTGTTCTAGATTTGTTCACTTTCAAGATACCATTTGGGCATCTTCTGTATTTCTTTTTTTTATTTTTTATTGTACTTTAAGTTCTAGGGTACATGTGCACAACGTGCAGGCTTGTTACATATGTATACATATGCCATGTTGGTGTGCTGCACGCATTAACTCGTCATTTACATTAGGTATATCTCCTAAAGCTATCCCTCCTCCCTCCCCCACCCCACGATAGGCCCCGGTGTGTGATGTTCCCCACCCTGTGTGCAAGCATTCTCATTGTTCAATTCCCACCTATGAGTGAGAACATGCGGTGTTTGGTTTTCTATCCTTGCAATAGTTTGCTCAGAATGATGGTTTCTAGCTTCATCCATGTCCCTACAAAGGACATGAACTCAACCTTTTTTATGGCTTCGTAGTATTCCATGGTGTATATGTGCCACATTTTCTTAATCCAGTCTATCATTGGTGGACATTTGGGTTGGTTCCAAGTCCTTGCTATTGTGAATAGTGCCACAATAAACATACGTGTGCATGTGTCTTCATAGCAGCATGATTTATAATCCTTTGGGTATATACCCAGTAATGGGATGGCTGGGTCAAATGGTATTTCTAGTTCTAGATCCCTGAGGAATCGCCACACTGACTTCCACAATGGTTGAACCAGTTTACAGTCCCACCAACAGTGTAAAAGTGTTCCTATTTCTCCACATCCTCTCCAGCACCTGTTGTTTCCTGACTTTTTAATCTTCTGTATTTCAAGCGATGATGAAAGAGAAGCATGGGTTACATAACGTGGTTTCCAGGCATGTGGGACTGGTGACTTCTTCTGACTTGCACCATTTGTGTCTTTCCAAAGTTTTCCAGGGAGTTGGCGGAAATGTGCATAAAATGGAAGGGAAGGAGAAATGTGCTCCAAGGACAGGACAGTTGACTGCTGCCCACGGGCTAGGCAAGTCCAGCATGGTCCTTCAGGGAAAAAGCACCTTCTAAAGAGAGTGGGGGAGAATCATCTACAACTCAGCTCATCCTTCCCCGCTCCTCTAAAATGTTACTAAAACCAGCAGAGCCACTTTATACCAATATATTTGTACTTACTCTAAAACACTCATTCCAGGGGCAAATAGCCATTTCTGGAAAACTTTCCATTCTTTTTTTTTTTTTTTTTTTTTTTTTTTTTTTTGAGATGGAGTCTTGCTTAGTCACCCAGGCTGGAGTACAGTGGCACGATCTCAGCTCACTGCAACCTCCACCTCCTGGGTTCAAGCGATTCTCCTGCCTCCACCTCCTGAGTAGCTGGGATTATAGGCGTGCACCACCACAACCAGCTAAGTTTTGTATTTTCAGTAGAGACAGGATTTCACTATGTTGGCCAGGCTGGTCTTGAACTTCTGGCCTCAGGTGATTCACCCGCCTTGGCCTCCCAAAGTGCTGGGATTACAGGTGTGAGCCACCGTGCCTGGCTGAACTTTCCATTCTTGACACTTTAATATAATACATCTTCAATACAACACTCATGAGGACATTACACATACCCGTGTGCAGGTGTGCAGACACACACAAGCTATCTTCCAATATCTTTTCCTTTTCGAAGATGGTCTCTGATTCCCAAACCAATCAATCATGATGAGACCACTGGAAGTGGAAGAGCCTCTGCACCCAGCTGAATTTCTAATTCAACAAACTATAAGATGGGTGGCATGAGCCCATTTGACAGATGGAGACACTGTCATGCTCAAAGAGCATGAGGATCTTGCCCAAGGCCACCAGGCCATGGGTAGTGGAGCTTGGATCAATGTACAGGCCCTACAGCTCATACTCTTTCCATGAAGCCAAAATGCTTTTCTAGTGGCCCAATGAGGGATGAGAACCACACAAGACAATGCACCTACCTTCATAGGGTGCCAGTAAGACACACAGGATGCCAGTAAGACACAGACACCCAACATTGAGTCCCTCGACATAGAAATTAAAGTTCTGTTACTACATTCCTGTCTTTCATCTCATGTGTACAAAGCAAAGACACCCTAGATCATTTGATAATATTAGAAACACTCTGGCATTGTGTTATTATCATTCTGGACCATTGTTTCATCATGGGAACAGAACCACACACACAGACACCAGTCATCAGGAACAAAAGCATTATTGTCTGGGCTCAGGCAATCATCCTTGACAATAGGATATGCTCTGTCTGATTATCACATAGGCTACTATACAGAACAGCATGCGTGTGCATGTGTGTGTGCATGTGTGGGTGTGTGCACTGTGTTGCTACTGATTGTAACACTCATATGTCTGCTCCCACCATTCCTCTGCTGGTGTTTGATTATTGAGGACCTCTGCCAAGAGATAAATCAGTTCTTAAAGGTGCAGCTCGTCTAATTAATACCTGTGGATACAACATTTAGCATGCCTTCTTTCATAAAGTCATCCACAATGTGCAAAATTTACCCTTCTTCATATTGAAATGTTAGTTGAGGAGCTTGGTAAATGTCAATCCAGGTCTCTGAAGTGGTAGCTAAAAGCTCTGTGGCTGTGTATTTGGGTTCAGAGTTGAGCATCAGAGAGCAGACTGCACTCTGGACCTCAGCAGAGATCTGCAGGCAGGTTATGAAAACCTTGTCTGGGCAACACACACATGGTCTAGAAGAGCACGGCTTTCAAGGGCAGCTCTGGGATCTGGAACTGGATGAGGTTCTCATTTGAGGTCAAAGTTAGCGCCACGGCTGGAGCAAGACTAGGAAAGCAAAGAAGGAAAGCTGAGATGTCTGATGTTTGGCTCTCTACATAAGAAAAGCTTAAAGTTGTGTTTAAATTTTTTTCCAATTGTTCTCCCTCTCAATGAATGCCCCAGCAGACACCTGGGGGTAATCAGTGACCTTTCCTTTCTCCCTGGAACCATCTGTCCACCTCTCATCTAATGCTACCAATTTTCCCCCTTCCCAGTGTCTATCAAGTTCACTTCCATGCACCACCACTGCCGCAGCCCTCTCCAGCCTTCCATCAAATCTTGCCTGGATGATTGCAGTGTTTCACCAGCTCCTCCACCTGCATTCCCTCATGCTTAACACAAAAGAGTCTCCCCCTGCCACGGAAGGGATATTTGGGAAATGCAGCTATCCTCCCAGGAGCTATCTGCATGAATCACTGTACAGCATCCCACCTGCAGGCTAAAGACACGTGCCTTAGACATGGCCTCTGACCGTTCACGGTTTGACCCATTGGCCTTCCTGGCTCCATCCCACCATTCTGTTGCACCCTCTCTGCCCCTGCCCACTGCTCTCTTACCACAGGGCCTTTGCATAATCTGCTCCTCCTGTCCAGACCCCCTTTTCTCCCTCTTTCCTCAGGTGAATCTTGCTCACCTGCCAAATCTCAGGACAGCTATCACCTCCCAAAGAAAGTTCCTCTACTTCCATAAATCAAACCCTCTCCTTATGCTTGCATGTGACACCATGACTGTTCCACTGAGTAGGGAGTGATTGCTGTTGTGCATTACTTATGGGTTAGTAATTACTGTTTGTCTCCCAAAGGACCACTGGCTTCCCCAGCCAAAGTCCACGATTGCACCTGTTATCATCCTATCTCCAGCACCTAGCAAGTGACTAGGACGTGGTGAGCCCTGGTGGATGCTCGGTGACTGAAGGAAGGAATCAATGCTGTGTTTTGATCGCCTTGGCTCTAGAACAATGGTGACCAGTTAGTGGTGCCAGGCCCTTTGATGGTCAAGCCACCAGTCATCATTCAGAAGTTTGACTCTGCCTGGTACCAAACAATCACACGCCAGTTAGGCAGATAGCTGTCAGCCTCTCTGAAAGGTTTACATTTCCAACAAAGATATATATCAATCATAAAACTCTGCCTGATAAAAAGAATTTAAAAAAAAAAGCCTTTTTCCCCAGCCTCTACCCAGCCTGTGGGATGACCACTCGTATCAGGTAGATGGCAGAGCAGTCAAATGTACTACTGTCCAAAGCATGGGGATATAGAACCAATATTTCCATAAGAATTGGCATGTATTGGCCAGCCACGGTGGCTCACGCCTGTAATCCCAGCACTTTGGGAGGCCAAGGCTGGTGGATCATGAGGTCAAAAGTTCGAGACCAGCCTGACCAACATGGTGAAACTCCGTCTCTACTAAAATACAAAAATTAGCTGGGTGTGGTGACGTGCCTATAATCCCAGCTACTCAGGAAGCTGAGGCAGGAGAATCGCTTGAACCCGGGAGGCAGAAGTTGCAGTGAGCCAAGATCGCGCCATTGCACTCCAGTCTGGGCAACAGAGTGAGACTCCATCTCAAAAAAATAAATTAAAAAATAAATAAATAAAGGAATTGGCATGTATTTGTTTAAATGTGTATTAAAAACATGTATAACTGGCACACCCATCCTGGGACTTTACAGATACTACTGCTTAGAATAAAGCTAAATAAGAAAGAAAAGAAATATGTAAAATTCATTTACAAAGTCTGTATATAGAAAAAATAAGCTAAATCAGGGGTTGGCAAACTGTGGCTCAGACCAAAGCTGACCAAAGCCTGTTTCTGTATAGCCCATAAGCTAAGAAATTTTTTTCTTTTTAAAAGAGTAAAAAAGAAAGAGATAAATAGATTACAGAGACCATGTGGGCCACCATGTCAAACAATTACAATATGGCCCTTTCCAGAAAGAGGTGTCTGACCCTGAACTAAAGACTCACAGTAGGCAGATGTGGGCAGATGTGGCCACGATGGTGGAGGTGGTATGTGGGTGGACATTTGGGAAACACGGTGCTCAAGAAAGTTAGATCAGAAGTCAGGTACGTCTGAATCCAAATCTCTATACTTTCCAGCTCTGTGACCTTGGGTGAATTGTTCAACCTTCCTGAGGCTTAGCTTTCCAGTCTGTAAAATGGGAAGATAATACCTGCTTCATAAGTGTGAAAATAAATACAATTTAAAAGCTGTTGAAACCCCTCAAACACTTTAAGCCTTGAGAGAGATGTGACTGTGATCTGAGTCACAGATGGTTATAACGTCTGTTTTTCGGATTATAGATTCCCTTGCTTTTTTATTTTTCTTGTTCTGTACAATGACTAGAGAGAGCTGAATGACTCCAGGGATGAAAACCTCCTGCCTTCTTAATCAATGAGTCCTGTGATGGGTTAACTTCCCCGCTTTGTTGCCCTGCTTTGCTTAGACCAGACAACAGAAAGCCCATGCCTAAGTACTTCCTCTGTACAAAATGTTAAGTGTACCTGTCCCAAAAAGAAACACTGCCTAACCAATCAAATTGCTGCAACTATTAATATCCACCAACTTTGTATGAAAAATGTAATCCTGCTTAAAAACAAACAAACAAACAAAAAAACTTCCTCCGTCTCTGCCTGTATAAGTGAAACCTTAACTTTCCTACTTTGAAACATTGACTCCGTTTCTTGGAGTTGGTGTTTTCAGATAGGCCATCCTCACACTTGGTGTTTGAAGGCACTCTCTTTATTCATTCCATCATTTATTGTGCTTAATGCGCCATTTGGGTCCTCTAAGGGGCAGACGCTGAGATGGAGTTAGGACTCCAGAAGATTGCTGGGATTTGGCCTCTGTGAGCGATGAGGGAGAGGTGGATTGGACGCAATGTAGCTCTGACAAGGCCTCGGCCAACCACACAGGGAGGAGTTCCCGCACTGGGTAGAAACTGCCAGGCTCCAGTGCCCGGCTGTGCTCAGTGAGTGTCTGGGGGCAGCCTGGAAGGAGTGTGGAGGGGGCTGGAGGTGCTACTGGCTGGAGCCCACTGCACCCTTGCAGTTGAATGTCAAGTTTTCTCCTGAAGGGAGATGTCTGCTGTGCTTTCTCGTGGACGCTGCAGCCCATCCCTTGCTCCCTGGCCCTCTGCTTCTCCATACATGTGCTGGAGCTGCACCTGCAGGGTGGCAGTGGGCTTCTCTTTGTGAGCAGAAGGAGGGTGCCAGTGGTACTCCTTTTCACCCTCCTCCACTATCTGTTGTAAATTCACCTCACCCTGCACCATCCACTCGGCAGGTCTAGGGGGCTTACCTAGTGGTGTGACCTAGACCCCCATCCCAGGAGGAAGAGTTCTCGATCGCATCCCTCCTCAGGCTGGGGCTGCTGCGTCCCTCCATTCGTCATCACAATGTGTCAAGAAAACACTAAGAAGTTCACACAAGTGCGTCACCTGAGTTCCTCGTGGATCCCTCCTGACCCTACTGTGTTGAAAGCAGTCTTGACCCTTCTGAAGACCAGAGCCGATGACCTCTGCCAAGATGATAAGCCCTCTTTTACCCACTGATCCCTGGGTGGAAGGGGCTCACAGGGCTCTGCAGGCAGCTGGAGCTGGTACTTCCATGGAACTCTTGTAGTTTCCCCGGCCGCAAAGCACGCCTTTGAAAACCAGAACGTTGAGACCCGAAGAGCTCTGACTTGCAGGCAGGGGAGGCAATAGCCTCAGGGTCCAGTCTTTGGAAGTTTGGAGTGTTAGCCTGGGTCTGCTAGAGGTTGACGCCCAGGCAGCCTGAGACTGATTGGGGGATAAAGGAATGGGAGCCAGAGGTAGAGGGAGCGCCTTAGACTAGCGCAGATCTGACCCCCAGTGAAGAAGAGAGAAGGAAAGAGGAGCAGGTGGGAATTGTCTCAGACTGCAGCCCAGTTCCAAGAGAGATCTGGCCAAGCCAAGGGGGAGTTCTCGAACTGGTTATCCAGTAGACATGTCCTGTGGAACATAAAAAAGGGAGGAAGCAAGGTTGAGTAGGAAGAGCCTTTTAGCTGTCATGGAAACCTGACATCCACGAAAGGATGGGGTGAGGAGGCAGCACTGGGTAGGGGCAGACTCCTGACCGCATGGACACTGCAGATCTGATGAAGATGCAGGGCCCTCCTGAGCAAAGACTGCTGGCGAGGAGGGGGTCCACAACGGGTGGACGGGCCCAGGCCCCAGTGCCCACAGTGAGCCCGGCCTCAGCCCAAAAACCTGGCGTTGACCGGAAGTTGCTAAAGGCTGGAAGCTGCCAGCTTACCACCTCTTGAGCAGGCTCTTTTTTAAAAAATGAGTGCTCACTGCATCTTTTTAAAAATTGATACATAATATTTGTTCATATTTATGGGATACGTGTGTTATTTTGCTACATGCATGTAATGTATTCTCTTTCATATGTGGAAGCTAAAACAGTTAATCTCATGGAGGTAGAGAGTAGACTGATGGTTCCCCCAGGCTGGGGGCGGAGGCAGGGGCGATGGGTGGGTGACAACAGGGTGGTTAATGGGCACAAACCTACATTCAGATAGAGGAGTAAGTTCTGTGTTCCATGCTAGGGTCTTCCTTGAAAGGAGGTTCATGTAGCAGCCTCCAGAGCTGCCACACATCCCATCATATCAGAACCCTTTCCACTTTGTTGCCAACATTAGATTAAATGACTGCTTATTTTTTCCAAAACCAATAAAAGAATGTTGGCTATTTTTAGTGCCTATTTATAAGTATTTATATGGCTTAGTAGAGTTTTCTCAACATGAAATGCCAGAGTCAAAAATGTGATCATTTTTAAGGTTCTTAGCACAGTGCTAATTTTTTCTCACAACATCTGAGCAACTTTGTGTTTCACTCAGCAACACAGGAGCATGTTTAGCTCCTTGAAAGAGTCCACCCAGGGGTAGTCTAGTTTAAAAAAACAAACCAGTGAAACTTTCATCATGATAGTGATTGCAACTTGAATGGGATATTTGAATATTATAGGGGTTGAATATTTTTTTCTCAATGTTGTTAAACCAGTAGTGGTTTGTTAAAAATTTGTGAGTCTGTGTCTGCTGAGAGACAGATGCCAAGCTGGGTTCAGCCCTGCAAGAAATTCATGAGGGCTCTGCCCCATGAGGATGCTGGGAGGGTGCTGGGAAGACTGGGGGGCTGCCAGAAGGTAATGAAGGTGTGACCCATGTGAAGGAGGTAGGGAGGGAGGGAAGGAGGAGGGCTTGAGAAACAGCACCCTCAGCTGCAGTGCAGTCTGGTGGAGTCCAGCGAGGCTGTCAGGAAGTCCTGGGGCTAATGTTGTCAATCAGAGGAGTCCCACACCCCCCAGGAATGGCCTGCCTCCAGTGAGACAAAGCAGCAAATGTAAGAAGCCACCTTTGATCATTTCTGCTTGCCAGCGTCACTTCACAAAGCCCCTGACTCTGGGATGATGTGCAGCTCCCTGGAAAGATGCTTTGAAGACAAAACAGGATAGGGCACACAGCCCCCCCAGGTCTCTCGCCCGGGTCACCCTCTTCCTTAAAAGCTGAATGATCCCAGTCCTGCCTTTTTCTGCATGTAAGGTAATGTCTGACGGCTTTGTCATTGTGCCTCTGGAATCTATGACCAGGTGTCCTCTTGCACCCAAACCTTGATGTGATTTTGCACGGACTGGACCTTCACCACCTGTACATCAACTGTGAGCCAAAATGCTGCTTTGGCAGCGGCTGGCAGAATCACTCTGAAAGATCCCCCCGGGGGAAGTGGGCCTCGGCTGCAGTCCTCAGGAAGACTTCTGAGCAAAATGAACTTTAATTCTTAAAGACTTCATTTTTATTTTAGGAGACACTTAGTATCCCTGCCGCCCTCTGCCTCTGCCTGAGAACAGCCTGCAGCAATGTGGCCTCACTGCAAACCAGTGATAGACTTGGCGACAGATCTGGTGACCAAATAATGCGGTGACTGAGGGCCCTTGGTCAATGATTGTCCCCGTGGCTGAAGATCTGAGAGGCCCATTTCCATGATCACCACAAGAGTCTTCATGGATACTGTGGTGCCGACACACCTACAAGTATTTTAGTTTATTTAACTGATTTATATGAGACTTTCACGTAATTACTAGTTGTTTGCGTGTAAATCATTTCTAAGATATTTTCTTCAATTTATAAATTTTTCTTCTGTTTTTATGCAGATTTAATGCAGTCGAACTTTTCTTTCTCTTTTACATTGCAATATCAACAAGTAAGTTTATTTGGTTTGGATTTTTATATTTAACTTTTGAATAGTTCTAGAACATATTTTAACATCAGGTTTAAAGTTTGGCATACATCGTTTTAAAATTCCAAATCATCAGCTAATTTTCCCCCAACAGTTGGTTGAACAATTCCTCCCTTCTTTATTGATTCAAAATGCCACTTTTATCGAATAGTATGTCCTTATATATAAGTTTCTCTGATATAAGCTGTGTGTCATATCTGCTCTTTCCCCAGCATCTCACTTCACACCCAGTGGTAGCTCCGCAATCATCTTCCATGACCTGCATGCTTGTGTGAGCAGAACACTGCGAAGTACGTTACCTGGGCATCTCATTTAATTCCCACAATCAGCTTACACTGTGAGCTCTTACTGCCTTCATCCTGTAGACAAGGAGTCTGGGGCTCATGGGGGACAGCCGACGTGCAAACCTCATCGAGCCAGCAAGTGTCAGCAGTGTCCAGCCGAGAACAGCCGCAACTCTCCTGTCACACCGTTCACATCTCTACATGCACAAGCATCTGCAGCCTCTCCATTTTGTCTCCCAGAGCAGCATGTTCTGCTTTTAGAGACCAGCAGGGCACTCAGGAGTAACTGGTTGGGCAAGTCACATCTTTCCTCCTCCTCGGCCTCCTCCTGCATCTCCTCTTTCTTTCTCAGTGTCTTCCTGAGTGGGCGTGCACTCGACTCCGGTGAGCTGGGCCTAAACAACTGAGCTGTCGCGGTGTCTTCATTCCCTAGGGCTGCTGTAACAAAACACCAGAAACCTGATGGTTTAAAACAACAAACTGTCCCACAGATGGAGCACCCAGGAGCCTGCAATCAAGAGGCTGGCAGGGCCACGCTCCCTCTGGGGGTTCCAGGGAAGAACGGGTTCCATTCTCCAGGCTTCTGGAGCTACAGGCATTCCCCGGAGCTCCTTGACTAGGAGATGCGGCACTCCTACCTCCGCCTCCGCCAGGCATGGTGTCCGCCCTGTGCTCCTCTAGGCATCTCTCCTTCTCTTTCAAGGACACCGGTCCTATTGGATCAGGGCCCACCCTACTCCAGAATGACCTAATCTGAACCAAATACATCAAGCCATGATGCTATTTTCAAAGAAAGCCACATTCTGAGAGGTTCCAGGAAGGACAGGAATGTAGGGGGAAAAGCCCTATTCAAACCCTGTATGTGCCATATTGAAATATAGTATGAAAAGTGTGTAAACCCAGCTGCCGTAGGTCAATTCCTAGTCCTCAATTTCCCACAGAGGGGAGAAGCCTGCGCCTTTCTCTCCACCCCACTGTCATGTACCTCTCTGCAGGGTGAGACCGAGAGGAGGAGGGAGCCTGCGTGGGCCACTCAGCTCCTGGGGTGCTCTCGTTTCCCTCCTCATGCCTATAAAGAAGGGAGGGGGTCTTCCTCTGTGTCCCTGCTTCCCTGTGCTCAGCATGGTGGACTCGGACCCCACCAGCCTTCTGGAAGCCCTGGGTAAGCAAGTTTGCTCAGCCAACCCCAACCCTCTCTGGTGTCATTGTCCTGTGCTTCTGACAAAGGCCAAGGGGTTTGGAAGCCAGTCTGTGGCCCCAAGTACCAGTTCAGTTCTCCCAGCCAGCTTTTGAAGTAGAAAGACGGATTTATTATGTCCGTATGTCTGAATCCTCTGTCTGCCTGCCAACTGGTTTGGGATTTGACAGTGAACTAAATGGAAGAGGTGGCTGGAAAGGATTGACATGTGCTGGTCAGAATTCACGTGTGGAGAGAGAATCCTGGGGCTGGGCCAGGGCAGTGGCTTTCAGCATTACTGCTTTAGGAAGCTCAGTCCCCTGACCTTGGTAGTATCAGAGGGATGGGGCTGAGGCTCCTTAGTGACAGGCGAGGACTCCAATGAGTCTCTTGCCCAGGTTTCACCTTGGTCTGACTTCCCCAGGTCCACCTGGGCCACAGCAGGGACTAGAAAACCTGAGAGTCTCTGTGGCCCAGCCAGGCGGAGCAGGTGGGCAAGCAGATGCTTTTGTGAGTTCTCCTGGTTCCGTCGCCAGATCAGTATCTATACTAGGAGATATTTTGGTATTTTCCTCTTCATCTTGTCCGACCTTCATCTAAAGTGAAGGGGGACTTATCCAGTCATTATGTGGCTTCTCCCATTTGCTCTGAAATCCAGAAATGTGTCATTATGATTCTGGATTTTGGAAATGGGAGCACAGCTTTCCCCATGGGACATAGATTTTATTAATGAACAAATGGAGCGTGTGAAGAGCCATTTTGGAGAGGGAAATGGAGGAATAAAGTTGAATGACATTCAGGAAAATTTAAAGACCAAAATTATCCTTACCTGAGATTTCCATGTGGGACACAGGTGACATGGGCACCACGACACCTGGGGCAGCAGCTAGAGAAGTTTCAGGATGACGCTGGAACCAGAAGAGACAACTCCAGGCCCAGCCCACCCCTGCACTGGGCCTCCAGGTTTGCAGAGTCCACACTGAGCACAGGCAGGTTTGGAGGAGAGCAGACGGCAGAAGCCTTGGTCCCACCAGGCCGCGGGGCCCCTTGCAATCATCAAGAGCAGCTGCTATTCAGGAATCTGCTGAGGGGGAGTCTCATGCCAAAATAGATGCTGAGAAGGAGAGATAAAATAACCTCTAGCTGTTAGATTTCACTGGCAGGATCAAGTGGTGGTGGTAGCCACAGCATGGCCCCAGGTGCTACTGCCACCCAGCCCACCCTCAACACAGCACCCAGGTGCCAGGGCACGAGGCTCAAAGAGAAGTGAAAATTACAAGTCTTTGTATATTCAAAATGTGCAAAAAGGAACCCAAATCTAAGACCTGGTGACCAGGGTGTCATTATAACTTCCTAAGTTTTGCGAGATAACGGGTATATTTCAGATGTCACTCTTTGATACAGGAAGCATCTGTTTGGCTTTTTTTCTTTGCATCAGACAGCTATTGCTGCAAAAATGCTGCATAACAAACAGACCCAGAACCTCAGGCTTTATTTCTCATTCACAGAGTCGTGTACAGGTTGTGGCTCTGCTGTGCTCAGCTGGGATCGGCTGGGCCTGGTCCACTCACTGAATCCCCCCATTCTTCTCAGAACGGCGGCTAGCAGGGCATGTCGCATTTATGGCAGAAGTGCAAGAAGCCAAGCCAAACCACATGGGTGCAAGTGAGGACTGTGTTAGCATCTTGTTTGCTAACTTTCCGGGGCCAAGAAAGCAAGTCATGTGACAAACCTCTAAATCAACCCAAAATAGATTGTCCTCCACATATCGCACCGGGAGGCACCAAGGAATCACATGGAACTAGTTCTAGCTGTATGATCTATTACAGAGAGGGTGAAGGTCTGGGACCCTGAATCTAATCTACCACTATACCACTAGGAGATTTTTTTTCCAAACCAGTGTAGGACTGGAGGCTCTGGTTTTGGACACATGGCACTAACACTTGGCAGGAGTGAAATCAAGAAGAGCTTTCTTTGACCTGCCCTCTGTCTGTCCATCTTCCTTCAGATGCATGAGTCTCTAGGACAGCCTTTGGAAATGTTTCTGCCTTTACCTGGAAGAACCTCTCCTGGCCTTCTTCCTCATCCCAATTCACTCACTTGTCCCGAAGACTTCTCTGACTGGTGAGACTCGAGAGGGGAACAGGTCACTGTGGCTGACCTCAGCTCCCCACTCTGCAGCAAGCACACTAGGGTCAGGTGCGGGTCAGGACGCCCTTCTCCTTCTGTCAGGCAGAGCACCCAGTGGTGACCCAGCCAACAGTCTGACTCTTCCTGCTCTGCAGACCTCAATCCTCCTCCATGTGAGTCAGCCCAAGGGCTGGCTTGGAATAGAGGCTGACAAGAAGCCCAGTTGGAGCCATAAATCCAAACTGAACTCTCCAATATAAATTTATTTCTCAGACAACAAACAACAGATGAACAAAATCTCTTGTTGGCTTTAAAACTCAATCTCTACAGCTCCTGTGTCTTATTTCTTAGTACGTCTTAATTCATAGAAGATTTAGGGCTTATGAATGATTAGCCCCCTAAGAACCAGCAAGCCCCCTTCGTTCTTTCTTTTTCCCATTTTTAAATAAAATTTCATTAAATACAGTTTCATTAAAGTATAACACCCATGCAGAAAGATGCACAAATAATAAGCAAACAGATAAATGGATCTCATAAAGTAAACACACTCATGCAACCAACCCATAGATCATAAACAGAATGTCACTTAAATGAAGAAGCAGCTGGGCATTTATGCAAAGCAAAAGAAATCTGTATATCAAGGACATAGCAGCATCATATGTTTATTGCAGCACTATTCACAATAGCAAAGACATGGACTCAACCTAAGCGTAACTCAATACCCTACCGATTGATTTGTAGCTGGGTGGATCACACAGGCATTGCTCCTCCCTCATTAGTTAATGCCCATAGTCCCTGAATATGCATAACTTCTTAAGCAGGACCCTAGTAAGGAAATACACTTTTACTCAGAAATACCCACAATTCCTATCAATCTGCCATCAACCCAGGTGTCTTCAAAGATACTTCCACTGAAATGACTCTAATTCTACTATGAGAGCCTGTGAATCAATCTGGAACAAGGGTAAGAAGAAAAAATACTTTTTCTCACAGTGAGATCTTCTTCGATGCATCCAACTCACCCGTGGGACCCTAAGTCACTTGTACAGCAAAGTCAAAATGGGACAAATTCTGGCTCTACTTCCAAGAAAGGGACAAAAGGAGAAAATCGTTTCTTTGTTTTTCACATGAGCGGGGTGTCACATAGGCTTTCCCACTGCACAGTGGGCATTTGGGCAGGGGACATTTGCAACATTGAGGTAGGACAGGGAGCAATTCTAGTCTGAGACCACTGGTGCCTTTTCCATGAGGGTCCACCCGATTGAAACACTGGTTGGGAAGGTGACAGCCAAGACAGCAACACACAGCATTGTGTGAGGAGAAGTGGATGAACACACCACCCTGGTTGGGCATGGCTGGAGGAGGAGAGTACTCACGGGGTGTCGCCAGAGACCCCAGTAAACACACCCTGGAGCCTCTGCCCCAGCACAGTTTCAGAAAATCAGTCTCAGCTCACGAGGTCTGCAAAGCACCCTTAGCCATGGCTATTCTAACAAAGCCCACAGCCGTTCCTGAGAATTCCAGCTGAAGGGGAATGCCAAGCAGATGTGATGTCTTGGTCTTGGGAATTTCCGAGTCTCTTGCTTCTCTCCCAGGAAGCTCCGTCACGCTCTGCCTGAGCCTTGGGTGCCTAGCATCCCTCGCAAGACAGAAGGCACGCCACCCCAGCCTGATCAAGGACACAGTGAAAAACGTGGGTGATGCGGCTGATGCCACCTATAAAGCTGTCTGCAAAACCATGCTTAGTATTAAAAAAAACTGATTGAAAATCCGAATATAGCAATACTCTAAGTCCACATGTGATTTTGATGAGAAGGGTTTGCACCTCCTATAAAGCCCTGGAGTAAATAAACAAACTCATTAAATTGTCAAGTGTGAGAAAGTTTCCTTTGAAGAATTCTCAAAGCAAGTCAATAATTTCTGGATGGAAAATGGGCACTCCCCACTGCCTGCACATGTGGTCCTGGGGAAATGTGAGTTTTCTCAGGATGGAAGCAAGAGTTGAGCTAGCAAGTTAGGGGATTTGAAGCCCCTGGCAACTCTAAGAAAGTGGAAAACTGAAGCTATTCTGCCCTGGATTTGTGGGCCCTGGGGCCACCATGGAGATGAAAGGAGAGAGAAGGAAGTCCCCAGGGTACTCAATCAATGAGTTCCTTAATGGCACTGCTGAGAAACACAGTGGGGAGGAGCAGAGAAACCGCAAACCTCAGCAGGTGTTACGGCCATCCTTGGCCAGCCTTGCAGACGTGCACCCATGGTTGTTTGTTTGTATTGTGTCCAACAGAGATTTGACTCTCTCCAGTCAGACCCAGCTGACCATCCCTTCTTCCCTGCACCGCACATGCAATTCCCTGTAGTGGGGGACCTGCATCCCCAGCACTAAGAGCCCCCCAGGGAAGGGGACCCCTGAGCTGTCAGTGCCTGGCACACCTCACCCTGCCTCACACCCAGCCCTGCCTTCATGGTTCCCACCACAAACACTGCCTCAACCCCTCACCAGAAATCCTTCTAGAATGAGGCGCTTTTTAAATCCAGATGCAACTGTGAATAAATACTTGATTTTTATATAGAATTTCCAAGTCCCCAGTGAAGATTCTATTGTGGCATTACAAACTGACATTTACTAGAGTAAAAAAGAAATAGGGAAACCAGATTTCCTTTGCAGATTTTGCACTCAGTAGGAGTTGAGTAGCAGGGAAGAAATTACATTTTTGTATCATCTAATAAATGCCCCAACCCATTCTCTGGGCAGTCTCAAGGGTACCACGGGCTCTTTCCCATCACTTGGTCTTTGATGTCCCCTCCCTCCCTGCTCCCCTCTGGGTAGTTTCTGAGAGTAAAGGATGAAAATGCTACTGCAGCTCCATGGGAAAGGGCAGCCCCAGGCCTAGAATTGCCCCTAGTGTGCATGGTCTGGTGGCCCCGGTCTGGCTCTGTCTCTGCCACTGCTGCCCACATCTCTGGCTGTTCTCAGCTTAGTCACAGCCCAGTAGCTCTCTCTGCCAACCAACCGGTGCCATCTCAGCCTCCCTGGTGCATTTCTCCTGAGTCTGACGATGCTGCCCCTTGTCTTTAGCTTAGGTGTTTGGCCTGTATCTGCCTATAGGGTCGTTTTCCCCACCCTGGCCACTCCTCTGGGAAACTTCCTCGCCAAACTTCCACGACCCCTGAGTGCCCCGCAGGCGTGAGCAGGAATTTCTCACTGCCTTCCACACCCAGAAGGAGCCAGGGGCATCCTAGGAGTATTGGTCTGGGATCTTCTGCAAGACCATGCATTCTCCTCCTCAAGTCCTCAGTGGGGAGTGACACAGAAGCCCATCTGCTTTTTTGCTTTATCCTCAATCTTTCTCTTAATGTACGTCCTCCATATCTCTTGAATTCGAGCCTCAATCATGACACATATCTGACTAATTTTTTTCTTCCTCTCCTGCCATTCTGTGGGGCTATCAAGAGCACAATGAGGCCGGGCGCGGTGGCTCACGCCTGTAATCTCAGCACTTTGGGAGGGCGAGGTAAGATCGAGACCATCCTGGCCAACACAGTGAAACCTCGTCTCTACTAAAAATATGAAAAAAAATTAGCCGGGCGTGGTGGTGGGAGCCTGTGGTCCCAGCTACTCAGGAGGCTGAGGCAGGAGAAAGGCGTGAACCCGGGAAGCAGAGCTTGCAGTGAGCTGAGATCGCACCACTGCACTCCAGCGTGGGCGACAGAGCGAGACTCCGTCAAAAAAAAAAAAAGAACACAATGAAAGATCCGAGAGCCGATTGTTAGATTTTTAGGGGTTTTGCAAACTGGTTGTTAAGGCATTATTAAAAAGTGAATTATAAAAATTTACAATTAGATTCATTTTATTAAAAACAACAGCAATAAATACTTAAACCTTATCACTTTCTAATTATCTTGCTACATTTTACTATTTTTAGTGCTCTTGTTGTTTACATTCATTGTCTCTTGATGGTGAAAATACTGTTTGACGGTGACCACTGGGAACCTCTTTCCAGGGCTGTGATCAGTCAGGTCACCTCGGTAGCTTGTAATCAGCCATGGAGGGAATACTTACACCATGGACACTGGCAAATGCTATGAACCAGGGCTTGACTTACTGTTTTGTTGATTGTTTAGTCTTAAAGACATGATAGAGAAAACGTTAATACCCAATGCAGATTAAACATGAAAGCATGTCATGTCTATAGCCATCATACTGTGAATAGCACAAAAACGTGAGGATATATTCTTTCATTGTCAGAAAACTCAGCAATTCAGCAAAGAAGTCACTCACATCATGAACAAGCTAGTGAAGCTTCATTGTTGTTTCATTTCTTTTTTACTTGTTAACATGAATGAAAATATCAACCAGCATTTATGTCAGAACTTCTCTCATTCAAGAATCGGAACCATAGGTTGACTACAGATATTACATAAAAGTTTGGCAGAAAAAAATCAATAAAATATTCTGTGAGAATAAATTGGCTATAAGAAATTTATAATAATGAGTATTATAGGATTTGGTATTATTTGTAAATATTTGCTGCATATTTTGTATAGCAGTAAATTTACAATGAACTTATGTCCACATGCACACATTTTAGACATCTAGTTATTAATTCCTCACCAGCACACCACACCACTGGCTATAATAGTGGGCTGGGTACAAAGAGAGACAAACCAGTTTACCAGTAAGGAAACAAAAATTGAGAAGTATTGTTAAAAGGCTATGTCTACCCTGGGCGCATGGCTCACGCCTGTAATCCCAGCACTTTGGGAGGCTGAGGCGGGCGGATCACAAGGTCAGGAGATCGAGACCATCCTGGCTAACACAGTGAAACCTCGTCTCTACTAAAAACACAAAAAAATTAGCCAGGTGTGGTGGCAGGCTCCTGTAGTCCCAGCTACTCAGGAGGCTGAGGCAGGAGAATGGCATGAACCCAGGAGGTGGAGCTTGCAGTGAGCCGTGATTGCTCCACTACACTCTGGCCTGGGCGACAGAGCGAGACTCCGTCTAAAAAAAAAAAAAAAAAAAAAAAAGGCTATGTCTATTACAAATCCAGAAGATGCCATGTAAAAGATGATTTGACTCTAAGACTAGTTAGGAACAAAGGCAAAAACTGAAAAGAGAGACTACATCTGGGTCTAAGGAAGTATGATTCTATCTCCCCAGCCTACCTTCAGAAGAATCCCCTCAGACTGGGAGAAGAGAAATTAGAGAGGAGAGGAGAGGAGAGGGGTACAATGATACCACATTGTGGCTTTAATTTTCACTTTGATGACTAAGGAAGTCAAGCATCTTTTGCATGTTTATTAGACATTTGGATTTCCTCTTTTGTAAAGTGCCTGTTCAAGTCTTTTGATCATTTTCCCGTTGGGTTATCTGTCTTTTGCTGGCCAATTTCTCATTTTTTACTCATCTAACTTGAGAAACTTTTTAAAAATTATGTTCTTTCCATTATCTTTTTAACATAAATTTTTTTTTCCAAAATGTTTTTATCTGGGATATTTCACAGCTTTTTCTATGAGTCATCAATATGAGTATTTATATCTCTAAGGATATATTTTTATTGGTTTTAGATGTTTATCCATAATTCTTTTCAATGACAACTTTCTCACTCTCAAATATTTATCTTCAACATTTACAGACTTAAAGACATGTTTAATCATTACTATAGTAAAGGCCATTCTTTTCTGTCACACTGCCATATTTTAGTTTTTTGAATTACAACATATGACTTTTTTGTTTATTTGTTTCCTTGTTTACCATATTTTTCCTACCAAAAGTCTTCATCTTGTTCATCTCCAGTGTTTAGAACAGTGAACACTATATAAAGGAGATGGTTTCAAATCCTTATAGAATTAAAGTGACCTGATTTTTGACTAATAATTGGGGTTTCTTTTTCATCTTAAAGCTCAAACATTCTACCAGAATGTCTTGAGAAATTTTCTGTTTGTTTTGCCTTGAATATGATGAGCTGTTTTCATATTTAGTCTTAGTCAATTGCATTATATCTTTGATTACCAATTCTGATTCCATTACAAAGGACAGTATTTCCAGACTCTATTTTCTATGTCTGTTGATTTTTAAAAATGTTTTTGTGTTACCTTTAATAAAATTACACAAATAACAGATTTATTCATGCTTTTCATTAAAATTCAAAAAATAGAAAATTGTAAAAGTGAAATTCTTTCTTTTCTTCTCCTGTCAGTACTGACATATTTGTGATTATTTTCCTTAACTATGTAGTAGTCATTGTCAAATGCGCATATTATAGTTTATTCAACCTCCTCCCAACGGTTGGACATTTAAGTGATTAATAGCTTTTCACACTTACAGAGCTGCATTGTATATTTCTGTGAATGTATCATTCTGCATGTGTGCAAGCATTTCTATAGGATATTTTCCTAGAGGTAGAATTACAAGGCCAAAGAGTGTGTATCTTTAAAATGTTAGCAGATAATGCTAAATGGCTCCTCAAAAATACTATAACAATTTGTAGGCCCCAAACTAGAGCATTTATTTCTTGCACTCTGGTGGCCAACATTGGCTAGTATCAATTCTGATATGCAAAAATGTTATCTTTATTCACATTCTCCTTATTTCTTAATAAATTTCAACTTTTTGAGTATTTTTCTCCATTTTTATTTTGTATATCATTTGCTTAACTTGCTGAAGGGCCTTTTTTATTTTAATTTCTTCCAACAATGATGCCATTTGGTTTAATAAACATTTTATTCTCCCCTTCTACCATCATATTTCTGTTTAAAAAATGACATACTTTTTTTTTTATATCTTTAAGAATAGAAAACCATCCCTTTATAAGATTTTCCTTTGTTCCATGAAAGACATTCATTTCGGGTGAAGATTTTCCTCTTAGTTTTTATAACAATGATCCTTTTATGTTTCAAATACTTCTAGGTCCTTGCTCCTTGTTGTTCTCTGCTTGCCTCATTCTTGAAACATAGATGTTTTATTTTATTGTTGTAGCTTATGCATATCGAAGGCCTGCTTGTTTTATTATGAAAATTACCAAACACCACAAAGGTATCTCTACAATGGCCCCATATACCCATCACCCAGATCTCAAATATTATCAGGAAATAGCCATAATTCATTTATTCGTTTTCTTGTCTTCCTTCCTTCCCTCCCCCTTTCTCCTTTCCTTCCTTCCCTCTTTCCTTCCTCCTGTCCTTCCTTCTTTCTGAAATATTGTAAAGCAAATTCTAGATGCCAGATCATTTCATTCTGACCTTCTTCAGTTTGCTTTCCTGTTTTGAAAAATTCGGATTTTCTTATATAATTATGATGCTATTAACACCTAACATAATTAACAATTCTTTGAAATCATCCAGTACCCATTTCAAATGTCACTAAGGGCTTCAAAAGTGACTTTTGTAAAGTCGGTTTGAAAAGGTCACTTTTAAAATGTGTTATCACTTGCCTATTTGAGTACTTTGGGCTCTGTGCTGTGATGGTCTAGGACTAAAAAAGAAAGTAAATGGAGGGATGGTCCCTGCCCCCCAATTCCAGCTAATCTCCAGTCCCCATCTCTCTGTGTGCTGAGTCTATTGCAGAATAGTAGTAAAATTGGTACTAAGTACTTAGGGACAGTTCTTAGAATGAATATTTGATTTACCAGCTTCATTTACTAAGTGCTCTATCAAGCCTTTTCTGTTACAGCTGCCAGGAAGTCCCAGGAAGAGCCCAGCCACATGGCCATTCTGGCACTTAAGCTGGTGATGTTAAAGGATCTCTTTTTAAATTTATGTCATATCCGCTTAAGAAATTTCTGAAGCCTGGAAAACATTTTCACTGCGGAAAAGGTTAAGAATAAAAAATTAGGCAGAGTAGCATTTTTCTAAGGAGAAAACAATTCAGCAGATCAAAGGGCAGATTATGCAAATTATAGTAATGGATTTGTATTTTCCCCTGGTGATCACAGAAGCCTGTCTGCAGAGAAAAGTGACTATACATCTGAAAATATCCAGATTAAGGACTGACAGTGACCGTGCAAGTAGAAAGGAATTATCTCCTGTAACCCCCAACCCACCAAGGTCCTTTGAAGATACCACTGCTATCAAAACAGCCTTGCTACGGAGGAGAGCGCTAGCTGGGACTTCCAGCTTTTCAGAAGCATGAGATATGCCCCTAGTTGAGAACTAACAGCTGAAACCAACTACAGTGAAGGCACCAAAGAAGACCAATTCCCAGACTAGGGGTTGAGAGCTCAAGACTCATTCTAGGCTCTGCCCCAAACCCCATTTTGGTCTCGGACATGTCCTTCAGATTCTTTCTGGGAGTGCATTCCTGGTGATTCTGGTTCCCATATGTGCTTCCAATTGTCATCTAGCAGGTACGATGCCATCATATCTGCAGAACACAGGAACTATTTACCCCTGGCAATATTTTTATCCACAAAAGTAAGCCTTCCTCTCCATCATTTTCTCCACCTCTGCCTAATTTTAGTACATCTAATGGGACAAAGAATAAGCTTTTTTTGAGCAAGTCATAAGTTTTCTCCAAATCCTGGCTCCCTTTTCTGAACAATAGGAATAGTAGTACCTACCTTCCACATTGTTCTGAATATTAAATGAAATACTATTGGCTGCTTATTAACAATTTCTGGTTTCCTCATTATTTTGCTCTTTCATTTAACCTGTAGTACTCATAGCTCTTCTTCATTCTAGAAACAATCTCACAAATCATTTAATTTCCTTACATGCAGGTGCTCTGAAGTTCATTGTCTCAGTGGCCTATAGCAGGAGAAGCTGAACCCCCTGATGTCATGGAGGGGACTTTGTACGTGTCCCTGATCCCACTTCACCAGCCTTGCAAAACCAGGGCCTATCTCACTGTCCACCTCATCTGACCCTCTGTCCCCGAGCCTGCTCCATGCCTTGCCCAGCACACATGGGACAGACAATTCCATTGGTAAGAACCGTCCCTTCTTCATTTGCTCCTCCTGGAGGTTTTAGGCTGGGCTGGACCCACAAATTGTGCTTGAGGGTAGCAGGCAGATGTCCCTCAAAGGTTAGAGAGGAGTCGATTGTAGTGTTGGTTCACAGCTCTTCTGTCCCTCCCATCCTGTATGGCTTCCTTTGGGCAAGGAGTGCCTCCCTCCCCACTGAACTGGGCTTGGCCACATGACTTACTGTGACCAATGAAACGTGGGCCGGGGCGACTGTGTGTCCACCCTGAACAGCTGCTTTAGGAGGTCTGTTTGGTGACATTGGCTCTCTTGTGGCCCTACAGTCTCCCTGTTGGTTAATATCCAAAATTCCCATATTGAGGAGTTCCCCGCCTTGGTTCAGGTGATAGCTGCCCCTTACACAATGATCTGACACAAATTCAGCACCAACCCTCCCTTTATCACGCCCCTTGGCATGGGTAGGCCCCACTATGGCACCTCTGGGGCTATCGGCTGCTTGTAACACAAGCCCGAGGCCACCTGCCGAAGCCCTTTCCCTTCCTGTCTCATCTCTGAGGCCATAAGTGACCTCATGACTTGAGACAAGGCCTTAGATACAATTGCTTTCCCAAAGTCCCATGACATTTCAACAAGCATTGCATCCTTGCAATGGGCCACTCCTTCCCTGGCCTCTGTTAAATGGCAGACCCTCCTTGCAGGGAGCATTGAGTTGTCTGGTGAATGCCTTTGCCTTCTGAGGCAGGTGCTCTTGAGCAGAACAGTCCAGTTGTCAGGAGCTGGTCCTGGGAGGTTGGGGCAAGGAGGCAAGGATGACTCTCAAGATACATGGCCACTTCTCTGGTCTGCATTGAGCTGGTTCCAAGGAGCTCCAGGTGGGGGTCCCTCTAATTCCTGCTCATTTGCCCAGTCCTGATTTTAACACAGCCCTTTCAGAAGCAGGGCACCAGGCTTCTGATCCTGTTTTTCTGGCACTGAAACAGGAATGCAGAGTAGGCAGTAGAAGGTGCTAATAGCAGCGGTCCCCAGCCTTTTTGACACTGGGACTGATTTCATGGAAGACAATTTTTCCACAGACCAGGGAGGTTGGAGGGGGGATAGTTTTGTGGTTTGGGGATGATTCAAGCCCATTACATTTATTGTGCACTTTATTTCTATTATTATTACATTGCAATTTACAAATGAAATAATTATACAACTCACCATAATGTAGAATCAGTGGGAGCCCTGAGCTTGTTTTCCTGCCACTAGACAGTCCCATCTAGGGGTGATGG
Organism: Homo sapiens; assembly: GCF_000001405.40. NCBI lineage: Eukaryota > Metazoa > Chordata > Mammalia > Primates > Hominidae > Homo > Homo sapiens. Next base: position 235,215,178 of record NC_000002.12, read on the forward strand.
GAGACCGTGATGGATCATCAGGCATTAGATTATTATAAAGAGCATGCAACCTAGATCCCTTGTATGCATAGTTGACAGTAGTGTTGGCACTTCTATAAGAATCTAATGCCATCTGCCGCTGATCTGATAGGAGGCAGAGCTCAAGCAGTAATTCGAGAGATGGGGAGTGGCTGTAAATACAGATGAAGCTTCACTCACTTGCCCACAGCTCACCTCCTGCTGTGTGGTACCGGTCTGTGGCCTGGGGGTTGAGGACCCCTGTGCTACAGCATAGAACACCCATGCTGATGCCAAACCACCCAGGTTCAAGGCTACCTCCTCCTCTCACTAGGTGAGTGACCTTGGAAAATGCATGTAGCTTCTCTCTGCTCAGTTTTCTCAAGACTTCAGCAGGAATCATGACTAGAGGTAGAGTGAGCACGTGTTTGGGGTTGTCCAGGACAGTCCTACTTAGAAATCTCGAACACTGTTGAGTATAGCAGGAGCTGTCAGGAGTCTGTTACACAGTAGAGCTGAAGCCCCTGAAACTTCGCCTGGCACACAGGAAAGGCTATGTTCCTTACTCAATACTTTCGTCATGGAGCTATCAGCAGAGAGGCTGTCCAGGGGAGGTTGCACATCCCCCATGGAGGCTGGGAGGAGTGCTGCTGTTTCCCCCGGCTGCTATTGTGAGGTGCATCCATTACTTGCTGCATAAATCCGAATTAAAGGAGTTTTCACTGGGTCTGTGCTCAGAGGTAAGTGGGCAGAAGATGAACAGATTATTCAGGGTGTGAGAAGGCAGGCCAGGAGGCTGGGTATCAGGGACTTTGAGTGGACAAAGAGGCAAGAAGAGAAACAGGCAGATGAGCAGGCCAAGGTGACGTACTTTTGTTGGAAATGCCATTGGCCGCCAATGGAAAAGGAGAGAAATGAAAGCCACCCCAACCCTGCTTTAGAGCTCCACTTCTTTGGTTTGCAAATGTAAAAATTGCCCAAGAGGAACTTGTCTCTAAACTGGTGCTTGGTCCTGCTTAGTCCCCAGCCATGAGGTAGGACCCATGAAGCATGAGGATAATATTCTTTCTCAGCCCAGTCAAGTTCACCCTGGGGTAGCAGGGAGGTCAAGGACCACGGGGAGAGTTTCATCCTGATGAGCTCACCTGTGAGGCAGCTGACTGGGCAAGGGCTTTAGGGACTCTGGGAAGCATAATCCTGTAACTGGGTTGATAGTTCAAGGACACAGGTGCATCTTTGCTCCTCAAAGGGTTGAGTTTGGTTGGAGAGATGTGGCAAATTGGAAAATGAGATTTATGCTCTGTTAGTAAGATTAGTCATTGTTCACCTAGGCAGCAGGTCATCAAAAACACATACTCCAGGGTTGAAGGAGGGAGTCCAGACTCCTCATCATCGATTATCAATTAATATTGACAGAACTCCCACTGTGGAGTGGGAGGCAGGTGTAACCAGGGATTTCTCTAAAATAACACTTTAGTGAGGAAGGGACAGAAGAGTTTGAATACATCTCAAAATGATCTGTAGCTAGTAATAATAATGAAACTAATATTTTAATCCTGCAAAGGAAAGATAAAATCTGCATATCACATAATAATGAAGAAATTGGGTCCACACATAGGAAAAATGCTGCAAAAATAAAGAAAGCCAAAACTTAAAAGTCTGGTTGATCAGCCTAACCCTGTGGCGAGGTTCCTGGACTGTTCTTTTTTCTCCTGAGATGTTTGTGTTGTTTGCATCACTGTGACAATAGAATAAGAATGTGGCACCTTGAGGTGAACTCAAAGTCATCTTCACTCTCTGCTCAGTAAGGGGAAAGGCATCCACTGGGGAGTCAGAGGCTCAGTGGAGAGGCTGGGCATTGTCTAGGGTTGAATCCTGACACTGAGGCTCCGGACAAATTGCTTGCCTCTATGAGGCCTGACTTCCTGATCCATGACGCCTGCCTTGCAGGGTCTTCTGAAGATGACCCAACAGGAAGCTGAGCCACAGCAGGGCTCATCCCACGCTAGGTCCTTCTTCTCCCCCTCCCCCTGCATTTTCTGTGTGTGAAGGAAGAGCTATGGGGGAGGGAGTAGTACAAGATCCAGACTCATGATCTGTATGATTTTAGCAAAAACCCCCTAAGGATTTCCCAAGACACACATAGAATTGGAATTAAAAACATATATGCTCCAAATGTGTCTATTGTTGGCTATTTAATAATACAATTCTGATCTAAGTTAAAAAGAAGAAGAAAAATAGCCATATCTTTGATTCTGTCTTGTAGTCAACATTTTTCAATACCCAAGAAAGCCTTTTTGAAGTTTACCTTCCAAAAGTTGATGTTTGGTTTTCAACATTCTCCATACTAAATAAGGTCATTGGGGAATTATTAAAAAAAAAATACAAGTCATTGCCACATGCAATTTTGTTGTTGTCATTCTTCTAACAGTTTTCTTTATGAAAATAAAAATCATTCTTGGTCTTGTCCTCGCTTGAAACTATTAAAAAAATATATACTATACACATGTCTCTCACAGAGCTTTCAAGTTCTACCTAGTAGGAACCATCCCCCACCACTTCAGCCCTGGCAGAAATTTAGGTTGACACCAACTAAAGGGCCTAATTCATAGATTTTGTTAAAGAGTCACTGCTTTATTCAATGTCTTCACAAAACACACAGTGAGGGCACAGAAGCACACCACCACTGTAAAAACCTTCTGATCTTCCCTTTGACCCCTCCCTTCCTTTCCCTCCCATTAAATCTTTCTTAAAGCTAATTTGGAAGAGGGAGCCCTGAAAAGCCTTTCTACTTACCCAATAGATGGTGGAAGTGTGCAACACATTTCTGGGAGAAGTTCTACATTGTGAAGTTATTATATCATGTATCTTGCTTAATTCAGGTGTAACTATAGCAACTGCCTGTAATTGGAGATCAGTGAAGAGTAATCTCTCAGGAAAATTAGTTTTGCCTTAGGCCACTTTAATTAAAATATAAATATTTTGAGGAAGGAACAAGTTAGATTTTTTTAAAAGGGGAAAGTAACAAGGAGAAATTGTGTGTGTGTGTGTGTGTGCGCGCGCGTGCGTGTGTGTGCGTGCGCGCGTGCGCGCGCATGCGCACGTATCTTCTTTACTTTTCTGTCATGGGCCCCAAAGCTGGGAAAACTATCAACATAAAATAAAAATGTTCTTGAAAAAGAAACATTTAATAACATTCATTTTAAAATGCATTATTTAAACACATGTTTTCCTCTATATGCATGAACTCTATTACAACAAGTGATATCTGTTTGGAGAATGAAATAAAACTCCCATTACTACTGAGGATTGGGAGGCAGTATGGATTCTTCCAGGGGGAGGCCTGATTGGGTAACAGATGCCAGCAGCATTGTGGATGCCAATGGCGTTCCAGTCCTCTACCGCCAGCAGTTAGCTACATAATCTTGAGCAAGTTTCCAAACTCTGAACCGAGGTTTCCTCATCAAAAAAGGGAAGTAATAGCACCAGCTTCATAGGGTTGTTTGTGGAATGAAGATAATGAGTGAAAAGGACTTGGCACGGGAGAAAGTCAACACATGTTGGGTTTTAATCTCATCGCTAGAAGTTTCATCAGCGAGGCGGAGCTGACGTGATCAGGATGGGTTGCATGGAAACTTGGGTCCTGAGACTCACTCTTCCAGGAACAGCGAGGAAGTCTCTTCCCCTGTCTGTGCTCCAGCTCCCTCACTTACAGTCTCAGGAGATCCGACTAGACCTCATTTAAAATTCATCCAATCCCCCAGTCCTGTGCTTCAAATTCAGCCTCCACTAAATACTCCTTGCCATTGTCTCATTTACTTTTCGGAAGGGCCCAATAAAGTGGAGATCGGCCAATCTGTTTGTCCCAGGCAAGGACACCAGGGTTCACAGAGGGTCTCAGAGCCAGGCTGGGGAGGAGCTGAGTGTTGGCCCCACTGACTCACACCTTTCTGATTCTCCTGAGTTCAGAGTATGTGCAAGGAGATTCAATCAGAGGCACGTTGCATACCTCATTAAGCTGAGGCCACGACCCAGAGTCCAGATTGGTCCCTGAGCTCAGAGTCCATTGACTGGCTTCTCCCACGGGGTCCCCTTTGCCCTGTGTTCATCCACGTGTCCTCTCAGTCATCTGGCAGCTAATTAGCCTGGAAATGACAGCCTGGACACTGATGTAAGGTTATGATTCCCAAGCTTCCCTTGGAGCTGTGAATGGTGACTCTGTGAACACATTTACCAGGATTCGTATGGAGGAATTCTGATTCATTTCAGATTTTTTTAAAAGTCAAAACACATGCCCCTTCAACCCCCAACATAATTGAACGTTTAAAGAGCCTGGGTGGTTCCATTTATTAGAATCACTTGGGGAGAATGTATTGAATCTGTTCAATGTACGATTCTCTTAAATGGATAATTCTATTAAAAGAAGGGGAGAAAATCTTTCTCACAAAACTCCTAATTTAAGTTCAACAATTCCATAATATTTAGTGAGAATGTAGAGTGCATAGGGAAAATTAAGCCAAATTATTGCCGTAGATTTGACACCATAGATTTGAGGAGTGTGTTGGGTGCCCCATTGCCTATGGTGGTGCCAGCTTTGCCTGTCGCCCAGACAACCCTGGGAGTGAGCAGAGTGACCTGGGGCTTGGAGGGGCACATAACTTCAGGGTCTTGGGGAAGACTAGCAAGTGAACAGGTTATTCTTGAAGGATGAGCAAAACTTACAGGGTGAAGAAATGAGAGGATGGTCTTTAAGGCCGTGGCCATAACACAGAGGTCAAGGCTTTAGCCCTCAGGTGGACGGGGTCAGGTAAGGTGAACTGACAAGCTGGCCTGCTGGGTTCTTCAGGAAACAGACTTAGACCCAGGAACATGTCGGTGATGACATCTGAGAAGGAAAAAGAGATGACACAGAGCTCCCCTGCCCCCACGAAGTGCTTCCCATTGATGGAGGCCTACACTGGTAGACAGGGCTAGGCCCTTTTACCATAACCCCCCACCCTAGTCCCACCCTACACAGTCTGGGACCTCCCTGAGAAGAGTAGGACCTGGATTCAAAAGCCAAGGGTGGGCTCTGAAGGAGCCGACAGGTGGAGGATCCAGACGACCACCTCCTGTTGAAGGCAGCGCTGAGCAACATCTCTATGCTGGCCACAGTGAGATCCAGCAGTGACAGGAGTGAAAGCTTATAGAGGGCATGGTATGTCTCCTGCTGAGCACGTTCCCTTCATTATTTCACTCAACCCTCAGGGGAGCCCGGTAAGGGAAGTGCTGTTAGAATGATTCCCGTTTTCCAGGTGAGGGACATGGCTCGGAAAGGTAACGTTAACTCAGAACCACAGGCATGCAGCAGGAGCAGTACAACCCCAGCCCTCCACATGCAGAGCTGGTGGTTTTAACAGGATGCAGGTGCCCGGAGAGGCAGACCAGGGCCAAGCCACCAAGGCAGGAGACCTGGTCAGAGGGCTGTCACAGCCCAGCCCAGAGCAGGGGCAGGGTCAGCTAAAGAAGAAAGGATGGCTTTGAAAAAGCTTCCAAGGACAAACTTGCATGGTGCTGTCTCCACACAGATGCATTGGGTTAGAAAGGTGTAACTGGAGGATGCTGAGATGACAGGCATGCTAAGCTTTGACACCACTCCTTTCACCCCTTTCAGCAGCCTGTATGAAAAGACATCAACCACATCCAGATTCCTCATTTGCTTTAATTGTTTGTTTGTTTTGTTTTGTTTTGTTTTGAGACAATCTCACTCTGTCGCACAGGCTGGAGTGCAGTGGTGCGATTTCAGCTCACTGCAACTTCCGCCTCCTGGGTTCAAGAGATTCTTCTGCCTCAGCCTCCCGAGTACCTGGGATTACAAGCACCCACCACCACGCCTGGCTAATTTTTGTATTTGTAGTAGAGACGGTCGGGGGGGTGGGGTCTCACCATGTTGGCCAGGCTGGTCTCGAACTCCTGACCTCAGGCGATCCACCTGCCTCAGCCTCCCAAAGTGCTGGGATTACAGGTGTGAGCCACCGTGCCTGGCCATAATCTGCTTACATTCTATTCACAATACTTGTATTTTATTTATTTAACTTACTGAATAGGTCATACATTCACAACTTTTGAAGGGCAAAAGTATAAAGGTATATATACAGAAAAAAAATCTCTCCCTTTTCTCTGATTCCCTCTAATTAGTTCCTGCCGTACACTATACCCAAGCATCTATCCAGTGCTGTCAAACATTTTTGATGCATTCTTCTAGAGCTTTTAAATGTACATGGAAGCAAAGATGAACAACATACCCATCCTTTTGCCCACAAGTTAAAGCATTCTATATATGTAATTCTAATTTTTCCATATTAGTACATAAAGGTCTATCTGATACTTTTTCACAGCACCATCTGTTCCACAGATTGGATGTAATACATTTGGTTTATCTATCGATGAATATGTACTTGGGTTTTTTTGTTTTTTTGCTATTAAGAATACTACCACTATCATGCAGCAAACCCACATGGCACATGTATACCTATGCAACAAACCTGCACGTTGTGCACATGTACCCTAGAACTTAACGTATAATAAAAAATAAAAAATAAAAATAAAATATGAGCTACAAAAAAAAAGAATACTACCACTATGAAAAACTTATTCTTGGCCAAGCATAGTGGCTCACACCTGTAATCCCAGCACTTTGGGAGGCCAGGGTGGGAGGATCACTTATCATTTGAGCCCAGGAGTTCGAGACCACCCTAGGCAACATGGCAAAACCCCATATCTACGAAAAACACAAAAATTAGCTGGGCTTAGTGGCTCTTGCCTGTAATCCCAGCTACTCGGGAGACTGAGGTGGGAGAATCACCTCAGCCTAGGAAGTTGAAGCTGCAGTGAGCTGTGATCATGCCACTGCACTCCAGCCTGGGTGATGGGAGTGAGTGAGACCTTGTCTCAAAAAAAAAAAAAAGTTCTTTATTTGAAAAGTTTTAGTTTGCTGTCTATCTGTGGTGATACTCTCTAATTCCAAATGTTATATGTTTTAATTTCTTTCTTTTTTTCCCTTGATCACATTTCCCCAAAACAACTCTATTTTGTTAATCTTTTCAAAGAGCTGGATCTTCACTCTATTTATTATTTCTATGCATTTTGTTTCTAACTTATTGTGTTCTTCTATCATGATTAATACCTGCTTTTGCTTATTTTTGTTTTTATGTAACTTTTTGAGTTGAATATTTCTTGTTAATTCTTAAAAATATTTCTTCTTTAATAGTAAAGGTTTTTAAAGCTTTGAATTGACAACACTATTTGTAGTTTTGATTTGTATGTTTGATTTGTATTTTTCTCATTATTATTAATTTCTAACCCATCTGTAAATTTACTTTAACAATAAATTGATTTATTTTTTGACTCAAAACTTTTGAAAGAGTGCTTTGAAAATGTCCCAGGATACTTATAATTTATATTTCATTATTTGTTTGCAGCCTATTTTTAGATTTAATACAAATGGTTAAATAATGAGATGTGTAATTTCTACTTTGAGGTAAGTAATCAAGTTTTCCTTTAGCCTACATATAGCCAAATTTTATAAATATTCCCTGGTTATTTGGGGGGGAAAAGCCTCTATTAGTGTCTATTAGAAGGGTACAAAATTCATTGTATCTATTAAAATAAACATGTTAATTGCAATGTTCATATCCTTTTTTCTTTATTTCTTGCTTCTGGCAAATTCTGAATTGGTGCATTCATGTCTTGCATTGTTACTGTGTCTTGATAATTTCTCCTCGCAATTCTAACAATTTGCAATTACACATATTTTGATGCTATGTTGTTTGTGCATCAAAAGTTTTATGACTTAACTTATGGCATAGCATTTCTATGGAGTGTAAAAATAAGGGCTAAAGAGCTGCATTTGCTTTTCCTTATTTCTAGACCAGGCCAGGGCACAACCCCTGACTCTAATGTAATCTCTTTAACCATCAAATTTGACCAAACCACACATGGTGCCCAGATATCAATTTGCTCAGTAATTTCACTGATGACTCAGAAACTCAGCCAGTGTCTTTTCCCTGAATGTAATCCAGTCATTTTATGGAGCTCATTAACTATTCCAAGATATTAGTTTACAATTTTTTAAATGACAGGGTCACCATAACAACATAAGCACAGTCTAATTGGTACCCAGACATGAGTTTCTACTCTTGGCAAGATTTGCCCTTTTTCTTCAAAAAAAAAGTTTACTGTAAAGATTTAAAACTCAACCGCAGTTGGAATAGTTTCTAAAGAGGTCAAGTCAAACTGCAAAATTAACATTTTGCCTTGCTACATAAAGTTTTGTCCAGCACAGTAGGAAAGAAATTTAAACACGTTTCAATTTGGAGAGGTAATTAAAGGGATTTTTTTCCCTTTTGATGTCACTTTTCCAGCAAAACCTTTTTTAAAGTATCTTTATATATACACTTTCATGCCCTTGAGCTACCATTCCACAGCCACAAATTCCTGGAAGTGGAATTCTCCTATCAAAGGATGAGAAAGTCAAAGTGTTGGTATATAATTTTAAAAGGATCTTTGAGACACTTATCTCAATCTACAAATTTAGTGTGCAGCTGTATCTATATCCGCCTACCCTGACTACACCAGATAGCCTCAATTTCATGTTTCCAATTTGGCAGAAAAAATATTTCCCCACTTTAATTGCATTTCTTTCATTGATAGTAAGTTTAAACATTTTCCTAAATTTAATAGCCATTTGTGTTTCTTCCATTAATTGCTTGTTCATATGCATTGCCCATTTTTCTCTTGGTTTTCTTTCTTATTTAAGAGCTGTGTATAGAAATATTAATCTTTTGTCGTATTGATGATATTTTTAAAACATTCTATATTCCATCCCTGTGCACATATGGACTTGGCTGATTTTCTTCCCAATCATCTCAATATAAAGACATTGCAAAGTCGATTGCTATTGTTCTTCTATTTACACTTGATAAGAACAGAACTCGAAGTTAAGTGGATGTAAATGGACCTAAAAACCAGGATTATGTTCTGAAGTTCCATTCACTTGTCATCTTCAGTCCTCCAAGATCTTGCTGCACACGTTTTTCAGGATGTCTGTGGCTCCATACAGTGTGACCAACTTTCACTGACCTCGGAGAAATCTACTGTCCCCCAAACCCATAACAACCCTTATCCTAATCTAGGACCAACTTAGTTTAAGGTCCTGCCTCCTTAAATTCATGGAGTTTCGGTTTTCAAGAATACCTATCTATGTTCAATCTTAAGGGAAAATCTATTATTTTATTTGGTTTGGTTTGCATTCGAGAAACCAGAGAACACTGAGTTCTGTGGATGGAGACGAGACGGTCCTGCGGCAAGTCTGCCTTCCATTTGGTATTTGCCATGAACACTGGGGAGCTCTGATCATAATCACAGAACCTTCACTGCAAATTTCCCTCCAGAGAATGAGGTTGACCAGATACGCATATCATGTTATTAACAGTCTTTAGCTGATGCCAGCCTGCTGAACTGTTTCAGAGAGGAACCAGGAAAAGCTAAAACACCACAGTGTCTTGTTTCACTGCCACAGCACAAAACCAACATCTCTCTTTTAGAACCACCACATTTCTTTGGTGAGTAGACATTTGTGGACAGGGAGCAAACTGCCTAGCCCGGTCATAAAAGCCACTGCCAATAAGCTAGTATAATTACAGGGTGGCAGAATCGTCTAACACAGCAGCATGCCTAGGCCATGGATGGTCTTTGTTCCAGTGCCGTGTCTGTGGCCATCCCTGTCCAGGCTCCAGCTGTAGGTTGATTTGGACTGTTCACCATGCGCAATTTCTAGACCACTGAAGCTCTCGTTTACTTTTTGTTTGTTTCACTCTGGGCTTTAGAGACTCTCGAAAGCGGCCACAGTCCAGCAAGGTCAACTTTGGGCAACTCAAATTTCTGTACAGTGAATGCCTTGAGTGCAGGGAGGAACTGCTCCCTAATATGGTGGGTGCCCGAGAAGGGTTTGTTGAATTCAGCCGACTCTGTGTAAGATTTTCTTAAGAGGTAACAACATCAGTTCACGAGTTAGAGAGGAGTACGGGGGCCAGGGCAGAGATGGAGGAGGAAAGCATGCGAATCTATAGTCAGAGCGCTGGCTTGAGACACTGACTATCCTCACAGCGATCTTGATCAAGACGCCTCCACTTCCCTCTGTATCCCAGTTTCCTCATCGGTAACAGAACCCATCCTGCATGGCACTGTGAAGATTAAACTGGATAACACATTCAGGGCCTTACTGTGCCTAGACAAATCAAAGAAATCAGCTGCTGTCAACATTGTCAGTGCGGTGCTCACCCCCTCACTGGGGACACATGGCCTGCTGATTCAGCCCAGCTGTGTCGGGTGCTCCAACTGCTTCTACCTTCCTGGTCCTCTGCTGGCCCAGCTCCCTTCAGCTCTAGTTTCAGGGGTGATCAGACCACCTCTGTGTGTTGCTTACGATTCAATGATAAATACTGTTTGTGAATTCAAATTATGCAAATTTGAAATTATATATTATTTTTAAATTAATACAACTTAACTATATGCAAATATTTTGAATAATACAATGCCTTAAAGCCCAAACATCAAGAGTCACCTAATTTCAAGGCTGGCAAGCTGCAGGACTTTGAAACCGCGTCTTTGCCATTGCGGCAAGGTGGTGCTGTGTGAGCTGGTGGGCAGCCGCGCCTGGATTCCTCTGCCCAGGTCACCCTTGGATCAGGCAGATTTGAATTATTCCACAGCTCAGGAGTGCATCCTTTTCACGGAGGCTTCTTCCCAATGTGTGTCACGACAGCTACTCCTAGCAATGCTTCCATTCCTGCCACCAAGGCTATTTGGTACAGTTCAGCAAACTCACTGAACAACTACTTTGCACCAGGTACTCTCCTAGTTGCTAGAGATGCAGTAAGAAGTGAGACACATTCCCCTGAGAAGCACATGCTCCAAGGCCAAGAACAGCCCATAAATGCGATGCCAATGTAATGTGACAAAAGTGATAGCAGGAAGTGTGCAAGTGGGTGTGCAGAGGCTGGCCCAGGGGGCCGCAAACGCTTCCTGGAGAAAATAACCCAAGATTTTAAGGACCGAAAGGGATTAGCCAGGTGAAAAGCAGGGGAGAAGAGGGAGAGGTGAGACAAGAATTCAAGGCAGGTCTGATGAAAACACAAACGTTTTCCTATTCTTAGACAACACAGAATACTTCCCCTCTGGTCACCAAAATGCACTGTGGGGATTTGTCCCCATCAGCAACCCATTCTTCAGCAGATACCAGCTGGGTGTCCTCTAATCCAATTCAGTTCTGGCATGATCTACCTAGAGACAGCATCAGGTCCCACAGGTGGAGGGCTCAGTCTCACAAGACTGCCCACCACTTCAGACGCCAACCACAGGTAGTAGGTTGTCACCTGTGCTTCTGACTGACCAGCTATAAACTGGGGGTTTCCATGACACCCTCCTCAGGTTCAATTAATCTGCTAGAGTGCTCCACAGATCTCAGGGAAACACCTTGCGTATGTTATGCATTTAGCATAAAGGATATTACAAAGAACGCAGATGAACAGTCGGACGGAAGAGGTGCGTATGGTGGCGTGTGAGAGAGGTCAGGGATTTTCCAAAGTGCTCCCCTCCAGGCGCCTTCCCACATTCAGCTATACAGAAGCTCTCTGAACCCAGTTTTGGGGGCTATATGGAGACTTTGTTACGTAGTCATGATGTATTAAATCATCAGCCATTGGTGATCAACTCAACCCCAGTCCCTCACCTCTCCCCAGACGCCAGGGGGTAAGGGCACAGATTCGAAAGTCCCAATCCTCTAATTGCATGGTGGTTCCCCTTGCAGGCAGCGCCCCCATCCTGACGCTGTCCAGGAGCCCATCAGGGACACTTCATTAGGACAAAAGATGCTCTGTCACTCAGGAAATTCCAAGGGATTAGAAGCTCTGTGTTAGGAACCAGGGTCAAAGCCAAACATTAGAACAAAAGATTCTCCTGGTGCCCCCATCGACAAGGCTTTTAGGAACTCTGTCAGGAACAGACAAAGTGACAGGTTCTCCTTCTGTGGCCCAGGCTGGAGTGCAGTGGTGCAGTTGCGGCTCACTGCAACCTCAACCTCCCAGGCCTCAGGTGATCCTCTCACCTCAGCCTCCCGAGTAGCTGGGACTACAGGCACACACCACCACGCCCAGCTAATTTTTGTATTTGTTGTAGAAACAGGTTTCACCATATTGCCCAGGCTGGCCATGTCAAGGGCACCTTGTCCTTGGTCAGCTAAAGCTCTTCCCAAAATGAATCTCAGGCCAATCTGATTGGCCAAACCAGGCACCTTCAAGCTGCTCTCAGCCTTCTTCTGTTAACTTTGAGCAGCTCTGTCCTCAGGAGCTGTGGTGGATGGTGCCTCCAACCCCTTGGGCTCCTACCCCAACCCACAAGTCCTTCAGCCATGGCTGGAAAGACTCTAACCTTCTCATCCCTGGGCTTTCCTGTCTCCTGGTTGACAGATCTCAGTGAAGCCTCCTCGCTTCTCACTGCTTTTGTGAAGAGCATGCTGGGAAGAACCTTCTGTCCCAACTCAGTGAAAATCACTGTTTTCAGCACTGGCAAAGCCCTCCCTCCAAAATCTACACTGACCTCTGCTGTCTTTTTCTGTTTTCTTCTTGCAAACTCAGCTGAAAAATCAAAGATATTTTCAGCTCCCACTATATGAGCTGAAATACTGCCTTCCAAGGTCCAAATTTTTTGTTTTTTTGTTTGTTTTAAAATGCTTAGCTCTCTCTTTCCTCTTACATGTAGGGTCATCTTAAGAAAATATACTTAAAAGCACAAATCGCTGAGCATTGGTCTTTAGGCAGCTGTTGCATTCTGTCCCACAGTGTGTCCCTGAGTGGGAGTTTCACCTGCTGGTCCTGGCTACCCAGGACTCACGTGAGCTCTTCTAGAGTCATGCAGCTTTCTTGAGCTTTAGGATCCCCCACTGCAAAAGAAAGGTGGCAACCCTATGTCACAGAATTCATTTCAAGATAACATCCATAAAGCATGTAGCATAGTGCTTGCCATATAATATAAGCAATGAGAATTGTGATGATTATAAATGATATTATTATTTTTGCATCTTTAAAAAATATGAGGCCAGGCACAGTGGTTCATGCCTTTAATCCCAGCACTTTGGGAGGCTGAAGCGGGTGGTTTGCTTGAGCCCAGGAGTTTGAGACCAGCTTGGGAAACGTAGTGAAACCTCATCTCCACAAAAAATACAAAAATTAGCCAGGCGTGAGGGTGTGTGCCTGTAGCCCCAGCTATTCAGGAGGCTGAGGTGGGAGGATCACCTGAGCCAAGGGAGGTCAAGGCTGCAGTGAGCTGTGATTGCACCACTGCACTCCAGCCTGGGCAACAGAGTGAGACCCTGTGCTCAAAATAAATAAATAAATAAATAAATAAATGAATAAATAAATAAATAAATAAAAATTTAAAAATATGGAATACTTCTATTTACAACCTCTTCTTTTTTATACGGTGCAGATAATTTTTTACAAGGTTCTAAAGAGTCACTAAAAGAGTCACAGTGGTGCTGGTCAATATGGAGCTCCCTTTTCTCGCCATGAGAAGTCCAGTTTGACTACCTCAGTTACCACCCAGTGTTAACATTCTCGTTGTAGCCTATTTGAAATGGAAAGCACTGTACATTATTTTTAGGATTTTTATTTGTAGGGTGTGCTAGAAGACCCCGTAGGCATTTCTGGTCCTGAGTCTTCACTGGGGACAACCAGCAGATCCCACTGGTTCTGGGCTGCATTTAATATGACATCCCCACAAGCCAACTGCAGGTGACAATCAATGTATTCCTTCAGGAAGTTTATCAGTGCTTTCAGATTAGTAAAACAAAGTCATTTCCTATTTGTTTTAGAGTGTTTACATTTACGTATGCAATTTCCATCACTCTCTGAAATTAACAGCACAGGTTTGTTCTCAAGGAAACTAAGGTGAGGAGAGAGACGTGTGAAGGGCCACGAAGTTGGGAAAGGAGGATTGAGGTGAGGTGGTTTCTGCTCTCCCATACTCTAGCAAGGTGTTGTCAGTGTGATACTGTGGCTGACTACAGATGAAGGTGGTCTCTGCTGTACCTGACTCAACCCCCCGGCAGTATCTGGGTGTCTCTGGGGTTGGACACTAGACCCAACCTAGGCCAGTTTTTACCTCAGGAATATGAAGTGAAATTCAATTTGGGCAACCAGCAGGCAGCTGGCAATGTGCCTTGCAGAGCTGAAGGCGAGTGTCTGTGCCCTATCCAGGTGCCCAAGGAAGCAAAGGAAGGCTGTCTACAAAGAGGAAGCAAATGAGGCAAATGAGCAGAAGAGCCATGGAAAGTCCTCCAAGCCTTCCCCATCCTGTACACGACTCACTCCAGTTGTTGGCTCCTGGAGACACTCCAGAACCCATATATCATATAACCCCACCTTTTCCTTAATCTATTTGATTTACTTCTAATCCTTATAACTTAAGAACCTTCTACTTTTTCCTTAGTCGACCTAACCTTCATTTCTCTTGCTCATAATTTAAGAATCTTAACAAAGACTATGAGTTCCACATGATTTGCATGCCCCAACCTCAAATTCTATGAAGATTTTTAATTTTTATTTAATTATTATTTTTTTTGAAACAGACCCTCACTCTGTCGCCCAAGCTAGAGTGCACTGGTGCCATCTCTGATCACTGCAACCTCTGCCTCCCAGGTTCAAGCAATTCTCTTGCCTCAGCCTCCCAAGTAGCTGGGATTACAGGGACCCACCACCACGGCCAGCTAATTTTTGTGTTTTTTGGTAGAGACAAGGTTTCAACATGTTGGCCAGGCTGGTCTCGAACTACTTGACCTCAAGTGATCCACCTGCCTTGCCTCCCAAAGTGCTGGGATTACAGGCATGAGCCACTGCCCCCAGCCTATGAAGACTTCAAATGTCCCTTTGGAGATGAGGAACATTTGAGAATACAACAAACAGGCCAGGCTTAGCTGATTCCATTTCTGCAAAGAATTTTCCACAGCAAGAATTACAAAACTAATCATTCCCTTTTCCCTGTGGCACAAAAGTGCAGATATCTAACGTTTATAAATGATCATTAAGAAAGAAAAATGGGCTGTCGGATGGCACTTCCCCTGGCGTAAACAAGAAAACAAACAAAACCAGATCTTGTGAGTGAAGCAAAGTTTCAATTACACACAACTAAACATACAGCACTCAGTTTTCTAAAATTATCTGATTGCAGGTCTGTAGCAGAGACCTGAAGCTGAGCCTGGTGGGAGGACTAACCTTTCTCCGTGAGGGTTCATAGGAGGCAAAGATGAGAGGAAGGAAGAAACTTAAAGAAAGAATGGGAGGAGGAGACAGAAGACTAGGGTAGGAGAAAGGGAACCCAGGAAACAACAGAGGAACAAACAGAGGGGGAGAAACAGAAGCTCCCACAACACCGGAGCCCTGGAACCCTCCTCGGAACCTCGAAGGCAAAGCCTGCTTTCATTTCATCTCTTTTCTTCTCTGTTTCTCTCTTTTTCTCTTTCTTTTTCTCTCCGTTCTTTCCTTCCTTCCTTTCTATTTTTTCCTTCTTCAGAGTCTCAAGCAAGAGTTGGTAATTCTTTATCCGAGGGAATTATGATAAGGTTTAGAGCGCTGGGAATGTGCGATGTTTCAGAAGTACAAAGAATTTATTATCTATTCTCCAAACAAAGCAATAATTAGATCACTCCTGATAACTAATATCATGTTTTCAGAAGCCCTGAGTAGATGATAAGCTAATATTTGTACAGTTGACCTTAAAAGTGTGGCAGCTAAGAGGCTCTTGGAGAGATGCCCAGAAAGGCACTAATTAGTAAAGGATTTAGCAATGCGATGTGGAAAGGAACTTTCAGAATTCTTTTAAAAA
Organism: Homo sapiens; assembly: GCF_000001405.40. Classification (NCBI taxonomy): domain Eukaryota; kingdom Metazoa; phylum Chordata; class Mammalia; order Primates; family Hominidae; genus Homo; species Homo sapiens. Next base: position 235,231,093 of record NC_000002.12, read on the forward strand.
TGTTTTCAGTTTTGTAAATCACTATGCTAGAGTAACTGTAGAATTATTCTTTGACAGTATAATTACATTTTAATTGTATAGCAATTATGTGCTCAGTAGTAATCAAGGGGAAATTCAGTAGCCAATCGGCTTTTACCACTGTGAAATGTACAGACTTTGTGGTTCACAGGGTAGAAGACTTCTGTTTTCCCTTGGCCATCTGAATCTTTAGCTGTACTTGAGCATTGACAAACATGGTGGGGACTCTCTCAAAGGCGTGAGAACGCTCAAATACCCCCAAAGAACCGGCCACTGTCTATTAAAAACCTATGAAATGTTCTGCTGACAATTATAGGAAAATATTCTTCCTTATGCAATCAGCTCCCATGGGACAATCAAGTATACAGAGAAAGAAAGAAAGCATTTTGTAGGGGGCTGGGGTGGGTGCGGGAGCCTCAGCCAAGATTCTTCTTGGATGGTCCCACTTAGAACTGTTCCTCCTTTCTTTCTGCTCTAAATGTTAAGTAATTCAGACTAGAAACCACAATCTGGCACTAATGAGCAATAAAATGGTCCTTAATCCCAAAGATCTGTGTATTTTCTTCCTCCTATTTTTTACATTTTGTGACTTATGGATCTGCTGTCTGGGCTGTGAGGACTGTAAAAACTATTATACCATCCTTTTTCACTGTAAAGTGTTTTTCAAAACACTGTCTAAAATATTAAGTGTTTTATCTCTGTTGTCATTGTTAACCCCCGCAGCACTACTCATTGTGTCTAATGTGGTAGTTGTGGTATATGGACAAATTGGAAGCTATTTAGAAAACTAGAATCTCTTTTAAAAATTGATCTGGATAGGTATGATGATAAATCAAATACTAACTGATCTATATTCTTAAGGGGAAGGCAAGCAAGTCATTTATGGACTTAAGGGCAGGACCAAGCTAAACTCAAAGAGATGCCGGGGAAGGGGAAGGAATTAGCTGATAGGGGTCTAGGTGAACTTGACCACCGGGGTGATTTCAGCAGGCCTGGAGGAGGGACCATCCCACTGTCGTGGAAAATGTTTAACAAGCCAGCTGTGGGGGAGAGGAGGTGCAGTGGTTGCCAATTTCTGCGGTGTAAATGCTCTTGACGTGGCCATTTCAAAACTATTAACATGGCATCACTGAATGCTCAATAGGAGAGAGATGCACCCAATTCGCTTTCACAATTCTCTCTCTCTCATTTCTGAATTGAGAGTACAGGGAGACTCTGTATCCCCCTACATATTTTAGAGCACTCTGATATCGGAGGCACAGCCCAGCAGGTTCTACAGGGTGCAGGCAGCCGGGCTGGGGGCTGCATCTCCTGCGTGTGCTGACTGTGGCGGTGGCACTGGCGTTGCCTGGCCTCCCTTTTCTACACTGAACTCTTTTTATCAACTCTGCTCAAATCAGCCAGAGCGGGTGGTGGGGCTGCCCTGATCTGGAGCAGGAGAGCGGTTTTCAGGTTTCCACAGCCAGCTTCTCGCCACACAAGGCAGTGTGGGGTGGCTGCTGTGGCAACAGCAAAGTCAGGAGAGAAAGTATGCCCTGTTCCCTCCTTAGTGGAACTCGGTCTGGATGTCACCATGAGATGACAATGTTGTCACTGCCGGGCCCGCCTCAGATCTAGCCTCGGATCCAGTCTCGCCCTCCACATCCTGACTGAGCGGTCCTTGCCTCTCTGGGCCTCTTTCCTTATGTCTCCAGTGTGGTACTAACTGGTGCAGGATGGTTGTGGAGAGGCAGGTCTGCCGAGGGTACTTCTCATGCGGCTGGTGCACAGCCAGTGCCTGGGTGCACTCAGCCCCTGTCCCCGGAATGTTCCTGTGATTCCCGTGGTCACTGTATCTGTTTTGCTAAGCACAGTAGTGTCTCACACCCTCTCACAGCTATTTGGAGAGAAACAGTATTTTTATCTTATAACACAAACTCTGTTTTACAAAGGCCAGTTTTCAGATTTTGCAGTGGAGTCATGGACCCCAAAAGCCTGCTCGTTTTCTTAGGTGTCTGTGGAGCCTGGGTGAGCCCATTCTGCAGGGAGTTAATGAGATCTGGGTGGGCTGACTGCAACCAGACATGTCTGAAATCTCCCCACCATCTGGCCTTCCCCAGGGAGGGGGATAGCATTGGTTGCACGATTGTTAAACGTGCCTGTCATGCGAGGGAAACACTGAGGCGCCTAGAGGTTATGTGACTTGCCAATTTTAAGGCCTAGAGCAGGAGTGCAGCCTGGATTCTGTGTCTCCCTGGCTTGCAAGTCTGTGCCATTTCATCTATGGCAGCAGAGGATTAGCAGGACTTTTCCAGACTTGTGTGTCGGGTGGGTAGGGAGTGGGGGACTATTGGGGGAAAGAGTGCTTCCTCATGCACAGAGAATGAGATTATAAACTAGGGGATTTTTAATGAAACGTGATGAGGTAATACGCCACAAGGATCTCGAGATTATTCACAATCTTTGCCTAATTCTGCTTCCAGGAATCCATCGATGGGACTCAACCAGAGATACAGTCAAAGCTTTAACTTCAACACTGTTTATTTCAGCTTTATTTATAAAAGCAGAAATTGGAAACAACATAGATAGTTTAAAGGGTGAAGATGATTGAAAAATTACAATGCATCTCTCGTATGAAAATCCATGTTTTCAACGGCATGAAAAAATTCTCAACAGGCAATGTTAAGTGAAAAAAAAAGACATAAAACTATATTCAGTACATCGATTTTCTGTGAAACAAAAATGTTAAGAATGATTCTTTCTGGCTACAGGGATCATTGTGATTTATAGCATTTTCCAAAATCTCTGCAATGAGATTTTGTAGAGAATCTACAAAATTTTCTAATGCACATTTTGATGTATTAAAACAAAAAGAATGTGTTTAGCAATTCATCTACATAGTCTCAATCTCACTACTAAAAACAAAATGTTTTGATAAGATTACATTAAAAGCCAAAAAAAAAAACCACAAAGAAATCCAACAAACCCACAACACAATGCTTAACGATGATGGGAAAAAAACAGTGGAAAACAAAAAGGAGGCAGACATCTAAAATTAATAGAAGATGAAATTGAAATTAAGAAGTTGTACAGTACTGTGAGAAACCTTGTTATTTTGTATAGAATTCATCATGAAAGGTCATCTTCAGATGTGCACTAGGGCACTATGGTGGCCACAGAGCCTGGAGTTGAGAATTAGGTGTGAATTTGAACTCTTAACAGTGACCTGCTTACCTGTAACCCCAGCACTTTGGGAGGCCAAGGTGGGCAGATCACCTGAGTTTGAGACCAGCCTGGCCAACATGGTGAAACCCTGTCTCTACTAAAAATACAAAAATTAGCCAGGCGTGGTGGTGGGTACCTGTAGTCCCAGCTATTTGGGATGCTGAGGCAGGAGAATTGCGTGAAGCCGGGAGGCAGAGGTTGCAGTGAGCCCAGATTGCGCCATTGCACTCCAGCCTGGACAATAAGAGCGAGACTCCATCTCAAAAAAAAAAATTAATAATAACACAACAACAACGACAACAACAACAACAAAACAGTGACCTGCTATCAGCCAGTCTGGGGACACCAGGACCTCTCTGCACTGTTTTCTTCATCCCTAAAAGCAGAAATAGCATTAGTGACCCCACAAGGTCATGGAATTAAATGGATTGTATGTGAAGGTACTCCCACGATAACGGGTATAAATAGCTGCTCAATAATTTTCTTTTTCCATGCACTGAGCAATGTGGCAACAAAATATGTAAAGAAGATTTTATTAGACTTATGAGAGAAATAGACAGAAATACAATCATCACATGAGATTGTGACTCACTGCCGTCTAAATTCAGACAACAGCAACCACTCAAATTGCTGTCTGGGGATCATGAGGGATACAAAAGGGCTTTGTAAACTATGAGGCGGCATAAAATTGTTAGCTGTTTTGCAAGATGCAAAATAATATTTATGGGAAGCGATTATATTTTTTCCAAGGTCATAAAGAAATGCTCAATAAATTTTAAAGTAGAAATGTTCCAGTCCATATTTATGACATCAATACGATACATTGTAATATTAGTGTTTATATTTAAAGTAGAGAAATTTTATCTTCTCCAACATTTTCAAGTGCTCCCTGAACTAATGCCAAATAAATGAAATAATTTAATAGTAAGTTATTGGGAAAATAAAACACTATATATTAAAATAAAATTATAATAATAAATCAAATTATGCCTGAAAAAATGGAATTATTAGAATTTAAATACAAGATTAATTTATGAGTTTTGATGTAATAAAAAATCACAAAAAAAGGATATTCAAAAGATTTGGTAATTAAAAATGTTTAAAATATATAAATGAGGACAGGCTAAGATAAATACTACCAGAAAATACCAGAGTCCATAAAGAACTTACGGAAATTGATCAGAAAAAAATTAAACTCAACAGATTCATGGAAAAAAAACTATTTTAACCCATAGAGCACTACTTTGTTATTAACTAACAGATGCAAAGATGAACAAGAATATTTTATTTAATAGTGTGAAAGTTGTCAGAATCAAAATGGAGTCACTAATGTTAAGACAACCCTGACAAATAGAGACAGGCAAGGCCGTGAAGAGAGGGTTCTCATACTTGTGTGCCTGATAACATAAAAAGACTACAAAAACCACAACCTTGCACAAAGACTGTCACAACCTCTCTCAAAAAATACTTCTGCAAGGGTATCTGCCCAGCCACTGTGTGTCCAAACTTGGAATGGCGTCACCCTTGTTATGGATCTTTGTCACCAAGGATAATTATTTCAAAATAATTACATAATCCTCCGCATGTTTTCCTTTGAAAACCTTTGCCTCTTTACCTTCCTGAACACACACGTAGTTTACTATGGCATTGCATATAGTAATGCTCTATTCTCAAATAAAACATCTCTTTTTTTAGACAGCCTCTCTCTGTTTGTTACTTAGGTTGACAATCTTAATATATTCTCCCATGTGCTGGGGAATGTTCTAAGCACTAATGCGTTCATTCCTTTCACCCTCACAACAACCCTCTAAGGTAGATAGTGTCATTGTTCCCATTTTACAGATGGGGAAATGAATCACAGGGAGGTGAAATGACTCATCCATGGTCACAGCCAGGAAGTGGCAAAGCTAGGATTCAAGGCCAGGGTCTGTATTCTCCTATTCATTTTATTACACAACCATGATTGATGAAGACGAAGGTGTACCCATAAATATGGGAATGCACCAAGATTTATAGCGGTTAAAACAATAGAAACTGCCAACAATGTAGTAATGCTGAGAGAGATAAGTTGCATTAACTGTAGAACTTTTATACTGTCACTGAATTTATAATTATGCCAACTTTGAGCAAACTAAAAATACAAAGTTAAGTGAAAAGAACATAACCTGCATTCATGTTATGCTTGCAACCCTGTGAAACATGTATGCATAAAGATGAGGACAGGAAGGATGTATGGAAAGGAAAACAGCTGACGTGGCGATAAATTGTACCTTTGCAATACCAAGTGACAGTGGCTGGGGAGGAACGGTTAAACAGTGTTTGAGTCTCTTTGCATTTCCCCCAAAACAGCACCCCTTCTCTCATTGCGGAGGCTTCCTGGGGCCCAGGGGCCCCCTGCCCATCCATTCCTTTGAGGCTGCCTGCCACCTCCTTTGGAGGCATTTCTCTGGCACCCAGCCCACACCTGGCCTTGGGCTGTCCTCTGCATCTCCACAGCAGCCTGCTTCTCCCATTGTGGTGAGCCACACTGCACGGGGCTGGCTCCTTCCTTTGCCTGCACCACCCAGTAGACCCTTGAGGGTGACGCCAGATCTTCTCCCTTGTGCAGCCTCAGCTCCTGCCATAGGACCTGGCCCAGCATTGGAGCCCATGTGTATCTGCTGAAGAACGCAGACATCTAGGTCTAAATAAAAAAATACATAAGCTAAATAGCTAAATATAAAGCTATAATAGCTTTATAACATTCGTTGGACAATTTCCTTCCCAGAATACTGCAAATTTGAACCCAGAATTTTATAAGTTAAGCATTCCAGAGCACCATAAATGGAAAGACCGCTAGGTAATCTTGTCATAGTGAACGGGAATGGAAGACCATCATGCCTATGAAACCCGAGATGTCACCTCTTTCATGTTGACTCTTAATTCTAAGAGTTATACATCCATCATAGTAACGATACTATTAACATCTGCTCATCTTTCTACATAGTAAATTTCAGTATAAAACATTTTGATGAGAATTTGTTTGACCTTTAAAATGGCCCTGGGAAGTAAGGTTTTATCCCATCTCACCTATGTGGAGCTGGAGGCTCAGTGCGCTGTTGTAGGCAGTGTTGTTGGCTTCAGGCTACTCAGTTTAAAAAGCAGTAACAAAAACCCTCTGTAGTATATGCTGAAAGGCACCTAGGAAGAGCATTTAAAAATGAATTAGGCCGGGCGTGGTGGCTTATGCCTGTAATCCCAGCACTTTGGGAGGCCGAGGTGGGCGGATCACGAGGTCAGGAGATCGAGACCAACCTGGCCAACATGATGAAACCCCGTCTCTACTAAAAATACAAAAATTAGCCGTGCGTGGTGGCATGTGCCTGTAGTCCCTGCTACTCGGGAGGCTGAGGCAGGAGAATCCCTTGAAGCAGGGAGGCGGAGGTTGCAGTGAGTCAAGATCATGCCACTGCACTCTAGCCTGGTGACACAGCAAGACTCCGTCTCAAAAAAAAAAAAAAAAAAAAAAGAGGGAATTAAGCAGAACACTAAGATTACTCCAGCTCCTTGGTGATAGTAACAATATCTAGGTGGTTCACATCAGTGTGGCACTTTGTCATTTTCAAAGCACTGTCATGTGTAAGCTGGGCTTCCGTTTGTACCTTCTGAAGTTTCAGGGCTGTATTCACCTTATTTCATTTGGGCTCTATTGAAGGCGAGGTTGAGAGAGATGCCCAGTAACAACACAAAGCCATGCTCCGCATCCAGCAAGGAGCTCTCAGCTCTCCTGGGTCCTCTCCTCTCATCCCACAAGAGCACCTTGAGTGGGTGCATGAGGATGCAGATTTTATAGACGCGGGAAGTTAAGATGGGGGAATTTAGGTAATATTCCTGATATTGCACAGCCAGTGAATGGAAAAATCAGGAGTTGAGCATCTGGGTCTGCATCCACGCCCAGCACACTTAGCACTAAGGCAGGGGTTCTCACAGTGTGACCCCTGCACCAGCAGCATCAGCACCATTTGGTAACTTGTTACAGGTGCAGATTCTGGGGCCTCCCCTGACGCTGCTGTATCAGATCTGCTGGAGGTGGAGCTCTGCCTTTTTGCAAGCTCTGGGATGATCCTAATGCTCTCATCTGTATGTGCAAAGCTGTAGCTATCAATGGCTGCTAACTGGTGGATGATGACTTGAACACAGGTGTTTTGATCTCCATACTCTTTCAATGGACGATATCAGCTGTTCTCAGTCCCACCTGAACATTGAATCATTTGGAGAGTTTAAAAGCAACTCACCGACAACAAAACCAAAACACACAAAGAAAGAAACAACCACATTCTCCAGGCCCCATCCCAAGACTATTAAGTCAGAGTTGCTTGGGGTGGTGCCAGGAGCTGCCTTTGTTTAGAGCTCCCAGATGCCAGGCAGCTGTTTCCCCTGACTGTCTGATAATCCTTGGCAGTCGGTTTCCATCTAAGTGCCAGGCCTTGAAAAGCAGACTGCAAGCTCTAAGCTCTGTGTGTGGGTGGGGCTGCTGGCTGTGTGGCCACTGGAAGGGTCAGTCTCCACTGCAGGGTGATGGCCCAGGATGCGTCTTTGGGGACACTCCCATGTTGTACACTTTTTTTTTTTTTTTTTTTTGAGACAGAGTTTCACTCTTGTTGCCCAGGCTGGAGTGCAATGCCATGATCTTGGCTCACCACAACCTCCGCCTCCCAGGTTCAAGCAATTCTCCTGCCTCAGCCTCCCAAGTACCTGGAATTACAGGCGTGCGCCACCACACCTGGCCATTTTTTTTTTATATTTTTAGTAGAGACAGGGTTTCTCCATGTTGGTCAGACTGGTCTCAAACTCCCGACCTCAGGTGATCTGGCCACCTCGGTCTCCCAAACTGCTGGGATTACAGATGTGAGCCACCATGCCTGGCCCCACGTTGTACTCTTAATGCTCTCTAAGTGATTGTACCCTAAGGTGAAATGCTAAGTGTTCACCTCTGACTGACCAGAGTCAGAACCTTCTTCTCTAGAAGGTTCTCCTAGTCTCCTTCCTGAAGGAGGTGTTAGGGGTCAAGTGGGGAATAAGCCTGGGGTCTGGGTGTCTGAACCACCTGCATAAAACCTTGTCGTGGAGTTTGCAGGGGCTGAGGCATGTATCTATCAGATTGCTTCTCTGCTTTCCCTGTTTAGGTTCACCTGCTTATACAATTTTACTGCTGTTCTCTCTTCTTTCATTATATCCTTGAAGGTTTGTGCTTTAAAAAAAAAAACAAGAAAAAAAAACAAGAAACTTTTTTGTTGTTTTAGTGATATTTCAGGAATAAGGGTGACTCAATGGATGTGTTAAGCCTGCCACTTCTAACCAGAAATCTGTACAAAATTTCCTATGAGAGTCCTCCTTCATCCTAGCCTTTGTCCAGACACACTTCCCTTGCTGTCTAGAGAAGCAGCTTCCTTCTGTCCTCATATGCTTGCATCGTTCCTTCTTGCCTCCCTCTCTGCCAGAAATGCTCTTCCCCCTGCATTCTGATGGCTTAATTCCTCTTGACCTTTGGAGTTCAGTCCCAGATCTGTCCCCTTATTGGAGCCTTCCCTGCAGCACCTGGAGCTGTGCTTGGGTCACACTGTAGTGTGATCTGATTATATGATTGATGTCAGTCTTCCCAACTAAACCGTAAGTTCATGAGGCCACGAACCTGGCTGATTGTGTGTGCCATTGTATCTATCTCCTCTACCCAATGCATATTTTTGAATAAATAAATGAATGAATAGGCAGGTGGGGGCTTGAAGGCCTCTTGATTTTGGCAGTAGTGTAATGTAATGTGAACAGGCTTCACAGGCCGGTGAAGTTGGCACATTCCGAAACTCTCTCAGCAATACAAGAGCAATTCAGAGCTACCTTGATCAACAAAAACCAAAAGCAAATGAAACCAGGCTTTTACTGAAAATATCTGTAAGACCAGAAACACACAGGTAATTAACACCTTCCCCTTATACTCCTATTTAATATTTAATTTCTACTATTGGCATCCTAGATAAAGCTGAAGCTAGGTCACCTGCATTGGGTCCTTTCTTTTACTTCTTATCAAAAACCTGGCCATCTGATGCGTTAGGATCTCAGTAGAAAGGAAACAAAATCCACAGGGTGTTGGTGAGTTGATTTTTGTGGCAAACTTCAGGAACTTTCAGTAAAAGCCATAAAACAAATGAAGCAGAAGATATCATGGATGGAAAAAATGCCCCCTCTTGTAGTGATGCATTTCTGGATGGTTGAACATTATTCTCTGAGTTGAATTCCCTTGAATAAGGGAATTCTCTCTAGGAAATAGGAGACGCAAGGTAAAACCCCATTCTTGGACACGGACTGTGAAGGATTCCTCGGTCTGCTGTCATGTCAAATGAGCACAGCCCCAGGACAGGGTCTCTCCTGCCAGTCCTCCTCTGGGTTCCTGCCCCTGCCTGAGCCCCACCCCCAGGCATTCTGAGGCTGGCCCTGGCCCTGACAAAGGCTTCCTATTATTCTACCTAGCAACTGCAAGCCGTCAGGACAAGAATCCAGAAACCTGACATTTTACATCAATAGGATATAAGGAGCATAGTTGGTTATCTATTGCTGCATAACAAATTGCCATCTAAATTTGTGTTTGAAAACAACACGCATGCATCTTGTGGTTTCTGTGGATCAGAAACCTTGGCACAGCTGTACTGGCTCCTCGACTTCATGGTCTCTTGCAAGGTGTCAGCGAGGTGTTTCACAGCTCACAGTGGAGTGGGGAAGAGCCTGCTTCCCAGCTTGTGTGGTTGTTGGTGTGATTGTTGGTGTGATACTCACGTTCTGCCTGTCACTATGTGGTGCCTGTGGCTTGTGCACTCCCCGGCCTACCTCTGAAGTGTTGGCCTGGGAATGTTTTGTAGCATGGGCCCATGGCTGCTGTCTGGAGGCCACCATCAGCTCCTACTGGCCTCTGCAACACAGCCGTGTGCCAGCAGATCAACGTCAAGGGTGCTACCCTGTGAGGTGATCTAATCCCATCATCTTCACCACATCCTATTGGCCAGCACCAGTCACTAGGTTCAGTTCACACTCAAATGGCGGGGGCAGGAATACCACCTTTCTTCATCCTCCTAGAGGTAGAGTCTGCTAGGGAGTGTCCGGCCATCCATGGTGGCCAACTTAGGCATCAAGAGGCCACTCAGACTGTCTTGGTTTCCTGGAGCTGCCCTAACAAAGTCCCACAAACTATGTGGCTCAAACAACAGAAATTTATCATCTCACAGTTCTGGAGGTCAGAAGGCCAACATCGGACAGGGTTTGTTCTTCCTAAGGGCTGCATGGAAGAATCTGGTATCCGTGGGCCTTTCTCTGTCTTCTGTGTCTTCACATCCTCCTCCCTTTATCTATTTCTGTTTCTGTGTCCAAATTTTCCCTGTTTTTAAGGCCCACAGTCATATTGGATTAGGGCACACCCCAGTGACCTCATGACCATCTTAACTTGTTCATCTGCAAAGAGTCTATTTTCAAATAAGTTCACATTCACACATTCTGAGGGTGGGACCTCAGTATCTTTTAGGGGAACAAGATTCAACCCATAGCAAGTGCTAACACAGTTTTTTTTATTCTGACATAAACCATCCTTACCTAGGGTTTTGGCTTTTTCAAGTTAAGCCACTGCTTTGAGGGTTCTTAGTTTTTTTTCAAAATATTTAACATTTTTTAAAATTAGGGTGAGCTTCACACAACAAAGTCAGCCATTGAAAAGTGAGCAATTCCATGACGTTTAGCATAGCTGCGACGTTGTACAACCACCACCTCTGTCTAATTCCAAAGCATTTTCATCACCCTGAAAGGAAACTGTCCCATTAGGCCGTTGCTCACCATCCCCGCACCCCAGCACCTGGCAACCACCCACCTAGGCCATTGCTGTTGAGGGGTTGTTTAAAGTCCGCTGAGCTGACTGTAGCCCTCACTCTGCACACCATTCACATGGACCCAGACAGAGCTGTTACCTTCTTTTCAGAGGCAAGGAAACTGAGTTAAGGGGATGTTAAGTCACTTGTCTCTGCAAGGTGGAGGTGCCATTAGAACCCAGCTGTCTGGCTTCCCATTCCACACCCCTCACTCTGCCTTCACAGCCTGTTCTACCCCAGCCTTGAGTGAGCCATAGAGCAGCAGCTTCAGCTGAGACCAGCGATCCCTCCTCCTGCAAGTGAAGGAGGACAGCGTCCTTGCTGTCTCTCTGCCCTGGTCATCATGCCCACCTCCTCTGTCCTCCTCGGCCCGCTGTGAGGATTTCTTCCAGGCTGCTGGGAGGGAACGCGCTTGCAGGAACTCCCTCTGTGCATCCCATCAAGGGCATCTGCAGGTGCTGCCTGTCCTCACGGTCGCCTCTCACTGCATCTCCCCTCCGCCCCTGCCTGTCTGGGTGTCTCCCGCTGTTCCCTGTGCCCTGCACCTCACCACAGGGTGCCTGTGTCTACCGCTGCACTGATACCCTAGAATTTTCCATAGCCTTCACTAAAATAACGTGTGTTAACCCTCCAAGCTGGAAAAACCTACTAGAAATTACCATGGGGGGAGTAAATTGCAAGCCCCATATTCAGGTATGCGAGAAAAATCACTTTTATTTCCTAAAAGTAATGGCACTGAGGCCGGGCAAAGAGGGAGGGAGAAGCACCAGGGCAGGGTGAGGTCGGAGCAGTCATCAGCCCATCCTTGTCCCAGGCCCATGGTCTCTTCCCTGCCAGACTCTGGCTGGGCACCCTCAACCCTGGGGTCCCCTAATCACATGCCCTCTGAAGTCAGCCACATCGAGGTAACTGACAAGGAGCCCAGTCAAGACCTCACGGCTGTCAGAGCCCGGAAAACTCATTCCCTCCTCCCCAGTAAAACTCATTTCCTCCTCCACAGTCTGTTGGGATTGCCTTTGGTCTGACCAGTTCTCTCTCCTTCTTTCCCCAGAGGCACACAGTGTCATTTCATGCCCTTCAATGCCTACATCCAATTTCCATAACCAACTGGGTGTTTGGAAACCTGCATTAGGAAACCCCTCTCCAAACCTTCTGGAAGGCCTGGACATTCCATACTGGTGGCTCTCAGCTTGAACAGGCAGAAGGACTAAGGAAATACCAGGGAGGAAAAACAGCAATTCATATCTCAAATGTTATTCTGCCACACTGAAGAATGATTTTATGGGCTGGGCATGGTGGCTCATGCCTGTAATCCCAAAACTTTGGGAGGCCGAGGCAGGCAGTCTCATTCGAGACCAGCCTGGGCAACATGGCAAACCCCAACTCTACAAAAAATACAAAAATTAGCTGGGTGTGGTGGTGCATACCTGTAGTCCCTCAGCTACTCGAGAGGCTGAGGTGGGAGGATTGCTTGAGCCCAGGAGGTCGAGGCTGCAGTAAGCTGTGATCACGCCACCGCACTCCAGCCTGGGTGACAGAGCCAGACCCTGTCTCAAAAAAAAAAAAAAAAGAAAGAAAGAAAAAAAAAGGATGATCATATGGAATTTTCAGGAATGTTCTCAATGTAGGCTCCAGAGAGAAGGTTTTAGACAGGACGCACTGTTCTGACTTAAACACCACTTCCTAAAGCATCAACGTTGTGCTTTGGAAATGACAAGAGAAACTTAGAAACTTAGAGAGAGCACGCTTCTTCAGGAGTTCAGTGCACCCCTCCATGAATAAAGGCAATGGTGATGAGAAGGAAATGAAATAAAAAATTGAGAGCCGAAAGGCACCTTGGAGATCACCTAGCCCGAAATTCTTGTCATGGATGAAGTCAAGGGCCTGAAAAACGAGACGATTTGTCCAAGCTGCCAGCTAGTTGGAGCTGTCCAGACCCCACACCTGCCCACTGGGCCTTCAAAGCCCAGGCCTCAGGGAGAAGCTCCCTCAGGCCCCCAGACATGCTGCCTGCATGCCCGCTGGGGAGAAGGAGGCAGCAAAGAAATGATGCTGTCCACAGAACAAACAGCAGCCTCTCCTGCTGCCTGGCAGCATCCATTACAGAAGGATATTTCCAGACGTGTATATGAGCATTTCACAACACAGAATACTTTTCAAAGGCAAATTTTACAAAATGCCAGTCCAGGAGAAATTAATACTGGGTTTTCAGAAAAAGAGGAAACCAGAATGGCTGAATATTTCTGCTCTCTTGAAAACCACAGAACCCACAGCAGCAACAAATGTGACAGAAAAAGGATTTCTGCCAAACAGGGTGGAGGGAGAGACCCTTCCCTTTATAACCAAGACAGAGACCAATCCTCACTGGAAGTGAAAGATGCCTCTCCCAAGAACTTGCTGTTCCCACGGTCACAGAACACACTCATTTTCCACAAGACAAATGAGGTGACCCATCAGCCTTTGGTTTATGTAATAATGCAGCTCAGTATTTATGAGGCTTTGCAACAAAGGGTAATTTAAAATGAGAGCACAGTTAAGTATGATGTCATCCCAAAAACTACTCACTTAGCTGTGACGATAGACAAGTGACAACAAGAAACGGCATCTATTTACTAAAAGCTAAGCAGAGAGTTTGTTTTGTTTTATTTTGTTTTGTTGTTTTATCAAGCTTTAGATTAAATCCAGCCTTGTAAGAGATGGAAAATATCTCAAGAGCCACAGACTTACTTCAGCCTTCTACCGGGATGGTTTTGGTTGCAGCTGAGTTGTCCCAGCCAGCGTCTCAGCTGTGGTTTCAGTGGCTAGAAGAGAGGAATCCCACATGATGGCCCTCGTGGCTGAGAAGCACCATCTTCCAGCCCTACAGCTGATGAGCTCAATTTATGAGCTGATTACGATGGCCAAAGGAGATCCAATGGATATTTTGGGAAATGGCTCATAAAATGCATTCAGATCAACCAGAAATAAACTCAAAGGCTCCAGGAATCACATTTTTGGAAGCACTAGCTGGAGGAGGGGAAGCTGAGCTGACATTTTGCACAGGCACTTCTAATTATATCTCACATTGTGTTTTTCTCTGCACCTCTTTTTTCGTACCAACAGTAAGTATAATTGCTGAACTGCTCTCAGATAGAATAACACATCTTTCTTTTTTTTTTTTTTGAGGTAAAGTTTTGCTCTGTTGCTCAGGCTGGAGTGCAGTGGTGCAATCATGGGTTCACTGCAACTTTGAACTCCTGGGCTTAAGTGATCCTCCTGCCTCAGCCTCCCAAAGCTCAGGGATTACAGGCATGAACCACCTTGCTGGCCAATGCAGCTTTTTTTTTTTTTTTTAATGACAAGAGGACTCCAAGAGCATTTTATCCAGGTTGGACTATAAACTAATCTTGAAGAGCATGGTCCCTAACCTTTTTGGAACCAAGGACCAGTTTCATGGAAGACAAATTTTCCATGGACCTGGTGGGGACGAGGGGGAGATGGTTACAGAAAGATTCCGGTACATTACAGTTATTGTGCACTTTATTTCTGTTATTATTACATTGTAATATATAGTGAAATAAGTATACAACTCACCATAATGTAGAATCAGTGGGAGCCCTGTGCACATTTTCCTGCAACTAGATGGTCCCATCTGGGGGTGATGCGAGATAGATCATGAGGCATTAGATTCTCATAAGGAGCGTGCAACCTAGACCCCTTGCAAGTACAGTTCACAATAGGGTTCATGCTCCTATGAGAATCTAATGTTGTCGCTGATCTGAATGAAGGCGGAGCTCAGGCGGTAATGTGAGCAATGGGGAGCTGCTGTAAATACAGATGAAGCTTCGCTGGATCACCCACTGCTCACCTCCTGCTGCGTAATCTGCTTCCTAACAGGCCGTTGACCAGAACCAGTCCATGGCCTGGAAGCTGGGGACCCCTGCTGAAGAGTCCTCTTCTAAGCACCAGTTTAATGTTGCAAAATTGGAGGTAAAAATTAAAAGTTTGGGACAGTTAACAAAATTCTTTTTCTAAATCTTTCCTGAAGAAAAATTCTCCCATACTCAGCCACTCCATATAGTCATGGAGTTAACTTCTGACAGTAACACTGAGCAATAATAGATTACAGAAGAAAAAAGCATGTGATTATCTCAATTGATATAGAAGTATTTAGTAATGCTCAACACCTACTAATGAAAAAATTCTTAGCAAACTGGGAGAAGAACTGAACTCCCTTAATTTGATCATGCTTTACGCCCAAACACTTGCAGCCAATCTTATTCCTGATGGAGAAACTTTGGAAACATTTTTTGCTAAGATAATAGACAAGAATGCTAATTTTTACTGGTTCTGCTGAAGATGTTGTCAGAGGCTCTGGCCAAGAGTACAAAGAAAGAAAACAAATAAAGAATATGAGAGTGAAAGAGGAAGATATAAAACCATCATCACTGAATGATTATCTACCTAGAAAACTTGGCTCCACAAAGTATTAGAGCTAAAAAGATTGGCCATTTGATTTCTGATTACTTGATTAACCTTCAAAAACCAATAGCATTTCTCTATCTGTTATTCAGCAATAAGAACAAAAAATGTTTTTTTAAAAAGCAATAGTCCATTCACAGGAGTAATGCATTCGTAAGTATTTTAAAATTAGTTTAACCAATAATATACAATGTTTCTGTTGTGAAATGTCAAAATTATGGTGAAGGAAACAGAAGAGAATATAAATAAATGGAGAGATGTTCTACTTTTGGCTGAGATGATGTAATGTTATAAAGATGTCTTTTATCACCAAACTATATATAAATTCAATGCAATTCCAATCAAAATTTCAGATCTTTTTTAAGAAACTCATTAACTTACTTTAAAATTACATGGAGAAATAAAAGTCCAACATTTAAATCAATCTTACAAAGAAGAAACAGGGGATTTGCCTTAACAGATGTTAAGACATACTTCAAGATCACAGGAATGTGGTATGTGCTGTAGAATGGACAACTGGATGAGGGAGACAGATAAACAGCTCAGGAAGAAGAAATGCTATGGGAATTTAGTGCATGTGAATGACACATATCTGTGAACAATGGACAAATTCAGCAGATGATCTTAGAAAACTGGCTCGTTATCTAAAGGAAAGTTACATTGGGTGCCTATACCAAACCACATTTGAGACTGGACTGTATTTAGATTGAAAACCAAATGGGACAGGTAAAATTATAAAGTTAATAGAGGAAAATGTAGCATGATATTTTTGTGATTTGGGTTGGAAAAATGCTTCTGGAATAAAACTCTAAGAGCACACATTGTATGGCAAAATTGATCAATCTGAATACATTAAAATTCAAGATTGGTATTCAAGGGAAGGCACGATGGACAAAGTTATTAGATAAAAATTACAATGTCAAAAACTGACAAGGGATACACCTGTGTAATATACAAGGGATTCTTACAGACCTTCTAGGAAAATGTATCAATAAACAACAAAATGGCAAAATATCAACAAGGATATGACAACGAGAAAACTCAAAAAGCTAAAAACGTATGATGATTATTCAAATTCATTAGTTTGCATCAGGAAAATGCAAATCCAAACAACTACAAGAAATCACTCTACAACTGAAGATGAGCATAAACGAAAAGCTGAAAATATGGGGTCATAGGTCCTCTGATGTCCTGCTAGAGAGAGGACAGAATAAACCAGCCATTTCGAATGATCTGGCATTACTGACAAATTAGGTAATAGCACACCACCTGGGGCAGAAAAATTCTGTGCCTGGGTAGATATCACAAAGAGATATAGCACAGATTGCATAAGGAAGCATGCATAAAGATATTCATTATGGCAGTATTTATGGGGGTGGGGTGTCGGAAGCACCCAAGTGTGTGTGTGTGTGTGTGTGTGTGTGTGTGTGTGTGTGCACGCGCGCGCGCGCGCATGCGTGTGTGTGTTTCCTGACATATGCATCAATGAAGGGGGACAAAAAGAATTACAAGAATATTTACTAATATGAGTGAATCTTACAAATAAACATGGATGGTAGTGAAAAATAAGAAACCAAATGAGATGTATATGAATATATATCATGATACCATTCACATACAGTCGACTCTCCTTATCCATGGGTTCCACATCTGTGGATTCAAATAACTGCAGATTGAAAATATTCAGTAAAAAAAGGTGACTGCACCGAACATATTCAGATTTTTTCTTGTCATTATTCCCTAAACAGTACAATATAACAACAATTTACATACTATTTACATTGTATTAGGTATTGTAAGGAATCTAGAGATTATTTAAAGCAGGGGAGTCTAATCTTTTGGATTCCCTGGGCCACACTGGAAGAATTGTCTTGTGCCTTACATAAAATACACTAATGATAGCTGATTAGCTAAACAAATAAAAAATCGCAAAAATTCTCATAATTTTTTTTTTTTTTTTGAGACAGAGTCTTGCTCTGTCGCCCAGGCTGGAGTGCAGTAGTGCAATCTCGGCTCACTGCAACCACCGCATCCCAGGTTCAAGTGATTCTCCTGCCTCAGCCTCCTGAGTAGCTGGGACTACAGGCACGTGCCACCACGCTCGGCTAATTTTTGTATTTTTAGTAGAGAAGGGTTTCACCATGTTGGTCAGGCTGGTCTCGAACTCCTGACCTTGTGATCTGCCCACCTCAGCCTCCCAGAGTGCTGAAATTACAGGTGTGAGCCACTGCGCCAGGCCCAAAAATCTCATAATGTCTTAAGAAAGTTTACAAATTTGTGTTGGGCCTCATTAAAAGCTGTCCTGGGCAGCATTCAGCCCGTGAGCCGCAAGTTGGACAAGCTTGATTTAAAGTATATGAGAGGCTGTGTGTAGGTTGTATGCAAATACTTCACCATTTTCTATCAAGGACTTGAGCATCCTCAGATTTTGGTATATGCAGGGAGTCCTGGAACAAATCCCCTGAGGGTACAGAGGGACAACTGTATTAAAAATGTATTCAGAGAATTCACTTTCCAACATATTCTGATTATGTCATTTCAGGCCCAACATTTCCACTGAGAAAAACTTTTAAAGTGGAAAAACATACAGACAACATTTGTCTGAAGAAGGATCTAGGAGAAGAATAAAGCCAAGGGAGGTGAGCCCAGCATTTGTGTTGCATTCGTCCTTTTCCAAAAGGAAAGACCGAAGGCCCTCCTTTTCAGTGTCCCTGCTGTGTGGGGTACCAAAATTGGTGTTCTGGGCCAAATCATGGGAAGCGCCCCTTGTGAACACACCAAGCTCTCAAATGGGACCCTGAACACTGCTCCCTAGCAGGAAAGGTGAAGAGACAATAGGCTAGCTCAAAAAAGGACTGCCATCCAGCATTCAGCCACCTGAACACCTTGACCAGTTGATGTGATATGCTGCCTTCCAGAAGCAAATAAACAAATACATCTCTTTGTTAGGAGATAACATTATTAAAAGCTTAAGGATACCATTTGGCTTTCCCTTAGTGCAGGTCTACCTATGATCTTTTCTGTCAGATTTTGTTAATCTGGAAGACAAATTTTATTTGTCTTCACTTTTAAGAGATATTTATTTATTCTATTTCAAAAGGCTCCACTTCCACATGGACCTTTATACCTATCTCTTCTGTCTCTTAAACTTTTTTTCATATTTTTGACCCTTTAACATCTACAAGCTTATTCTGGATATTTTCTTCTGATCTGTTTTCCAATTTGCTAATTATCTCTTCACGGTATCTAATCTGCCCTTCAGCTGTGTGTACAGAATTCTAGTTGGCAGTTATTCAGACTTTCAAGGTGTTCCATTGTCTTCTGGCTTTTTTTGGATATGTTAGAAGCAGTTTTGTTTTCTGTTGAGAAGTTAGCAGTCTTATTTTTGCTTATTTGAAGGAAGTTTTCCTTAATATCTGGCTGCCTTCATTCTTAAGGCAGAAAGTAATGCTCTCATACAGAACTCAGAAATGCAGGAGGGAATGTAGAGCAATAGAAAAGATGAATAGGTGGGTAAATACAAATGAATATTGACTACATAAGAAAAAATAATGTCTTGTGGTTTTGAAATAGATATAGAATAAAATATAGGACAACAATAGGATATAGTGGTGAAAGTAGTAAATAAAGTTGGAGTATTCCATGGTTCTTACGTTGTTTCAGAAGTGTTAAAAATATTCATTTAGGCCGGGCGCGTTGGCTCACGCCTGTAATCCCAGCACTTTGGGAGGCCGAGGCGGGTGGATCATGAGGTCAGGAGATCGAGACCATCCTGGCTAACAAGGTGAAACCCCGTCTCTACTAAAAATACAAAAAATTAGCCGGGCACGGTGGCGGGCGCCTGTAGTCCCAGCTACTCGGGAGGCTGAGGCAGGAGAATGGCGTGAACCCGGGAAGCGGAGCTTGCAGTGAGCCGAGATTGCGCCACTGCAGTCCGCAGTCCGGCCTGGGCGACAGAGCGAGACTCCGTCTCAAAAAAAAAAAAAAAAAAAAAAAAAAATATTCATTTATATTAGACACTAAAAAGTTAAGGATGTGTGTAGAAATCTCTAGGGTAACTTTGCAGTACAAGAGTGTATAAGTCACAAACCAATAGAGGAGAGAAAGAAAACTTTAAAAATACTTAAATAATCAAAAAAAGGAAAGAAAAAGGATCATGGAACATGTGGAACCAATAGAAATCCAATAGTAAGAGGTAGAGTTAAAATAAAATATATTAGTAATTTACTGCCTGTAGTCAAACTAAAAACTATAATTAAAAAATTAAATAGTGCAAAGATGTTGAAGAGAAAGGGGGGGATGAATAGGCAGAGCATGCAGGATTTTTAAGGCAGTGAAACTATTCTGTGTGATACTGTAATAGGAGATGCATGTCATTATGCGTTTGTCAAAACCCATGGAATTTACCACACAAAGAGTGAGCTCTATTGTAGCCTGTAGACGTTAGTTAATAATAATGTATTTATATTAGCTCATTGATTATAACAAATATAGTACACTAATGCAAGATGTTAATGAGAGAGGATGGGGGCACTGAGGGGGTACAGAAGAACTCTATGTATTTCCCACTCAATTCTTCCGTAAACCTAAAACTTCCCCAAAGAATAAAATCTACTAATTTTTTTTTAAAGACAGTATTGTCAAATGGGATAAAATAGCAAATCCCAACTATATGTTTCTTACAGGAAACACATTTAATTTAAAAAAAGAGAAATATTTAAATTAAAAGGATGGGGAAAGATATACCATCCAAGCACCAATCAAAAGTAAGCTGGGGCCAAGTGCAATGGCTCATGCCTATAACCCCAATACTTTGGGAGGCTAAAGCAGGAGGATCACTTGAGGCCAGGAGTTTGAGATCAGCCTGGGCAACATAGCAAGACTCTATCTCTGCAAAAAATATTTCAAAACATTAGCTGGGTGTGGTGGCACACACCTGTAATCCCAGCCACTTAGGAGGCTGAGGTGCCACTGCATTCTAGCCTTGGCCACAGAGTGAGACTCTGTCTCTCAAAATAAATAAATAAATAAATAAGCTGGCATAGTTACCCTAATGTCAGACAAAATAAACCATAATACAAGAAGCATTACTTGAGAAATGTGGGGATATTTCATAATGAGGAAAGTGTAGTCCACTAGGAAGATGTAAGAATTCTAAATTTGCATTACTAAATAGCATAGATTCCAAATATTAAAAGAAAAAATTGTCAGACTAAAAGGAGATGTACACAATCAGATTGGAACACTAAAACACCTTGCTTGGTACCTAATAGAACAATCAGACACATCCCTCCTTAATCTATAGATATTGATTTGAACAGTAATCATAACAAACTGTATCTAATTCCTCCCAGCAACTATAGAATATATATTCTTTTTGAGTTCATGTAGAACATTTTCCAAAATTGACAATTAGCTGGTCCATAAAGTTCAAATTTTTAAATGAATTAACTCATATAGTACATGAGCTAATGAGTTTTCTGTCCACAGTGAATTTAGTCTAGAAAACAGTTATAAAAATAAAACTAAGCTCTTCTAATTTTGTAAAATAAGCAATAAAATTCTAAATAACCCACCAGTTAAAAAAAAACTAAAATTGAAATCAGAAAATATTTTAAATTGAATGGTGATGAAAACACTATAGATGAAATTTATGGGATACAACTCAAGATGTGCTTAGCAGGAAATTAGCAGCCTTAATTGCATGTATTGGAAAATAAGGTTTCATATGAGGACATAAAGGCACAAGAATTATACAACGGACTTTAGGGACTCAAGGGAAAGGGACAGGAGAAGGGTGAGAGATAAAAGACTACACACTGGGTACAGTATGCACTGCTTGGGTGATGGGTGCACCAAAATCTCAGAAATCAGCACTAAAGAACTGATCCATGTAACCAAAAACCACTTGTACCCTCAAAACTATTGAAATTTAAAAAAAACTTTAAAAACAAAAGTAAGGTTTAAAATCAGTGCTGTCAACTCATCTAGGAAAGTTTTAAGAAGAACAAACTAAGCCCCAAGAAAGCAGAAAGGGAAGTAATTTTAAAAAGTGTAAACAGTCAAATAGAAAATTAAACGGGCAATAGAGAATTGATAAAGCCAAAGTTAGTTTACTGATAAAATTGATAAACCTTGACCAATGCTGTTTCAGAAAGGAGAGAGAAAAGGGAGAGAGGAAGGGAGAAAGGTCACAAACACACATGAACACACACACACACACGTGCACACACGCACATGTCATAAAGTGGAGGACATCACTATAGGTTCTTCAGATGTTAAAAATATCTTTAAAGAATATTGTAAAATAACTTTATGCCAATACATTTAAAAATTTAGAAAAAGAATGAAAAACTTCCAGGGGAAAAAAACTTAAAACCACCCAAATCCATAAAAGGTAGAAAAATATAAACTTTCTATTTACCTAAAAAATTTAATCCATAATTTTAAAATTATCTACAAAGAAAACTGTATTCCCACATGGGTTCACCAGTGAATTCTTCCAAATTATTTAAGGAAGAAATAGTACTGTTCGTCTACAAATTATTCCAGAAAACAGAAAAAGGGAAACATTTTTTAATTCATAGACAAATCCAGTGTAACTTTGATACCAAAATCTGACAAGGGCATGACAAAGAAGGAATATTACAGATCAATCTCACTCAAGTATATAGATGTACAAGTGCTTTAAAAAATGTTTTCAGATCAAATCTAGTAGTTTTCAGAAGGATAACATATCATGGCCCAGTCGTGTTTATTCCAGGAATGTATTTAAAAATCTAGCACAGGCCAGGCACGGTGGCTCACGCCTGTAATCCCAGCACTTTGAAATGCCTCACTGTTCAGCTCCCATTTATAAGTGAGAACATGCAGTGTTTGGTTTTCTGTTCCTGTGTTAGTTGCTGAGGATAATGGCTTCCAGTTCCATCCATGTCTCTGCCAAGGACATGATCTTGTTCCTTTCTATGGCTGCATAGTACTCCATGGTGTATATGTACCACATTTCTTTATCCAGTCTATCATTGATAGTCATTTGGATTGATTCCATGTCTTTGCTATTGTGAATAGTGCTGCAGTGAACATATGGAAGCATGTATCTTTGTAATAGAATTATTTATATTCCTTTGGATATATACCCAGTAATGGGATTGCTGGGTCAAATGGTATTTCTGGTTCTAGGTCTTTGAGGAATCGCCACACTGTCTTCCACGATGGTTGAAGTAATTTACTAATTTACATTCCCACCAACTGTGTAAAAGCGTTCCTATTTCTCCACAGCCTCACCAGCATCTGTTGTTTCTTGACTTTTTAGTAATTGCCATTCTGACTGGCATGAGATGGTATCTTATTGTGGTTTTGATTTGCATTTCTCTAATGATCAGTGATGTTGAGCTTTTTTCATATGTTTGTGGGTCACATAAATGTCTTCTTTTGAGAAGTGTCCGGTCATGTCCTTTGCCCACTTTTTAAAGGGGTTGTTTTCTGTTTGTATACAACAATGAAAACTAACCTACGTGCATCAAGATGAATGGCTCTCAGAAATATATTGTTGACCAAAAGAAGCCAGACACAAAATAATGCGTATTGTATTATTTCAGTTATATGAAATGTCAAAACAGGCAAATTGATCTTTTGATTTTGGAGATCAGGATTGCAGTTACATTTGGGAACAAAGCAGGACAGAGCAATTGGGGGGATCCACGAGGGAGCTGCTGGGGTGGGTGATGTTCTACTTCTCAACCTGGGGCTTAACACTCCATAAAAATTTATTAAACTACACTTAAGATTTTTATAACAGCAGCCTGGAGGAAGATACTTGCATTCCACATGTAGGTGATGGAGTAGTATCTAGAATATACATTTAAAATAACTCCAACAAATCAATGTGAAAAAATATCAACAACTAAAGTGCAAAAAGAAAAAAGAAACAGATGTTTCACAGGAGAGAAAATGCAATAAAAGAATATAAAAAATGTGAAGAGATGTCCAACTTTAAAAATGCACTCAAAACAAAAATGGACATTTTTTTCAGAAATGCATATGAACAAGAAAATAAATGTGAAATTCATTTAAATCATTACCTATAAAAGGAGAGGAATGGGGAATTTGAAATGGGGATAAAAGTATAGTAAAAGAGGCAATTTTCTTGAATCAGTAACAAAAATGGGTCATGACCAGAGAAGTGTTATTAACTCAGTGCTCCTTCCCTGAAGTTAAAAAGAAATGAAATGATAAACCAAAGACCCACCTTATCTGCACAATCTGAGCATCTAGCTGTAACAGATTCTTCAAACGTCAATAACTCAGTTTTTCCATCTAGCATGTCTCATGGTCATGAACTTTTGTTCTACCATCTCAATTCCCAAAAAGTTACATCTTACTTTAGTGAGTGCAATTCTTCATTTATTTCCAATTCTCCTCCTCTTAAAAATGACATGAGGTGATTTACAAACTACTCATGATACAAAAGATAAGAAAAAGTATTTGAGGAAGTTAGAGTGATTGTAAAATATGTACAGGAAGGGAATACAGAATATTGCCCCAAAATACCACATAGTGAGTTGATGAAGTTGGTCACTAATTTGACTGAGGTTTGGGCAAAGAAAAGAGGAAAAGCTGTCACTTCACCTACAATAAAAATCTAACAATTGTGGCCGGGCGCAGTGGCTCACGCCTGTAATC
The DNA here is from genome assembly GCF_000001405.40 of Homo sapiens. Lineage (NCBI taxonomy): Eukaryota > Metazoa > Chordata > Mammalia > Primates > Hominidae > Homo > Homo sapiens. The sequence continues at coordinate 235,255,341 of NC_000002.12, forward strand.
CCAGCACTTTGGGAGGCCGAGGCGAGCATCTGAGGTCAGGAGTTCAAGATCAGCCTGACCAGAAACCTACCAAAAATACAAAATTAGCCGGGCATGGTGGTGGATGCCTGTAATCTCAGCTACTCGGGCAGCTGAGGCAGGAGAATCGCTTGAGCCCAGGAGGCGGAGGTTGCAGTGAGCCGAAATTGCGTCATTGCACTCCAGCCTGGGCAAAAAGTGCAAAAACAAAAAAAAGAAATCTAACAGTTGTTCAAGGCCAGTCCAACCAGGCTTTTCAATAGTTAGTTCTAACTGTGAGATGGAGATATGGAATTTTTAAAAATCACGACTTAGAACTATATATTGTTGAACCTTCCTTTTCATTCCTTGATGATATCTTGAACAGAATCCAAAACTTTCCAGTTTCTTTGAGTATAAAAACTCAATCCAGTTTAAAGCCTCGTTTTCAGCATGATTTACATCCCCTCTTCTTCCTGGACTTCTCCCTGGAGCAAATGTTTGAGCTCAGGCTCTGTTTGGATTGGAGGAGAGGATGACAGGCCTCCTCTCCTTTCTCGGAAGTGCTGCTGTGGGGAGGAGGAAGAGGCACTCTCCACCCAGCTGCTGGGCTGGCGTCCCGTGAATGACTGTCTCTGCAGCTCTGCCTGTCGCCATAACTGTCAGTACCTTCCATAAACCAAAAAGTATCTGAGACAGGTCTCAATCAATTTAGAAAGTTTATTTTGCCAAGGTTAAGGATGTGCCCATGGCATAGCCTCAGGAGGTCCTGATGACATGTGCCCAAGGCGGTCAGGGCACAGCTTGATTTTATACATTTTAGGGAGAAATGAGACATCAATCAATATATGTAAGATGTACATTGGTTTGGTCTGGAAAGGCAGGACTACTCAAAGCGGGGAATGGGCTTCCAGGTCACAGGTAGATAAGAGACAAATGGGACAAATGGTTGCATTCTTTTGAGGTTCTGATTAGCCTCTCATTGAATATCCAATTTTTTTCTTTTTTTTTTTTTTGAGATGGAGAGTTGCTCTGTCACCAGGCTGGAGTGAAGTGGTGTGATCTTGGCTCACTGCAACCTCCGCCTCCTGGGTTCAAGTGATTCTCCTCCCTCAGCCTCCCAAAGTAGCTGGGACTATAGGTGCGCACCATCATGCCCGGCTAATTTTTTGTATTTTAGTAGAGACGAGGTTTCACCGTGTTGGCCATGCTGGTCTCAATCTCCTGACATCGTGATTCACCTGCCTCAGCCTCCCAAGGTGAATACCCAATTTACAGGAATAGTCACTTATGCTCTAGTCTGGCTTAGTCAAAAAACAGGGCCGAGGAAGCAATCTAGATATGCCTTTGTCTCCCATGAGCAGAGGGATGACTTTGAGTTCCATCAGTCCTTTCTCCACAAGGAATTTCCTTGTGGGCAAATTGTGAGGGAGGTTGTAGCTTCTTGATCTTTGTAGCTACCTTCTTTAGAAACAGAATGGGAGACAGGTTTGCCTGATGCAGTTCCCAGCTTGACTTTTCCCTTTGGCTTAGTGATTTGGGGATCCAGGCATTTATTTTTCTTTTACACTTCCTAGGGGTGGGAACATGAGTCCCACTCTCTTGGGGTTCCAAGGCTTCCCTGCACATCAACCCCCCATGCAGGAGAGCTGGCCCCACTCAGCACCTTCCACACTCCCTGCTACCTCCCCACAGCCCCTGCTGGGCTCTCCTCAGTCCATGGGCTGTCCCATGGGTGGGCAAGAGCACCGAGGTGCTGGTAAACATTTAACAATCAGTGTCCCAAAAACAGTATGCATATATACACACTGCATATGGTTATTATAAACTTTACTAATACAAGAAATGCGTAACACAGTTTACAAATCATCAAATATATGATACTCTTTATTATAAGTTCTATAAAAAAAGAGTATTAAATAAAAGTCAATTGACTGACAAGATGCTATCTCAATTTTTGGTGAACTCTTGTATCCATAGCCAAGCTATGGTTCAATTCACAAACAAGTGTAGTTTTGAAACAAATGTTGGTTGGCTGGGCATGGTGGCTCACACCTGTAATCCCAGCACTTTGGGAGGCTGAGGCAAGTGGATCACTTGAAGCCAGGAGTTCAAGACCAGCCTGGCCAACCTGGTGAGATCCCATCTCTATTAAAAAAAAAATACAAAAAAAAAAAAATTAACCAGGCATGGCGGCACATACCTGTAATCTCAGCTACTCAGGAGGCCAAGGCACAAGAATCGCTTGAACCCAGGAGGTGGAGGTTGCAGTAAGCTGAGATCACACCACTGCACTCTAGCCTTGGTGACAGAGTGAGACTCTATCTCAAAAAAAAAATAAATGTTGGTTGATATTTTCCCTCATGTTAAAGCATCAGACAAAAAGAAAGCAATGAAGCTGTGTTTTGAAACCTAACTTGTTTGTCAGTAGCCTGAGCACCCTTTCTGCTGAGTCAGATAATACTTTTAAACACTGCAAAAATATTTCCTCAATTGTTTGTGCTACTTATAATGACTATGGGCATGCCACATTTTCTAATTTAATCTTCACTATTAACATTAACTCCTTTAATTTATTAAGTCTAGACCAGCAGTCCCCAACCTTTTTGCCGCCAGGGACCAGTTTTATGGAAGACAATTTTTCCACAGCCCGGCAGCTGGGGGAATGGTTTCAGGATGAAACTGTTCCACCTCAGATCATCAGGCATTAGATTCTCATGAGGAGCACACAACCTAGATCCTTCGAATATGCAGTTCACAATAGGGTTCCCGCCCCTATGAGAATCTAATGCTGCTGCTGATCTGACAGAAGGCAGAGCTCAGACAATAATGAGAGAAATGGGGAGCAGCTGTAAATACAGATGAAGCTTCGCTCACTCTCCCACCCACAAAGACGGGTACTGGTCTGTGGCCCAGGTATTGGGGACCCCTGGTCTAGATAATCAACAAAACAGTAAATTAAGCTCTGGTTTGTAGCATTTGACAATTGCCATGATGTAAATGCTCCCACATGACTGGTATCAGGGTTGCAACCTGACAGCAGTAAACGTGCAGCTGAGAAGAGAAGCATGGTCACACACCATTACGTAGCATTGCTACCGTGGGGCTAGGTAATATCCATCATTAGGCATCAATAATAATAAAATGTGGTGAGATAATTAGAAAATGAGTTTTGTGCATTTATCATCTTTCCTTTGAATATGATTCGTTTTATTGTAAATTTACATAATTTAATTGTTAATCCTGGCTATACTTAACAACTGGCTCACAATATTCCTGAAATTTTCACAGTTGGCTCTCATGAGCCCATGCAAACCAGATCCAGCACCACTGGATGAAGGGCCTGAATGAGACGCATGCTGGTATGCAGCCCTGCCCACGCCCCTTCTCCAGGCACTGGTCCTGTCCACAGCCCTGCTACCAACAGGGCCTGAGGGCATACTGGGGCCTTGCGATGCCCCATCCAGAGCTGATTGGATCAGGTAGAACACACATGATCTAAGAGGACCCGTCCATGGACAGACTGAATCAGAGTCTCTGTTCCTCTGGATTAGAACAAAGATGCAGAGAAAGTGGCCAGCAGGTAGCAGAATAGCAAAGACACCTGGAATGAAACTGAGTTTGTTGATGATAAATGCCAGCCCTGGAAGGAAGTGTCACAGATGATCTTTGCTGAAGTCTAAAACAGCAAAGATCACCACACCTTAGAGTAAATAGCCACCCCATTCATTTCGACTAACCTGATATTGCCTGTACACAATTGTAGACAAGAGCAAGATGCTTCCACCTTCCTTGAGGAACGCCCATGGCATGGTCCTGATGGAAACGATCGTCAGTTTGATTGACATGTGGGTCCTGTGTCTTATTCTAAGGATCATACACAAAGAGTGATTGTACACACTTAGCAGTGACTGAAATAGATGCAACTCAAGGATAGGGTCAGTGAGGAGTCAACGAGACCATGTCCCTACAGAAAGCCTTCAGCGAAACGCTAGTGAACTATCAGGAAAAGCAGGCCCACAAAGATTCATTCAATTGCTGAAAATGTGAGCCAGGTTAATTTCAGGTTGCCCACATGTTTCTTTTGTTTGGTAGCAGAAAGTGTACAGCATGCCAATCCCAGCCCTGATGGAGAGAGGACATTTGGCCTTGGTGTCGTTTGATCGAATGAATAAATCTAGAGCCAGTTTTGTGCAAATCAAAAAGAGGTGAATGTTTTTATGTATTTGCTTCCTGAAACTGCTTTCTTTGTACTAATTTAACTGAAGGGAACTATACCATCCCAGGTCAGAGAAATTATCTGAATAGAAAGAAAATATAGGTCTGTGTTGACTTTCATAAGATACATATCTGTTTCCTTTTCTGTAAAATGAAGATACCTCCCAGGGATGTTGTCAGGCTCATATAAGATCCTGGGTCCATTCATTCATTCAGTCATTCACTCATTCAATATACTGATGTAGCAAAAAAGCCCTTTTAAGGTGCTGGGATCCTTTCAAGGGTATGAAAACATTCTGTAAACTACAAAGCATGACGCCTATACAAGTCACTGTTCCTTCTCATTGTTTTACATGCAGGCAGTTTATAAAGAGCATGATTAGAGAATAAAAGACAGTTTAGAAGTTAATTGTACAACATTGCATGAATCCATGACCCAGGATCTAAGGGAAAATATGCCTGGTTTGAAAGCAGCTCAGTCTGAGGCAGGGCCCTTCCTTGAGCCCCCACACTGAAGGTCTTGAGTCTTAAAACGTCAACATAAGCACTTTCCAAATGCTTGCCATCCTAAGGCTAATGTATGAGAAAAACCAAGATTTGCTTTGGAAAAAAAGGTTGATGAATTGAACGAGATGCTAATTCTAGATAAAACCTGCAGCTATCTTTAATGACGGCAGATGTGAAATCTCAGAGAATAAGCCCAACAAAAGCCAAAATGAAGATCCTTTGACAGTCTGTGTATCTATGTAAGAAATTACAAATATATCTACTAAATTGCTAAATAAGGCTAAGGCTACACAGCACACTTTAAGATCCAAGCACGTATTTAATTTCAGATCCGTGAGTTTTCTATTCATCCATATTTTAATCTTTTAGAACTCCTGAGAAAACGAAGTAAACATGTTCTTTTAAAAATAAATTCTGGGCCGGGCGCGATGGCTCACGCCTGTAATCCCAGCACTTTGGGAGGCCGAGGCGGGCGGATCACGAGGTCAGGAGATCGAGACCATCCTGGCTAACACAGTGAAACCCCATCTCCACTAAAAATACAAAAAATTAGCCGGGCATGGTGGCAGGCGCCTGTAGTCCCAGCTCCTTGGGAGGCTGAGGCAGGAGAATGGCATGAACCCGGGAGGCGGAGCTTGCAGTGAGCCGAGATCGTGCCACTGCACTCCAGCCTGGGTGACAGAGCGAGACTCTGTCTCAAATAAATAAATAAATTCTGAAGTTTGAAAATAAAAGCAGATCATTTTCTTTGGGTAAAGAACGACAGTTTCTAAGATATTGAAATTTAAACTTTGGAATCATAGTTTTAAAGAGCAGAGAATCAAACAAAATATGAGTGAAAGAAAAGTGCTTTGAAATGTAAATTATATTCCAATATTAATTTGCTAGTATCACTCACTTATTTACTTGTCAGAATAACTTTTCCAAGGAGGAGACTTTCATGTCGGATTGTGACTTACAACAATGTCCAGTTTGATGTATTGGTGGAATCAATATGACAGAATCAGCAAAGGTAAAGTCCATGATTTAATCATGCCACAGCTTGGTGAGTAAATTCACTCACCTGTGACATGCATAATTTACAACTGCAAGTTTAATAACTGTAGTTCTCCGCATCAAGCACTTTAACAACAATTTCTAACAGCAAGCAATTTCTATGATATTCCTACACAGCCTGGAGTTTACTAACCAGCTCTCCTTTGAAAATAAGTATTCATGCAAACACCAAAATCCTGCGGGAAATTTCCCCACCCCTTTTGTTAAACAGACTCAGAAACTTTGATGGCAACACAGAGAACACGTACATATTTAATTTAAATGTTATAGTTTATATTTATAAATATTCTCTCACCTCTCTTATTTTCCTAAACCAGGGGATGTTGTTAACCAAAGGCTTCACATTCTCGAAAGCATTTGTGAATGTCCTGAGGTGCTTCTCTTTGAGTTGTGTTGAAACTTACGGCCTAGGTTTATACAACTTCTAGACGAAGGCTCAATTACGATATTCGAGGCAGGTAAGTCTTATCCCCTATACAATCTTATGATGCTGGTGTCCAAGCCATTGGAATAGCTTGGTGTGATGAGCCTGACCTGCCTGAGAGCCATTGAATCTACGACTGTGCCTCATAGACATTCACTTCCCTGGTTGCTCAACTGCTGTCTCCCCTTCCTTCCCCTCAATCTTCTCACATCTTGCTTTGTTTTGTCTTCCTTATCTCTACCCCACATTATATATGGCAGTATGCGAAAGCAGTGGACTCCAAACTCTCAGAGTCCTGGCTTAGTCAATGACTCTCTGGGTGGCCTCGAGGACCTTTTGTTTGGGTCTCATTATTTGCTGTAGCTCCGGTCTATAAAGTCACTGTGAACACTGAACTCGTGCATACTGAACCATTGCTCCTAAGGAAAACACAAAGTTAGGTTCCTGTGAGCCTCTGGTTACAACACTTTCCTCAATACACAACCTTGTTTTGTGTGTGTTTCCGTGTAAAGACACCTCACTTAGTATAGATTATTGATTCATTAACGTTGAACTCACAGCCAGCAGAGTTACAATGAATGCCTGAGCAGGGTTTACCTAACACATGTGTTTTTTTCCCAAGACATGTAACAGCCTTCTTGTGCTATGAATATGGAAAGTTCTTCAGCACTACCCTTGGGGGCCATTTTAAAGAGCAAAATCACCAACTAAAAGGACGAAAATGTTAAAAACAGGGCACTCGATAGACTGAAAAGGACACTTGTTTCCCGTAGGAGAGCTGAAACAAGAAGACAGTGTTGCCTTAGCTGACCTTAGTTGGAAAATGTGCACGGGAAGATTCAAATTGATCACTGCCCTGTCCATGTCTACTGGTGATCACAAGAGTGCCGAGTGTTCACTTTAGGATCACACATAAATGTTAGCAAGTAAGGCCGACTCACAAATACAGAATTGGCAAATAATGAGGATCTACAGCTATATTTTGTTTCTCCTCTTTGGCCTCAGCCTTCTTATTTGCAAAATATATTAGAAGAGGAGAGACCAGGGTCCCCTAAACCATGTTCCAGGGACCCTGGAGATGCGCTCCCAGGAGCTGGGACACCCACTCCTTCCTTTCTTCGCATGGCAGCCCCTCCTTCTGTTGCAGAGCTGCTTTCTCCCACTTGAGGTGTGTGTTGCTGCTGAACATGGATCTGCTGCACACGTCACCAGCCAGAGGTGGGCATTTGATCAACTGGAGCCAATCTGTGAATCTTGTCTCCCTCTCCCACCTTGACACTAGCCCAAGGGGGCAGAAACGGCTGCAGAGGAGCCAAGAGGGACCCTGGGAAGGAAAGCCACTGTTGTTTTGTCTGGATGGTAGTGCAAGGACACTGTGAGCCTCGCACTGCTGTCTCCTGCCTGGGAATGACGCCATCATGGAGGAAAACAGAGCCAAGACATGGGGTGAGGGAGGAGAAGAGAGGAAGCAATGCAGGTTCATAATAGGGTCAGTTAACTCTTCAGTCTACTCAATGAATACCTTTAAAAGAATATGCGGGGCTGGGTGCAGTGGCTCAAAGCTGTAATCCCAGCACTTTGGGAGGCCAAGGTGGGAAGATTGCTTGAGCCCGGGAGTTAGAGACCAGTTTGAACAACATGGTGAAACCCTGTCTCTACAAAAATTACAAAAATTAGCTGGGCATGTGTGCCTAGAGTCCTAGCTACTCGGGAGGCTGGGGTGGGAGGATCCCCTGAGCCCGGGAGGTCAACGATACAGAGAGCTATGATTGCGCCACTGCACTCCAGCCCGGGCAACAGAACAAGACATTGTCTCAAAAAAAAAAAAAAAAAAAAAAAAAAGAATATTCCATTACTTTGAGATGGATTTCTACCACGTGGGGAAAGCAAAACACCCTATTTGCTCACAAAGGCTGGACAAGTTGGAACCCATGTAGATGATCTTTATGATTTCTCTTTATATTTTTACATTTCGCCTTTTTTCTCCCCATAGTCCTCCTCTCCTTTACCCGCTAACATGGGATTGCAATTGATTGTTCTTTACTTTTTAAACAGCCACACACAGCATCTATTTACCCAAGTGATTAAAAAAGAAAAACAATTCCATGGCTCTGCAGTGCAGTCAGGGAGGGCTCAGGAAAGGAGCAGGCGCCGCGTGGTGGGACAGCGTGATTCCAGCGCCTCGGCATGTCTCAAGGAACAGACGACTGTTGTTCGCCCTGGCTCGCTCTGACTCATCCTTCCTGTAACTCTCGCTCTTTTGATTCCCGCGTGGCATCCTCTGGGCTGTCTTTCTGATACAGAAGCCGCCGGATCTGGCACAGAGCTCAGCAGCTACTGTTCCCATAGACTCCCCTGGAGCTGTCATAAGACATGATTTATCGAGTGGAGAGCCGTCCCTCTCAAATCACTCCAGCATTTCTAAGCCAAAGACTTTTCCCCATCCACCAGGGCTGTGTGACATCATCTTTTTGACCTTCGGACCCGGAAGATCTGTGCTCATCCTCAGAAGATAGGCGTACTGGGTCTAACATTTACTTTCTCCTTTCTATTCTCTGACCTGCTTTTCACCAACGTAGAACAGGGGCTACCATCTGCTGAGCCTGTACTGTGTGTGTGTGGCAAGTTAGATATGTCAATTCAGTAAATTATCACGAACCACATAAAATGTAGGTATGTTTTTCAAGGTTTATAGATTAAGGTACTGAAACTCAGAGAGGTCAGGTGACTTGCCCAGGGTCACACAGCTAAAGATGACAGAGCTAGAATTGGAACCCAGTCCTGTCTGACTCCAAAGCACACAGGTTATCACTACTCCACAGGTGCCCTCTGCTGTGGACCACAGGGAGAACAATTGCTCCTTTGCTTTGAAGAAAGAGGAAGGAAAATTATTGTAGGTTTGCAAAGAGTTCATCTACATTTTTCCCCTCAAAGAGGGAGATTCCTTAACCCAAATCGTCCTCACTGTCACCCTGGCTCAGCTACTTGGCTTCCAGAGACACCAAAGTTAAGTGTGCACATTCTCAAATAGGTCTCCTGTTTTTATTTTGTGCAGCAGGCAGGGAGGGGAACTCTTGGCAAGGAGCCCTTCTTTGACAGTAGCCTGGGCAGAGAGAAGATCAAGGAGGGACGCGTGGGTATTAGAGTGGCAGGAACAAAGTCCACACCTGTGCCGCCCAACACAGCAGCCACTCACCCCGTAGGGCCGCTGGGCACTGGGAAGGGGGCACGTTCAAGCCAAGCTGTGTTGCCAGGGTAACGCACCCACCAGGTTCCAGAGATTGTGTATGAAAAAGAGAATGTAAAATATCTCCTCGATAAATTCTTTATATTGATTTTATGTTGAAATGATATGTTGAATATATCAAGCTAAATAAAAATAGCATTAAAATTAATTCCACCTGCACAGCAGGAGGTGCGTGGCGGGTCATCGAGCATGACCACCTGAGCTCCGCCTCCTGTCAGATCAGCAGCGCCATTAGTTTCTCACAGGAGCGCGAACCCTGTTGTGAACAGCACATATGAGGGATCTAGGTTGCATGCTCCTTAGGGGAATCTAAATAATGCCTGATGATCTGAGGTGGAACAGTTTCATCCCAAAACCATCCTTGTCCCCCTACCATCCATGGAAAAACTGTCTTCCATGAAACCGGTCTCTGGTTTCATGTAACCCTCTTACAGGATTACAAGCTGTGGGAAGGGAAAAATTCAGAAGAAAGAACCCTCAGGATAGAATAGTGTGCTTTTTATGAAATCCTTAACTATCCAGATGGGTACTAAATTTATAATACTCGTAACGCTGCTGTGATGAAGAATCTGTAGCAAGCTAGAAGGAAATATATGATTAACGTCAGAACCTAATTAAGGCTGTAAAATAATTGAATCAATGGCGTGGCCTGGAAGCCTGTGCTGGTATTCTCCAGCAGCCCCTGCAGGTCCAGCCTCCCTGTCTTCACCCTGAGTCTGCTTCAGCAGACAGCGTGGGCTTGGCCAGCTGGAGGCCCTGGCAGGAGATCAAAGGGCAGGAAGGGAGAGGGGCCAGCATGTCAACTCGCTTGGCCCTGCGTTGCTGGGCCAGGGGTTGGTATGGCTGCCTCCCCTCCCCATCCACTGTCAGATGGCCACTCCTAGAGCCACAGCTGGCTCTCCAAACCAATTCCTTCCATTCAGCCCAGGGAGCTTCATCACACCTTGCTGCCTTCCCTGAATCAGGCCCACTGTTCTCTCATTACTGATCTCAAAAAGTTGAGCGAGCCAGCCAGTCCCAGCCTATCCCCAGCATCACCCGCAGTGGACCCGAAGCCTAAGGTGAAAGTACACATTTTGCTGGTGAGGTAAGTTCAACCATGTCCCAAACAAACCAGAGAAAAAGCAAAGGCAAACCAAGAGCCCAGCAAGCATGGACTTCGGAGCAACCAGAGAGAGCCCCGTGCAGAGCCCAGGAGGGTGAGTGTGGGAAGAAGAAGGGCGGGTGCTTCTCGGCCTAGCACACCTGGGTCTCAGCTGCACCAGCTCTGGCCATCTGTGGGACCGTTTGCATGTGACCCACCTGCCCAGGCCTCATTTTCCTCATTTGTAGGATGGACAATGTCACCTGACACTGTTGGGAGAAGTGGCCCACGCATACCTGGCCCAGAGCAGAGAGATTGCTGAGGTCCACTTTACGGCTCATTGATGCCAATGGGCAGATAAGATAACCCTGGGGAACATTAGCCCTAGTGCTCCTTGGAGCCCAATCCTAGGAGTCAGGAGAAGCAGGTGGGAACATCAGCCCTGGCGCTCCTTGGTGCCCAATCCTAGGAGTCAGAAGAAGCAGGTGGGACCTGCTCCCTCCACCTCAGCTGGCCTCCCTCCCCACCCGGCACTAGAGCAGGGGCGAGCCATTGGGTATCCTCCCTTGCGCTCCCCAACCATCTCCTGGGGTGAGCTCAGGGAGCCTGCAGCTACTGGGACAGGGGCCCACTGGCACCTTGCTGGCCCCTACTGCCAGGCAGGGTACCATCAGCCAGCTCGCTCCTCCCAGGGAACTGCCTCTTCTCCAGCAGCCTGGAGTCCCCCACTTCCCAGCCCCATCGTCCTCATCCCAAGCCTGATCCCATTGTGTCCTGTGACTCCTTGTCCCTTGTTGGGCACCTGCATCTGTCCTCCCTCCTCAGCCTCCCATGCCCTCTGCATCCTGCACTCCTGCTGAACGAATGACCCAGGCCTCCACTTCCCATCAGAACATCCTCTGCAACACGTCCCTTACCGGCAGGCGTCACTCCCTGAGCTCACCATTTCCCTGCAGCCATGCTACGTGGCTGCTGCTTAATGTCTCAGAGGCCCCTTCTCTGAGACAGGGTTGAGACCTGGGGTTTGCACCCCCTCTGCCTTGACGCATCCAGCCCAGTATTCCTCCCACTTGCTCATGGCCAGATGAGGAAGGGAAGTGGCACCACTGGGCATTTGATTGAAAGCAGCAAAGACTCCATGACTCCCTTCCCACACTGCTGCCATTGGCTTGGTGGACTTTGACTGCAACCCTGCCAACAACCCCCGTTCTCCTGGCTTCCCTGAGCCTCTCACCTCTGATGACCTTCCCCACCTCATCTTTCACTCTCAACAGATGACCTCAACTCCTACTTTACAGAGAAGACAGAAACTAGGAGCTGGGACCTCCTTCACCTTCCTACTGCAAACCCACAGACCCCCCTGCATCTCCCCTCTGCTGCTTCCCCTTCCTTCCTTGTCACAGTGGAGGAGGCATCTGTGCTCTGGGATTGGCCTTCCCACCAGCCCTCCACCTTCCTGAGCTCACGCACCCAGTCTCCTCTCTCCTGTGTCTCCAGCCTTTCTCACTGCACTCTTTGCTCCATTGCTTTCATCAGCCTATTCTGCTCAAATTTCTCTGATCTTGAAACAAAGTTGGCCGTGGACCCAGTTCCTGCTCCAGCCCCAGCTATATTTCCTGTGTCTTCCCTTCCAACCTCTCCTGCCACAGCCAAGGCCTCTCCCCTCCATGAACTCTCCTCTCATAGTCCCCCAAATTCACCAAGTTTTCCAGCTCACGCCTTTCACATTTGCTCTTCCCTCTGCCTGAAATGCCCTCCCTGCTCCTCCTGTAGCTAGTGCCCTCCTTGACCTGTTCTCCCATGAATGCCTCCACCTCCTCCCAGCCCAGGCCAGGGTTCCCTGTGTCTCTCATCAAAACAGCATGGAGCCTGAATGTTCTGCTCTGCTGGACCCAAGTCCCCCAGCCTCCCAGGCCTCATCTGTCCCTTTAATATCCCAAGTGGCTCAAGCCTAGCCCATCCCATAGGAAGCTGTGGAGGGTCACCTGACTGTAGGGTATTGCCGGAGGCCCTCGCATGTCCTAAGCCCTCCAGGCTGCTCTCTGCTGTGGTCTCACTGCTGGGCATCACCTGAGATTCAGACACCTTCTCCCACCAGCCTGCCTCCAGCCCCCTGAAGCAACAGGAGGCTCAGAGCTGTTGAAGACAGATGAGAAACTCTTCAAATTGGACAACAGATCCCAGCATTCCAAAATGCCTTCCTTCCTCACTAAAGGAAATTCCTCATGCCCACGTCCATCTCTGCTTTGAGGACGCCTCCTTCCCCATCCCTCCTCTCCTCCCATCCTGGAGTCACCCCTCCTGCCTGCAAACTCCGATCTCCCCAAATGCAGGTGATTTTCACCCTTCCTTGTTCAAAGACAGGCACCTTCTGAGGTACTGGAAGATAGCATTTCAACATGTGAATTTCGGGGGATGCAATTCAGCCTAGAGCAGATATCCTCTCTTTCTCCACTGTGGCTTCAAGTACCAGTTGTGCCACTTTCTAATTGTTCATCCCTGGGCAAATATTTTAACCTCCCCTGAACCTTGAATCTCACATCTTTCAGATGCAGGTAATGACAGCCACCTGACCGGGCACAGGCAAGGATTAAGCGAGGTGATCTGGGTGAAAGGCCCCACAGGGTTCATGTAAGTTCCCTTCCTTCTGATCCTTTCTTCCCCTCTCTGTGTCTGCAGACATGAGCCCCGCTTTGAGTTTGCACAAGAGTGGTGTTCCTTGCAATGACAATGACAGGTTACTAAGGCGCGCACACTCTCCTCCGATTTTTAACCTAATGGATGACCCCATCGGCCTCCTTGAGGCCTGGGTCCAGAATTGGAGACTCTCAAAGGGAAGTTGCTACAGTTTATGATGGCAGGAAATCTGTTTACATTCTGAGTCTAAAGAGGAAAATGTAGGCATTCTTTCAACTTCCTGTTACAAAATGCTTCATACCAAAAATTCTTGCCTCCTCCGAAGTCACTGAAGGGTTACAGAGAGATCTCCTAGTTGTTTCTCTGCGTTTCCACTTCTCAGATACTACTTTAAAGGTGGCTTTTCTATGTTTTCAGTTTGTTTTTCTTCTCTTGGCTAAACATATATCCACGATTAACAGATTGTCACTTAGAAGGTTTATATTTATCATCATTATTTATGTTTATTCCTCTTCTGCTTTTATAAACTAACAAATGACATATTTTCTTCCACTGGTTAAAAACTACTTTAAAACTTTATTTCAACCATAATTTAACTTTTGAAATTTTTTACCCTATTTTCTCCAATACCCCTGCTTTGTTTTTAGTTTTCTTTAAATGGACAGCGAACTTTGTGAAAATCAAAATATTGTTTTATAAATAACTCAGTTTCTCCTCCACCCTTAACCAATGAATGGAACTACACAGTATAGTTTTTCTGCTTCTCAGAAGCTAATTACTCTATCTGATGTGTTTAATCTTATTTCTGACTTTTAATAAATCCATTCTTCCCAGGCTCATAAAAACTTCATTAGTTCAACACATTTCTTTTTATCTTGTTGTTGTTATTGTTGTTGGTGTTTTCCAATACAGAATCTCACTCTGTCTCCCAGGCTAAAGTGCAGCGACGTGATCTCAGGTCACTGTAACCTCTGCCTCACAGGCTCAAGTGATTCTCATGCCCCAGCCTCCCGAGTAGCTAGGACTACAGGCGTGCACCAGCGTACCTGGCTAATTTTTGTATTTTTAGTATAGATGCGGTTCTGCCAGGTTAGCCAGATTGGTCTTGAACTCCTGGCCTCAAGTGATCCACCTGCCTTGGCCTCCCAAAGTGCTGGGATTACAGGTGTGAGCCACTGCACCCTGCCTACATTTCTTTTTAAATGCCGCACCTTGGAAGCACCATAGTGGTTTTGTCCTTGCATGTGCGAATCCAGTTTTGGGCATTGCTAAGTGGATACACCTGCTGAATAATCACTTGATCTTTCCAGTGGCACCCACCAAAGACTCATCTTAAGATCCTGTAAAAGATGCACCCAGTGGAACTTGGTACTAAAAGACAATGGAAGCTCTTTTCAATCCTAGGGTTCTAGTGGTCTACAAAATGCCTTACTATCCAAATTTAACTGACATTTTTCTTTGCCACAGAGTATGTCAACAATCCATTCATTCATGGTCAAATATTGTAAACTTTTTAAGGTATGCAGCACTTAATTTTTCTCCAGAAAGAGTGAGAAGATAATATTCAACTAAAAACATAAAATCTCAGCTTGGAAATGGAGAAATATCTTCCTAGGCCTGGGTAAATCCAGCAAGGTAAATCAGAGAATTGAAAAATAGGACATTTGGGAGTTTTGCCCATGACTTGAGCAATTCTCTGTCTGCCAGAGTAGAATTTGGAGGGTGTGGTACCAAGTTCGTGTGTGGTTGGTCTCGGCATCATGGGGGGAGTATGCCTTCATAACAGCCAACGGGGGGTCTCTCCACAACTCCAAGCCCAGCAACTTGTAATCTAGTTTTGACAGTCAAAAGGTATTCAGTGAATGGATGATTAAATGAATAATAGCCTGGTAGAACAAGACTAACATGTCTCTATATGTGTGTGCCTTGACCTCCGTTACAGAGTCCTAGAGTCTATATTTTCTCCCCCTGTGGGAGACAAAGAAACTGAGACTGAAACAGTTCTACAACTTGCTGATGTCACACAGGGACAAGGCTCTATTTTCTGACCCCTGGGCTTTTTTTTCAACAACTGTATTCCATTTCTGAGTCAAAGGGAGTGCAGACTAGAACACGCATCCCAGTTCTCTCGCTGGAGCAGAAGCTCCTATTCCACCCACACCAACTCTTTCTTCATCTGTACGATGGGATAATGTGCCGTTTCCCCTACCTCACTAGAGATAGAGGAGGGGGATCCTCTAATGAGACAGCAGGGAGAATTATTTGAAAAACTAAACCAACATTTAAGGCCAGCTGCTGCTATTATTTTACTAGCAGCTTCTTCTTTTGTGCCAACTTAAAGCTACTTAAGGTAATATTTCCTTCCTACTTTTGATACAACTGGGTCTTTATTAGGAACGCTTCCTCCTGGGAGAAAAAGGAATTCCTCTGAATTCTTTGTTTCATGTTTAAAAAACCCGGGCAATGGAAAGAATATAGTTTGACCAGTGAGGATTAACTTCTAGAGATGTTGTACCATAACCTGGAATGCCAGAGAAATTGTAAAACAAAAGCTGTGGGTGTCTGCAACACTGCCGCAACCTCAGTGGCCAGCCGCAGAAAGAGAAAGAGCCTTGAAGGAAGTTAGATTTTGGTCACAGGTAACCACAAAGAACTAGTTATCACACATTGCCACATGGGTTGTAATACATCTATTAAGAAGCAGATTTTCTTTGGGGTTTGTGAGTCATCGTTCAGAATCTTAGTTCTGCTTGAGAACATGTGAACTGAAATGATCTATTTCTGTGTTATTCCTTTTTTCTCTTTTCTATCTTCATTTATTTTTTAAATTTATTTTATTTGTAGCATTCTTAAAACTCTGTAAGAATGGAGCCCAGGAGAGGGATTTTCTTTACTTCATTCCTAAGCCTTCAGATTCCTTTGTCTTAGCTTATTGTTGCCAGCTATTAGTTTGGAAAGCCTAAGACCTTCCATGAGAATTGTGTAGCCCCTGAACCCATTTCTCACCCATCAGATTGGCAAAAATTTACAAGCCTGACAATACACTCTGTTGACAAAATTGTGGGGAAACAAACATTCCTACCATGCATTGCTAGTGGGAAGGCAAATGTAAGTATTCATCTTGTTCAAAGAGATCCCTGCAGAAATGCCCCAAATAATGCTTGACCAAGTATCTGGGCACCCTGTGTGGTACAGCCAAGTTGACACAGAAAATTAATTATCACAGCTATGATACTTAATCATAGCTGATTAATGACTGTTGTGACCCCTATGAAAAAGAATTTGGCAATATCCAAATTCTGTGTGCAACCCCTATGTAAAAGAATTTGGCAATATCCAAAAGATCTACCTAATGCATCTGGGCTTTGACTCAGCAACTCCTAGGAATTTATCCCAAGATTTACCTCCAACAATATGAAAATACAGATGCACAAGGTTATTCACTGAAGCATTGTTTCTAATAGCAAGACATTGGAAACTACCAAAATGTCCAAGCAAAAACAAATCTATTGAACCCAGGAAATTGGTTCAGTAAACTCTGGCACATACATACAATAGAATAATAAGCAGCTATACAAAGAATGAGCCACATGCATGTATTTCCTCATTCTTTCAGCTAAGAGAGCCTAGAAACAATGACACTCCAGGAACAATGATCACTCGCTACTGCCAGATCTTAGTTTCCAATCCCACTATTCAGTGAAAGGAATCAGGGCTCCTTGGAGAAATGGCTGATTCTAGGACTGGAGCAGGAAATATAGAAGACAAGCCTAGAACTTCTTATAGTACCAGAAGGTAAGGAAGCTCAAACAACACACGCATGCACACACACGCACATACATGCACACATGCACATGCATGCAAGCACACACACTACAACAACAGGAAACATCAAAGGGACACAGGAGCCAATGGAAAGAGCTCCCAATGACCCAAGCTAGGATAATTTGAGAAGAAAATACAGTGATATTGGACTATAACCCAAGTATAAAATAAATGTCCATGAATTCATAAAGGTACAAATAAACGATTGAATGGGTAAATAAAGTAATGGGTGTGGTGGCTCACGCCTGTAATCCCAGCACTTTGGGAGGCTGAGGTGGGTGGATCACTTGAGGCCAGGACTTCGAGACCAGCCTGACCAACATGGAGAAACCCCGTCTCTACTAAAAATACAAAATTACCTGGGCATGGTGGCACACACCTGTAATCCCAGCTACCTGGAAGACTGGGGCAGGAGAATTGCTTGAACCCAGGAGGCAGAGGTTGCAGTGAGCCGGGATTACGCCACTGCACTCCAGCCTGGGCAACAAGAGTGAAACTCCGGCTCAAAAAATAAATAAATTAATTAATTAATAATAAATAAATGAGTATAGACAAATCTTCTGAGATGAATTCCAAATGATTTGTATAAATATTTTGCCCTCAGATGGGAGAAGCATAACTCCTTACTTCTTAAGTATGGGCCACACCTGGTGATTTCCTTCTAAAGAGTCCAGTATTAAAACGGGAGGTGGGGAGTAACTTGACAGTGGAGAAACGTGGCAAATACTACCTCAAGCCAAGTGATCAAGGTTAGCATCATCAATGATAAGTTATGTTGATCCAGTGTACCCTTGATTTGATGTGAAGAGAATATCGTTTATCTGTGTAGTGTCCTCCTGGAAACTCATAACCTCAGTCTAATCATGAGAAAAACATCAGGATAATACCAATTGAGGCTGGACACCGTGGCTCACGCCTATAACCTCAGCACTTTGGGAGGCCGAGGTGGGCAGATCACTTGAGGTCAGGAGTTCAAGACCAGCCTGGCCAACATGGTGAAACCCCGTCCGTCAGTACTAAAAATACAAAAATTAACCAGGTGTGGTGGCAGCGCCTGTAATCCCAGCTTGGAAGGCTGAGGCAGCTTGAACCCAGGAGGTGGAGGTTGCAGTGAGCCAAGATCATGCCACTGCACTCTAGCCTGGGTGATAGAGGGAGACTCTGTCTCAAAAAAAAAAAAAAAAGAAAGAAAAAGAAAAAAAAAAGAATACCAATTGAGGGGCATTTTATAAATTAACCTAACCAGTACTTATCAGTCAAAGTCCCAGGCAAGATGAATATACAGAGACCTGATGAGTAAATGTAACATGATATCCTAGATGAGATCCCAGAGGAGAAAAAGGACCTTGAGCAAAAACTAAAGAGATATAACTAAGTTATGTACCTTAGTAAATAACAAAGTATTGATATCGGTTCATTCATTGTGACAAATGTACCATCCTAATGTAAGATGTTAAAAATAGCTGTGATAATTAATTTTCTGTGTCAACTTGGCTGGACCACACAGGATGTTCAGATACTTGATCAAACATTATTTGGAGCATCCCTGCAGGGATCTCTTTGAATAAGATAAATATTTAAATCAGCAGGCGTTGAGTAGAGCAGACTGCTCTCTGTAATGCAGGTGGGTCTCATTTAATCAATGAGAAGCCTGAATAAAATAAAAAAAAAAAAAAACAATGCTCCCCTGAGCAAGAGAAGTTTTCTCCAGGAGAGGTCTTTGGACTCGAACTGGGACATTGGTTTCTCCTGCCTTTGGGCTCAAACTAAAACCTTGACTCTTCCTAGGTCTTGAGCCTGCTGGCCCTTTGGAGTAGAACTACACCATCGTTTCTCCTGAGTCTCCAGCTTCCTCCTTTCCCACCCTGCAGTTTTGGGGACTTTCCAGCCTCTGTAACTGTGAGCCAATTTCCTTATAATAAATCTCTTTCTAGATATGTGCATACTATTAGTTCTGTTTCTCTGGAGAACCCTGAGTATTACAATAGGGAAAACTGGGTGTAGGTGTATAGGAGCTCCCTGTATTATCTTTGTAAATTTTCTATAAATTTAAACTATCCTAAAATAAAAAGATTATTTTTTAAAGCCCAGAAAAAATAAATTGAAAAACAAAAGAATTAGGAAGATCTCTATAAATTAATATGGAAGTAGTTCTAGAAGACATTATTAAATGGGGAAGAAAAACAGCATTTGGGGGAAATTTATAGCACAATGCCAATATTAGAAAAAGAAAAAGGTCTCAAATCAATGACTTCAGTTTCCACCTCAAGAAACTAGAAAAAATAACAAATTAAACCCAAAAAATAAAGGTCAGAGAGGAATCAAAGAAATTTTTCAAAGTTTTAAATGAAAATAAAAATAAAGAGAATACAGCCAAAGCTGCTTCTTGAAGAATATCGATAACATTAGTAAACCTCTGGGCAAAGTACTCAGGAAAAAAAGACAGAGAATCCATAATCTCCTGACATTAGTAATGAACAAGGTGACACCACTACAGATTCTACAGAAATGAAGAGAATAATCATGGAATATCATTAACAACTCTATACCTATGATTGATAATTTAAACAAAGTGGACAAATTCCTTGAAAGATACAGGCTATAAAAGTTCACTCAAGGAGAAAGAAATAATCTGAATAACCCTACACCAATCATTAAAAATGAATTTGTACTTTAAAATCCCCCCTCAAAAAAGAAAATCCCCAGGCCTAATAACTTTACAGGTGGATTCTACCAAATATTTAAGAAAGAAATAATACTAACTCCAAACAAACTCTTCCAGAAAATTGAAAAGGAAAGAACACTTCTGAACTCACTATATGAAGCAAGCATTGCCCTGATGCCAAAATTAGTCAAAGATACTACAAGAGAAGAAAACTGCATATCAGTATCTCTCATGAACATAAATGCAAAAATTCAAAACAAAATTGTAGCAAACAGAATCCAACAATACAAAAAAGGATAACACATTATAACCAGTGCATTTCCTGGGGAAGCAAGGTTAGTTTAACATTTGAAAATCTATCAATGTATTCACCATATTAACAGATTAAAAAAGAAAAATCCATGTTATCATCTCAACAAACACAGAAAAATCTAACTCTCAGTAAAGCAGCACTAGAGGGGAATGTCCTCAATCTGATAAGGAACATCTATGAAAAATCTACAGTTAACTCCATACTAGGTAGTAAAGGACTGACTGTTTTCTCTCTAAGATCAGGAAAAAGTAAGGGATGTCTATTTTTATCGCCTCTATTTCTGAAGATTCTAGCCAGTGCAGTAAGACAATAAAAAAGAAATAAAATTTATCCTGATGGAAAAGGGAGAATTAATATTGTCTTTATTTCACTGTGATATGATTATATATAAAAGCAAATGGAATCTACAGAAAAGCTGCTAAAACTAATAAGTAATTTAGTTTGAAATGTATACAAGATCAATATGTGAAAAAATCAATTGTATGTCTAGGACCAAATAATCTGAAATTCCCAAACTACCAATTACAATAGCATCAAAAATATAAAATACTTTGGATACATTAGTCAAAAGATGTACAAGACCTGTATATACTAAACTATACAAACATTGCCGAAACAAAGAAAACCCAAATAAATAGAGAGATGTGTGGGTTGAAAGGCTTGATATTGTATGATGACAATTTCCCCCCATTCTATAGAACTGATGCAGTCCCAATACAAATCCCAGCAGGACTTATAGTAGAAACTGTCAAGCTAATTCTAAAATTTTGATGTAAATGAAAAGAAAAGGACCTAGAATATCCGAAACAACTTTAAAAAGAAGAGCAAAATTGGAGGACTAACACTTTCTGGTTTCAAGACCCATTATAGATCTACAGAAATCAAGACAATGTGGTATTAGCATAAAGATAAAAAACAGATCAATGGGAAGGAACAGGAAGTACAGAAATAGATCCACACATATAAGTGGGCATGTGATTTTTGTGAAATGTGCAAAGGCAATTCAGTAGAGAAGGAATAGTCTTTTCATTAATGAAGCTGGAATGATTGGATATCCATATGTTTAAAAAGTGAACAAACACCTCACAAAAAGATATACGGATGGCAAAGATGCATATGAAAAGATACTCAAAATCATACGTCTTTAGAGAACTGCAAATTAAAACAACAATGAGACACCACTACACACCTATTAGAGTGCCTAAAATTCAAAATACCAATGATACCAAATGCTGGTGAGAATGTGGAGCAATAGGAACTTTCATTCATTGCTCATGGAACGCAAAATGGTACAACCACTTTGGAAGACAGCTTGGCAGTTTCTAACTAAGCTAAACATAGTTATATTATGTCATCCAGCAATCGCATTCCTAAGTATTTACACAATTAACTTGAAAACTTATGTCCCCACAACAACCTGCACACAAACGTTCTTAGCAGCATTAATCATAATCTTCAAAAACGAGAAGCAACGTAAATGTCCTTTAATAGGTGAATACCTAAACAAACTGCAATACATTCATACAATGGAATATTATTCAGCAGTAAAAAGAAATTTGCTAACAAGTCACAGAAAGAGACGAAGGAAACTTAAATACACATTGATAAGCAAAAGAAGCCAGTCTAAAAAGGCTACATACTGTACGATGCCAACTAAATGGCATTCTGGAAAAGGCAAAACTATAGAGACAGTAAAAAGATCAGCAGTTGCTAGGGACTGGGCAGTGGAAGAATAAATAGATGAAGCGCAGGGTGTTTTTAGGGTGGCAGAACTATCTGAATCACACAGTATTGGTGGACACATAACATTATGTATTTGTCAAAACCCATAAAACTGTACAATACAAACAGTGAAGTTTAATATAAACTATGGACATCAATATAATGCATCAATACTGATTCATTAATTGCAACCAATACACTACACTAATGCAAGATGTTAATAATATGGGAGACTGTGTGAGAGGGAGAAGGAGTATATGGGAACTCTCTATACTATCTGCTCAGTGTTCTGTAAATCTAAAGTTGTTCTAAGAAATAAAGTCTATTGATTTTTAAAAAGGTTTAAGAAATCAGGCTGACCGTAAGTAATGTGTGTGGCCATAGTGTCAATTTAATAATCTATAATGGTGAATAATTGTTACATTGAACACTATAATGAATCATAAAATAACTATCAGGAGCATTCTTTCTCTAGGGAGAACTTCATGATAAGTCAACTAAAATAGAAAGAGAGGGAGGAAGAAGGAGGGAAGAAGGAAGGAAGGAAGGAAGGAAGGAAGGAAGGAAGGAAGGAAGGAAAGAAGGGAGGGAGGGAGGAAGGAAGGAAGGAAGGAAAGGAAAGAGAGAGGGAGGGAGGGAAGGAAGGTGAGTCTGGCCCCTGGGAGTCTGGGGCCTCCTCCTGCTGCTCTCTTGACAAGCCATGCTCAGGCCAGTCTGTGGTCATTCAGCCAGAAGATGCTCCACAAACCAAGCCTAATGGGATGAAGAGGACGCAAATATCCAGGGTCTTCATGCACCACTGTGATAAACCCGAAGGCCCAAAAAGCCACCCTACAAAGCGGGTATGGGCCAGGGACAAGATTTTTTTTCAGGGGGTTTTCCTACCCGGAGGTCCGCAGACATTAACCTCATGGAGACCAAGAATATGTTTAGAAATTCATTACAAAAAGCACACCTGAGTGAATGTGCCTATGTCTGGAGAGAGTTCTACAGCTCCCTTCAGATTTTCACAGGGGTTTTTAACATCCCCACACTTCCCCCTGCTTTGTTCCTAGACTGGTAGACAACCAAATCTCTTACTCATAGATCCATTCTGTAATGACAACCACCATGAAAACTGTGCACAGGTGAGCAAAAGCACTCAATGGAAGCACAGGAAAGCAGGAAAGGACCATAAGTTCTTTCTGGGCCTTTTCCTGAATGCAGAAAAGTGATGTGGAACCACGTACATAATTCTTGAGTAAACAGAGTGTGGTTGATTTGTGGATGCGTATACTGAAAAGAAGCCTCAGCATATCACACAACTCTCTGCACTCCCCTTGCACACAGGCTTTGCTATGTCCTTACTCCATCATGGTCACCTTTTTCTAGAACTGAGAATTGAGATGTAGTGTTCTGAACTCAACTTTTCTTATTTTTAATTCCTGCTAAGAATGGGTTACTTTTTTTTTTTTTTTTTTTTGAGACAGGGTCTCGCTTTGTCACCCAGGCTGGAGTGCAGTGGTGCCATCTCGACTCACTGCAACCCCCACCTCTCAGGCTCAAGTGATTCTCATGCCTCAGCCTCCTGAGTAGCTGGGATTACAGATGTGCACCACCACACCCAGCTAATTTTAGTATTTTTTAATAGAGACGGTGTTTCACCATGTTGGCCAGGCTGGTCTCAAACTCCAAAGCTCAAGTCTGCCCACCTCAGCCTCCCAAAGTGCTGGGATTACGGGTATGAGCCACTGCACCCAGCCTGTGTTATATATTTTTTTTTAATCTGGGATGTTTCGTGAACGTTGTAGTGCTTTTAACTCTAGAACATCTTTGGGAAGCCACTGTTTTCTGAGAGAGGTACACATTTCAGAAAAGGAATTAACCATTTTCTAGGCAAAGGTACACTTAGGTTAAAACCATAGCAAAGCATTGTCTAGACACGTGTGAGTCACTTTCCCTTGCTCACAGATATTAAGGAGCCTGGCCCATTTTATTTCTTCAGCTTTGCTGACAAAACTCAACTTTGCTGTCTCTCTGTTCACTCACCTTGTGGAGTAGGCTTTCTTTCCTAGTTGAAATTGTGCGAAGCGTGACCAATTAACTAAGAGTCTTAGCAGGATTTACTGCTGATCATATTTCACATTTGCTCCTGGAACTCCAGTGTGATAACAAGGATATTTGCTTTGCATACTAATTTGTATAGCCAATGATTAACTCTGTGTTGTATACAAGCGTGTGTTAGAATCAGGGCTTTTAAAGTGGAAAGAGCTTGAAAACCTTCCTTCAACATATCCAGGGAATTCAGGGTTTGGATGATATTGCTCAAAGGCTGAGCAAGCTCCTCAATTTGTTATCCATGGCTGTGTAACAAATGATCACAAATTTAGTAGCTTAAAACAACACACATTTATCTCACAGTTTCTGTTGGTCAGGAGTCTGGACAGGAGTCCTGGAATGGCTTAGCTGGGTCCTCTGCCCAAGGACTTACAAGGCTGAAATCAAAGAGTCAGCCACAGCTGAGGTCTCACCTGAAAGCTCAATGGGGGCCTGGCATGTTATTGGCAGGAATCAATTTCTTACAGGTTGTTGGACTGAGGGCCTCAGTTTCTTGTTGGCTGTTGGCTGGAAGCTGCTCTCACAGTCTTACCACATGGGCCTCTCCAGATGGCTCGTCATCAAAGGCAGCAAAGAAGAGTTTAAATAGAGCAAAAGTGCTAGCAAGACCAAAGTTACAATCTCTCATAACCTAGTTACAGAAGTGACATCCTCTCATTTTATCTAAATTCTACTGGTTAGAAGCAAGTTACAAGGCCCAGCCCACACTCAAGAGAAGGGGCTTACACCAGGGTATGATGATCAGGAGGTGAGGATCATTATGGTCCATCTTAGAGTCTGCCTGCCACACCCTCCAAAGTCATATCTATTTGCAGTCTCTTTACAAAGAACCTGCAAAGTTCCAATTCTTAAAACTTGTCTATGGATCAAGATGGCTCTGTCCAGGGTCAGAATGCAAGAAGTAGCAACAAGAGTTGCAGCAATCACGAAAATGAGCCACCAAGATCTGCTGTAGGAACATGGTTGACTTGCAGCCCCAGATGCCACTTCTCTGGATCCACCACTGTATTCTCATAGAGGCTACACTTCCTGCAGGCTGCTCCCAGTCCAGGCCTGAGCACTGTGGGCATACTGATGAAAGCCCATTCCTGTCATTCAGTCTAGCTCTGAGCACTGTGGGTGTATTATTGAAAGCCCATACCAGTCCTTCAGTGGTTGTAGCCCAGGCTGTGTCTCTGCTGGCATTGCAAATTTCTGAAAGAAGTAACTCTTGGATTGTGTCTTCATTGACCCTAGCAGCTGGAGCCTGGGGAGAGCTGAGAGGTTATGGCAGAAGCTCTTCTCCATGGGGTTACCTGTACAGTTTTCTTCGTGAGCCAAGTGGGAAGGGAAAATGCCTTACCACGGGGCTGCAAACTTTAAAGTATCAGGAAATCTTGCTCCTGGCCCCTCTCCAGTTTCTCATCTTCATTAGCTTCCCCAAGACCCACCCCCATCCTCTGTCAACATAGCGTTAAGCAGCTAGTACCAGACTGAGCATATCCTCTTTCTATGGTGACCACAGGTATCTCTCTTCCTCGGGTGCAATGACTCCACACCAGGCTTGCTCATCTTCAAGTGCATAATCTTCAGTGGCTTATCAAAATATAGGGCCAGCCTGGAATCATTGGCATCCTGGCCTATTGTGGGGGCATGCCCTAGCCTAAAAGACGTACCCAAATTCCTGTTCCATTGACACAGGTCCGGAACCACCAGGCCTGACCTCAGGATAAAAGGGTCTCTTTAGTAGCTAACATAAGGGACAAGAGAGCCTTGGCATGGGCATGGTATGTAGGGTTTCACTGTAAGGGTGACTTTGTTTGTCACCCTTTCTTGCATCCCAAGATTGTGCAAACTGGAGGAATTGGTTACAACAGCATTCTTCGGCTTTGGGTTAATATAACTAGATCTCCAGGTTCAACAATGCAACTGATTCTCTTACTCATGATCTCAGATAACATGCTGGAAGGGGATACAGCCCGTGCTCTTCCATGCTATCTGCTAGCCATCCTCCAGAAGAAGGACTATTTAGGGGCTGCAGCAGGTGTACTTATGTTACAAGCTCCAATTCCAACCTCTAGCACACAGCTTTAATCCAAACCAAGGCTTTCAGACCAAGAGTCTAAGATGTCTGACTTGGCCTATTTTCATAATTTCACTGTCAAAAGTAATTTTTTTAGCCCAACCCAGAATTAAAATAATTAAGAATTTCTAACAAATTCCATATTTGAACAACTAAAAAACAAATTATATTCATTTATTATAAAACAAAAAGGGGAAAAAACGTTCTAAGAATTTTAAAGAAATTGGCTAACAAGATGTCAGTTCTTCTATTTTGGCTTTACTTATAAGGAATATAACTTATCTTATAAAACCTGAGTAATGATTCTGAAAAAACTTGCGCATTCATTCAGCAAATATTTATTAACATGTACTATGTACCGGGCTCTGTTCTAGGTACTGAGGACACAGTGGTAGACAAAGCAGAAAAAGGCAGCAAAATCATACAATCCAAAAATCACAGAAATGAAAATTTGGTGTGACTCAATTATAAAGCTAAATTTATATTTGGAGATCTTGAAAGGACTTGCTAATATACATTAACAGTTCCTTAAGATACTTTTTAGATAGCAGTAATTACTTTTTTGATAATTCAAGAGACTTCTAAAGATCACATACACTAGGAAGGGTCTTGATGTGGTTTGGCTCTGTGTCCCCACCCAAATCTCACCTCAAATTGTAAATCTCATCTCTTGAGGGAGAGACTTGGTGGGAGGTGACTGGATCAGGGCATCGGTTTCCCCCATGCTGTTCTCATGATGATGAGTGAGTTCTCACGAGATCTGATGCTTTAAACATATTTGGCAGTTTCCCCTCCCTCTCGCTCTTCTGCCAACAAGTAAGACATGCCTTGTTTCCCTTTTGCCTTCTGCCATGATTGTAAGTTTCCTGAGGCCTCCCCAGCCACGCTGAACTGTAAGTCAATTAAACCTCTTTCCTTCATAAATTACCTAGTCTTGGGTAGTTCTTTACAGCAGTGTGAACATGGACTAATACAGGTTTACTAGGCTTGTATCCTTATTTCCTGTTAAATATTCTATGCAAAATTAGCTTTCCACCTACCTCTCCTTTTTACTTCCAAGTAAAACAAGTTAGGCTGAAAATATCAGGATAGTGTTAAGGCATTGCTAACACCGTCTTTGCAGACATGGCCCAGATGCCTCAGATCTTTAAGCTCTCTGAGTTAGCACCAGAGTCAACAAACTCAGGAGCTTGCTGTGCTGCCCCGTTTGGCAGCTGTGGTTCCTGCTGAAAATCCAGAGTGATAAAATGCCTTTCATCCATCTGACACTTCGGCAGAAACTGTGGGCGGGCAGAGCTCCCCTCTGTTCCCCACGTCTTTCGCTCTTGCCATCCTCCACTTTGGAGGCCATAAGCAGGTCTGGCTTTGTGGGCACCCAACCAGTGCAGTCACACAGAGTCATGCCCTCAGAAGGGGATCCCGCCCTGAGGTTTAATCCTCTGTGGTCATCATCTTAAAATTCTTAATAATGTTCTCTTTTAATTTATGTTTTATGAGTGAAGTCTAGGGACAATGGAAGGTGTGACCATAGCTTAAGAGCCTGGGCCCACAGGCTGCCCTGCCTTCCGCCACCTCTCTACATCCCCCCATCACCTATTCTCAGCATTTTCTCTCCCACCTCCACCCAGCAACTGCAACCAAGCACCTGGGCACAGGCACAGGAAGGACTGGGCAGGTGCACTTCCCACACTGAGTCAGGGGCACCTGGAGTGTCTATACTTCCTTCATGAGTGTCCCTATCTCCAAGGGGGCACGACATTAAATAGCAAATTAAAACACCATTGCAGATGGAGAGAGACCACCGAAGAAACAAAAACTTTTCCTTTGCCCTTTAAAAAAAAAAAAAAAAAAAAGAGGGAGAGACAGGTCTCATGCTGTTGCCTAGGCTGGAGTGCAGTGGCATGATCATGGCTCACAGCAGCCTCAAATTTTTGGTCTCAAGCAATCCTCCCACCTCAGCCTCCCAAGTAGCTGGGACTCCAGGTGCATGCCACCAAGCTCAACTAATATTTATTTTTATTTTATAGAGATGGGATTTCACTATGTTGCCCAGGCTGCTCTCAGACTCCTGGGCTCCAGCAATTCTCCCACCTCAGCCTCCCAAAGTTCTGGGATTATAGGCATGAGCCACCGTGCCTGGCCTCCCTTGCTTTTTGAATAAGAGGCCCTGGATTTTCATTTGGCATTGGGTCCTGCAAACTATGTGGTCAACCTTGGCCATCAGCACTGAAATTCTAAACCCCAGCCTCCCTCACAACTTAGAAGTGGCTCTGTGAGCTCCATGTGGCCCACAGAGCCAAACTGCCAAATGTTGCTCCTGGAGAGCTAGGAATGTTCATGTTTTACTCATTGCTGATTTCCGACTGTAGAACAAAGAGCAGATGTTCAGTAAAATTTGATAGAACTAATTAACTAAATCACACATGCTATATATTTGTGTGCTTGCTAACTGTATTATTCAAGAGCTTGCACCATTTTTTCTATTAGATGTGTCTGATCATGAGAGTGTGGTGTTATCTTTTAACATGATAAGCTTTCATCGGATTCTCCTTTTAATTCTCAATATACTTTCTATGTCAGACAGCTATGATCAGTATAAAGGTTTATATATGCAAAGTGTTTTTGAATTGCATCTTTTATTAACATAAAAATCCCTTTCCGTCTTTTTTTTTTTTTTTTTTTTTTGAGATGAAGTCTCACTCCGTCACTAGGCTGGAGTGCAGTGGCACGATCTCGGCTCACTGCAACATCTGCCTCCCAGGTTCAAGCGATTCTTCTGTCTCAGCCTCCCGAGTAGCCGGAACCACAGGCGCGCACACCACGTCCAGCTAATTTTTGTATTTTTTAGTAGAGACGGGGTTTCACCCTGTTGGCCGGGATGATCTCGATCTCTTGACCTTGTAATCCACCCACCTCAGCCTCTCAAAGTGCTGGGATTACAGGTGTGAGCCACCGCGCCCGGCCCTTTCCATCCTTTTGATGACTTTTGCCTTAAATTTATTTTGATGCCAGTATTACACAATACTTAAAATTCAAAGTAGACTGTATCAAAGTAGAGTGCATATATATGTATATGTGTGTATATATATATATGTATATATATATATACACACATATATGCACACCCATGTGTACATTTTGGCTCATATATCTTTGCCCAACTTTACCGGTAACTTCTTCGTGCTTTTGGTGGGTCTCTTATGAACGAAATAGAGCTGAATTTTTATTCTTTTTAACCCAGTGTGAAATTCTATCTTCCAACAAGGCAATTTATCCAGTTTGCATTTACTATGGATGTATTTTTGTGTGTGCTTCCTATTTTCTGGGTTTTGAAAAATTGCCTTTTTTTCCTTTTCTGACTTTTCATGAATTGCTTAAGTTTTTTGATATGGAACTTGACTTGTTTTATCTACAGTTTTATGAAAGCACTAGGTCCTCTATCTATTTTCATAATTTAATTTTTTTACAAGTGTATATATAAATTCCATCTTTCTGTTTTGATATCAAGAACCAAATAGCAATAGCCTCCTCTTTTTTCCAGATGAGGTCTTTGTCATGCTTTTACTTTCTCGTTTTCTCCACCTACCATACTCCTTGCTTGCCCTACGCCCAGGTTCCATGGAAATGCTCTGATTTTCCCTTCAAGACTGACCTTTCTTTATTAAGAAACTTTCCTTAAAAATTGCATTAAATGTTATCACTACATTATCAGAAGTTACTTATTTAACAATTAGATGGGTTTCCTTGTTTATCCTGTTTCTTTTATATTCTGTCTCCCCTTTTGTGAGGTTTTCATTCTGATTTATTTTTCATTCTGCTCTACTACCTCCTTGAATAATCTTTTCTTAATGAGAATAACTGTGGAATATTTTCTGAGCTCTTAAATATTTGAAAATAACTGGGTCTTCCATGTAAAGAATAATTAGATTGGGAATAAAATTCCAAGGTCACCATTTTTTCTTTAGAACCTTGTAAAAATCACTGGCCTTTCATTTTGTGTTGCGACTGAGAAGCTTAATGAAAATTTGATTTCTTTCCTTCTAAACTATCTCTTTTCTACTAACTGAAATCAAGTAGGATCCTCTCTCTACACTGGAAATGCAGGATATGGCCAGGTGGGATGTTTCTTTCAATAATTCTCACTGGAGACTTTTTTCATGGACATTGCCACTCCTGGGTCTCTCCCTTTTATTATTACGATCTTTTCTTTGATACGTTTTCATGGACTTTTATGTTTCATATTTTATGTGGTAAAAGAATTTCTCCACTTACTCTTCTACATCCTTAGCTTGGTTTTCAACAGTGCCTACCCTGCCCCACACTCGCTCTATTGAGACTTTATCCTGCTTGTACTAGGTCCCGTTCGTGGGTGTGTTTTGGTGACCAGGAAGCTTGCACACATGATTCAGCACTGTTTTCTCACTTGCCTCAGTGGGTGACTGAACTGATCCCTATAGGCACCAATGTAGACTCCATCTGCAATTTTGTAAATCAAGAGGCAGTCTTGCCAGGCAATGAGGCCGGTGGCTACAGGGTTCATCTGTGAGACCACCCTCCACTCAGTGTGAACTTCTATACTGAACATGGGGAGTTGGGAGAGATAGGCCAGGAGAAAGCTTGCCTTTCTTGATGTGTAGGTGGTCTGGGAAGAGGGTGTCAGGATCTTTTGCTAGGGAACAATAATAGGTGTGTTCGGGGCAGTTGTGTAATCAAGATCCCAGCTGCACCTGGTTTGCTACCTATCCTAAGTTAAGAAAGTAGATGGGGTAAATGTTTTCATCTGCAGTTTTTATGTAGGCATTTCATAGAACTGTGGAGGCTTTTTTTCTATTGCTAGCCAACCACAACCATCCCAGCCATTCCTCCAGCTTCCAATGAAGAGGTTTAGGTGCCTGAGACCACCCAGAGCTGGAATCACGGGAGGACAGCATAAAGACGTTGCACTAGCACTGTGCTATATCGTCCCTTTGCTCTTCCGTGTATTTGCTCACTGAAACCATGGTTAGTGGAAGCAACTGCCCTTCTTTTCCTTCTGACCCCTTTAACAAATCCTCACAATGGAACCCTATGACAAAGCCCCACCTCCCCTTCCTTTACTTAGCAAAAACTCTGGACAACACTAGCATCAAGATTGTTGGTCTCTAGTATGGGACATGGAGACTGTTCTCAAACTGAACCTCTCCCTCTCCTCCTTTGCCCCCTCCACTGCCCCAACCTTGTTAAAAGGCTTGGTTCCCCTGGACTGGAGGTTGTCTGGGGGGCTAAGCTTTTATCTCTTAGGCACCGCTTTTATTCATGGAACACATTTACTGTTTCACATCATTCATTTATTCATTGGGCAACTGATGGACACTTTCCATCAGATGACAAATGGCCAGGGCACATGCTGCAGTGGTCCAGTTCCATACCCATGGCAGACATCACTAATCAATCACGGTTTATTTGATCTGAGTCTAAATGCAGCCTTGGCTGTATTCATTTTCTATTACTGAGATAACTACCACAAACCTAGTGTAAACCACATAAATGTATTAGCTACAGCTCTGTGAGTCTAAAGTCTAACACGGGTCTCATCTGGTTCTGGTTAAAATTTAGGTGTTGACAGGGCTGTGCTCCCATCTAGAGACTCCAGGGGAATTTCCTTGCTTACTCTAGCTATTGGCAGAATTGCATTCCATGCTGCTGTAAGACTGAAGTCACCATTTCCTTGCTGGCTCTTAGCTGGTGGCTGCCTTTCTCACCCAGAAGTCTCTCTCAGGTCCTTGCACATAACCCCTTACAGCTCGGCATCAGAGGGTTGAGTCTGTCTCATGCTGCCATCTCTCTGACCTCTTTTGCCTCCTCTCCCACTTTTAAGGACTCATGTGATTACATTGGTCTACCTGGATAATCCAGGAAAGATCTCCCCATCTCCAAGTCCTTATCCTTAAGAACATCTGCAAAGTCCTTTTTGCTATGTCTGGTAATGTAGTCACAAGTTCCAGGGGACTAGAGTGTGGACAGCTTTGGGAGCCATTATCCTGCCTACCACACACCAACAGCAGATCCTTTTCAATGTGCACTCCAGGGGTCACTGCAAATTGAATGATGTTAGAACTGGAAATGAAATCTACCAGACATATTTGGAATATATAAATGAGTATGTCCAACTCATCTCTATATGAAGATTGTTCTTAGAGTAAATCATAAGATTGACACTTCCAGGAGAGAAGACAGTAATTAGCTGGTCCTTGTCACCACTGCACAGTGTCTTTCTGGGTTACATCTGAGCCTCCTTGACTGTTGCCACCCCAACTGGGAGCATCTGACTCCCACAGCGTCAGCTGCAGCTGCCAAGCTCCACTGACGTCACTTGACTTCCAGCCACTTAGGGGTTCTGAGGCCACAGCTACCGGACATCAAAATAACCCATCCCGTTCAAAAAATAATCAGCAAAACAACTAAAAACAAAGCAGCTGTTTGAGCAAGTGTGGTTTTTTATCCTTTAACTGGTTGTTTTGTCCACTGACAGCCTAGGAAGCGCCTTCGCAAAGAAGGATGCGAGTTATTTAAATAATGGATTTTTTTTTTGCGCTGAGAATGACTTTGTGGATAAGAGTGATTGACGCCTCCACGGGTCTTGGATAGGCAAGGATGTAATTAAGAAGCCAGCTGATGGGGTTAACAAATCCCCCTCTCACTTTGGAACACTGATGCATGGAATAAATTGTATTCTTAACCAGCGTCCAAATTAACCATTTCCTTCACTTCCCCTCTTTGTCACTGTTGGTGCATTTTTGCTTGCATTTTTAGAGGTTACTCCCAGCAGTGCTATCACTTGGGCCTTAATGGGTTATCTATCTAGGAAGAGATAATTTATGATCATTATAAGTCTGCATACAAGTTTATGTCTTAACTGATTTATTGTTTAACAAAATAAAACCTGCACATTGGTTTAAACAAATCAAAAACTTCTGCAAGAGTTTTAATAAAAGCAACAAATTCCTGCTTCATTCCTTTCTCCTCAACCCTTGCTCCAGAGGCAGCACTGTTTGATTTTTTCTCCCTGATGATTATCCCTTATGTCTAAATATTATGCATATACCACTCAGCTCTGATTTGTCAACTTTTTATTTGCTGGTGGCTTTCTGCTATGATGTATCTCAGAATATCATTCCCTTCATCCAACAGTGTCAAATTATTATTTTTGGACCCTTTCACAAGCATGAACCTCCCAATAACCTCTTCCACTCCTAATTAAATCTCCTAATTCTTTTTTTTTTTGAGACGGAGTCTCGCTCTGTTGCCCAGGCTGGAGTGCAGTGGCGCAATCTCGGCTCACTGCAAGCTCCGCCTCCTGGGTTCACACCATTCTCCTGCCTCAGCCTCCCGAGTAGCTGGGACCACAGGCACCCGCCACTACGCCGGGCTAATTTTTGTATTTTTTTAGTAAAGACGGGGTTTCACCGTGTTGGCCCGGATGGTCTCCATCTCCTGACCTCGTGATCCGCCTGCCTCGGCCTCCCAAAGTGCTGGGATTACAGGCGTGAGCCACCGCGCCCGGCCCCAATCTCCTAATTCTGTCTCAGTTTCTGCTTCCCAGCTAGCACACTGCTACCAGGAGGGTCTGAGGAAGCAGGTGGTAAGATGAGCTTTGCAAAAGATCATTCAAAGCATAAAGATCTCAGTTCTCCCACAAGTTAAATTGGTAAATTTAACAAACTTCCAATTAAAATATCAATAGGTGGTTTTAAGAAGCTACGGAAGTTGATACCGAAGTTCATGTAGCAAATTAAACATGCAAGAATAGCTAGGGAAACCGAGGATAAAGAAAAATACCATGATGAGATCTTGGCCTTCCAGGTGTGAATACATGCTAGCAGTCCTCCGTAAGTGAAACGATGGAGGACTGGGGCATGAATAAACAGCCAGACAGGTGAAATCAAACTAAAAGTCCAGAAATAGACCCAAGTGCATGTGAAAATTTAGCGTATGTTAGATAGTATTTTGAATCACCAGAGTAAAAATGAACTTTTAAATAAACGGCACTAGGGCAATGAGGGAGACACTTGGGAAAAGTTCAAATTAGATCCACACCTCACACCATATGCAAGAAGAAACTCTAAATGGATCAGAGATCTCAATGCAAATCTTGAAGCTACACACATATTACATATAAAAGTGGGGAATTCTTCAACTTTAGTATAGGGAAAAGCTTTCTAACTATGATACAAATTGTAAAAGCAATCATAGTAAAGATTGTTACGTTTGACTCCATAAATATAAAAAAATCTTTTGCATAGCAAAATCATTGTAAATAAAGTCAAAAGATAAATGACAATTAGGAGGAAATATTCATAATGTATATCAGGACAAAGTGTAATAGTCCTAATATAAATAATTCTTTAAAATTAAGAGAAAAGTGACCAAAAGCCTGATAGATAAATGGGCAAAAGCCACAATTTACAAAAAGATACAAAAATGACCCACAAAAATGAGAATGCTTTCATTCTCATAAAAGAGAAATGCAAATTAAAACTACACTGACACTTTGGGAGGCCGAGGCAGGCGAATCTCGAGGTCAGGAGTTCGAGACCAGCCTGGCCAACATGGTGAAACTGCGTCTCTACTAAAAATACAAAAATTAGCCAGGCATAGTGGCGGGCACCTGTAATCCCAGCTACTCGCGAGGCTGAGGCAGGAGAATCACTTGAACCAGGACGGCGGAGGTTGCAGTGAGCGGAGATCGTGCCACTGCACTCCAGCCTGGGCAACAAAGTGAGACTCCATCTGAAAAAAAAAAAAAAAACTACACTGAGACAGCATCGCAGGTGTATGCATATGTCCAAACTCATCAAAATGTATACATTAAATACATGCATTTTTATGTCAAGCATACCTCAATAGAGCTTTAAAAAGAAAGCAAAATTTTCCTCGAAAATAAAAAATAATTAAAACTCGTTAATTAGTAGAAAAAATCATCATAATCACGCATTGGAAGCTCAACATGGAAACGTTCTTAATGACCTCCAAATTCAGTCATAAAATGTCGAAACTATACAGAAAGATATTTAGGAATACTTAAGAAAAAGGAGAGACACCATTTAGAGATTTAAAGATTTTATATTATAAATATGTCTACTATCCCTCTGCTGATCTGTAGATTCAACACAACAATAAGTGAAATGCAGCAATAAAAATATAGCATGAATTGATACTGGGCCCCATGGGATGATTTTTCTGGTAAATTTAGAGATTTTTTAAGTTGTCTAAAGGGGCTGAAAAAGGAGAAATCAGATATTTTGGTAAAACAGCAATATTCATACAGTGAGAACTAAGGATAAATTAGAAAGAGATAGGTAGCCAATTAGAGAATTAGAAGTGGTGTCCCATAACCCTAAATGCATCACTAGAATGAATATTTGCCAGGGGCAGGGGTGGGAACCACTTTTTTATTAGGGAGGAAAACAAATTGATTACCTATGCAAAGACTAAAAAGAAAACTGTCAAACCACTTCCTTCAAAGCACATGGCTGACACCCTGCAGCTCATCAGTAGAAAAGTGGAAATCTTGCAAGACATAAAGACAAAGAGATAAATGCTTAGTAATAAGTTTAACAAAATATGTGCAAAGCCTCTGCACTTCAAGCTACAAAATGTTGCTGTAAGAATTTGAAGATCTAAATAAATGAAGATATATACAGTCCCCAAAATAAAAATAAATAAGACTACACTAAGATTTCCATTCCTCATACATCAGAGTGGCAAAAATTTACAAGTATGACAACACATTATATTGGCAAAACTGTGAGGAAACAGGCTCTCTCTGATATTGGTAATCAGAATGAAAATTGGTACAACTTTTATGGAAGGGAAATTGGCAATATCCAACAAAAATACAAATGTGTTTACCTTTTGAACTATAAATCTAAGCCAAGATGATTCTTTACAGCACTGCTTGTAATAGCCAAATATTACAGCCCAGATGCCCACACCTAAGACCGTGGATTAATAAACTGTGGTACATCCAGGTAACAGAGTACCATGAGGCTGTACAAAAGAATCAAAGATTTCCGTACAAAGAGCTGGAAGGATTTCCAGAAGGCATTATTAAGTTTAAGAAAAAAAGGTGAAGTTTAAAAGAGGTCAAAGGAAAGGGGAGAATAAAATACATATGTATTAGATCATTTGTGCAAAGAAACACGGGAAGGAACCGGAAACTGTTGGCATTGGTTACCTCCAGAGAATGGGATGAAAAGGATAGGGAAGGGAGTGGGCCTTCCTGAGTTTAGTTCTGACTATTAAAACCGTATCAATGTTTCATATGCTTAAAATCATTAGAAATGAGAAAAAACTACCAATAAAATACAAACAGAAACAAATCAACTTCATTATTTTGTGATTTCAAACGAATAGCACCACCACACTGAAGGATGAGGAAGAAGGACACACCCAAATACCATGTGAACACAGTACTTTAACTGTCCTTAGGCTGGCGACAGAACAGTAAACAAATACTGAACTCTAGCTGGAAGTTTCGTTTTTCTCAGTGGTATGAGTTAGCACTTTGGACACTACTCTCTATACATTAGCATTGAGGAAATCAGTCAATATATTGTGCATTGTGGGAGACATATTTATCAATATCTGAGAAGGAAATTATAAATAAGGAGATTGGGAAAATTTAGAGTGAACCCTGAAGTCAGGTATTGGAGGTATCAGGTAACATGATATTTAAAATAGATAAATAGGTAGATAGATAGATGGCTGAATAGATAGATACATAGATACATAGATATTGATATAAATATTTATTTTGTTCTGTCTTCTGCTGAGGGCCTAGGAACAATGATACCAAGTGGTAATGAGCAATCCTTCCACCAAGATCTTGGTTTCTAAACACTAAAAAAAAAAGAAAAAGAAAGAGAGTGGGGGAAGGAAAAAGAGGAGAGGAGCGGAGGGGAGGGGAGGAGTGGAGGGGAGAAGAGAAAACAGGGCTTCTTAGAGAAATGGCTGGTTTCAGGTCTGAAGGTGGAAAACTTCAACACAGCCTGGCACATCCTGCTATGCCTGGTGGCCTGGAGATAAGAATGTGCACTAAGAACAATGAAAACTTATCAAAGGACATGAGGCCATCTTGTCTATTCCACTAGCCAAATCTGGGACAATTTAAGCATCAAAACAAATAGTGATAAAATACTGATACAAACACACAAAGGGAAAAATAAAATCTCCTTCTTACAGTGGAATGCCAACTAATACAGGTACATGGCATCATGAAGTCAGAAAGCCACCATTTGGCAACCACCATGATAAACTCTGGTTCAGGACATGAGCAGTGAATTAATAACCATGTGACACTCACTGTAGTGATGGTCCAGATATACTGCCTAACCTAATGAGAGAGACGATAACTCATAGAACAGCTACCAGAAAAAGAAGGCTCTTCCATTGGGAAAACCCAAATTGGAAGACAGCTGAGGGCTGAGGGCTGATCAGGGAAGAGATTTATTTGTTCCCTGTCCTCTTTGGTCCCCCTTGAGCCCTGTCACTGTCAGGCACATCGGATAAGATGCCCAGCACAGGTCTGATGGAGCTGTGGAAGCGGATATACCCATGAGCTACCAGACTAGTAGAATTGTTTTGCTGTTTTCAAGGACAGCCTAGGTAGCAAGTTGGCACAGAGTAAGTCAGGGTTCTTCTAAAAGCCAGTGGGTCCGTTGTGCTGAAGCAGTCCCCAGATGATTCTCCTCCTTGGAAATCGTTGGAGGGATTCATTAGCATCAACAACCCAGCCTCTTCAAATGCATGCGATTCTAATTCCCAAACCACGGGCGTTGAGTCCCTGCGTGCACAGTCTCCTATGACTTGCAGCATTTTTCTTACATTAAATGTTCCTTGTCGCTGTTCAAATGAAACATATCAAGACAGTCGTGGGGTACGCACCGCATGGTTAGCCTCCCTGTCTCTGGCAACCCTCCTGAATGACACTAAGAAGCATAATGACATTCTTCCAGACCTGGCTAAATCATTTTAATCACATAAACCATAAGCACCCCTGCTGCTAATCCCAGCTCAGGGCTTCCCGGTTCCTGAAGTCAGCCTAGTAGGGAATTCAATTAATGATCCACCCTGGCGGAATACTCAGTTGTTACAACTGGGAAAAGAGATTCGCAGCAGAGAGAAATGGGAATTGCAGGTTACCATGCAACCCCTTTGTGTCTCATAACCAGCAGCACTGCCTCTTAGAGGAAGGATGGCGGTTTTGTTTTGGTTCATTTGTCAAATCAAAATTTCCATTTTCTTGTCTAGTCACTGGTTACCATCTGTTTAGCAAAAGGACTATGAAAACTCTACTTCTATGTTTAGCTTCTTGAAATGTTTGTGTGTCTACTTAAAGAGTTTTCCTTCTTACGTTTTTGAGAGAAGTAAAACCATATTCAATGTGCATAACAGCAGCACTTTCTTTCTAGACTGTAGAAAGAAAAGTAATTCAGGCCAGGCACCGTGGCTCATGCCTGTAATCCCAGCACTTTGGGAGGCCAAGGCGGGAGAATCATCTGAGGTCAGGAGTTTGAGACCAGCCTGGCCAACATGACAAAACCCCATCTCTACTGAAAATACAAAAATTAGCTGGGTGTGGTGGTGCACACCTGTAATCCCAGCTGCTCAGGAAGCTGAGGCAGGAGAATTGCTTGAACCTGGGAGGAGGAGGTTGCAGTGAGCCGAGATCACGCCACTGCACTCCAGCCTGGGCAATAGAGCAAGACTCTATCTCACCAAATTAAAAAAAAAAAAGAAAGAAAAAAAGAAAGAAAGAAAGAAAGCATTCAAAACTTAAAATTTTTCTTTTAATTTCACATGAATATAGTTCAGACATAGTGGACATAGTGTTCAAATAGATTTTCTTTTATTTAGTGTTCTGAAGTCCTTTCTCTCATTACTTCCTTAAACTGCCAGTTTTACAAGTAATGTTTTTTTCAGAAAAATTAAAAATGCTATTTTTTCCTCTTCTTTCTAAATGAATATATAAATGTCTTGGAAGAGTTGTGTAACCATATTGCAGAAAACATGGAAAATAGAAAATATTAGTCACAGCCCCAGTGTCAGAAAACAAATGTTTAGTATTTGTTAGAACTACTTTGCCCCCGTCTGTTGTTGTTTGCCTTTTGATTTTTGCAGTTTTTATAGTCACAATTTTTTTAACTTTTATTTATTTAGATATCATTTTTAAGCTCAGAAAGCATTTCAGAAAAATGTGAGGCATAATAAAATTGTAGAGTTTACTTAAGAAGCAATTCCTGAATTAGAGAACACCAGACTGCAAAAGGTTTAGTGTTCCAGTGGCCAATTGCCTGGGGCAAGTATTTATGGGGTAAATATGGAAGCAAAATAAAGAAATTATGTGATGGGTTTGCAATTACAAAATTGCCCTTTTTTTAAGTATCTTGATGGAAAGTCACAAAATCATGTTAGTTGGATGTTTATCATACGTTAGTTGGCTGGGGTTATGTTTTAGTTCTAACGCAAGCATTTATCAGAAATGATGCAAGTTTTGTTTTGCTTAGGCTTGCAATTTAAGCAAAATTGAAGATATTTGTAAGACCTACCTGATTTTGTTTGCTCAGAAGTTTTTCAGGCCTCAGTCTTCATTTTAATTTTGTTCTTTTAACATTTCTCCCACTTCGGTCACTCCTTCAGCAAGCCCAGAGTGTGACCAAATCGCACAGCTTTCCTCTTGCTTAGCACTATTGATGCACTTGCTGGGATGAAGAGTCAGGAAGATGTTACCATTATCAAAAGATATGCTGGGTTCAAAGTCACATCACTGCCAGCAATTACATAGTCGTTGTTGGTTTCCTCAAGTTGTCTGAGCCGGATGGCAATCATTTGATGTTCAATTGGCTGCTGGGGAGCATTTAAAACCCTTGGGAGCATACGATACACCAGGGGTAAACCCAATAGCCATACAGAGAATAATAGCCGAGGACTGAAAAACTTCCTCTGAGCAAAGATTTCTGGGAGTCAAGATTTAACCAGCTGAATAAATCAATAGAAGAGGCAGTGCTTTTCTGATTCAGAAAAAAAATTCGGCCGGGCACGATGGCTCATGCCTGTAATCCCAGCACTTTTGGTGGCTGAGGCGGGTGGATCACGAGGTCGATAGTTCAAGACCAGCCTGGCCAACATGGTGAAACTCCGTCTCTACTAAAAATACAAAAATTAGCCAGGTGCGATGGCAGGCGCCTGTAATCCCAGCTACTCAGGAGGCTGAGGCAGGTGAATCACTTGAACCTGGGAGGCGGAGTTTGCAGTGAATGGAGATCGCACCACTGCACTCCAGCCTGGGCGACAGAGCGAGACTCCGTCTGAAAAAAAAAAAAGAAAAAATTCATATTTTTTCTTTAAGATCTTTTAGATATAGGGCAACAATTTCTAATTGATTAACATAGCAACAACTTTTTTCATCATAGCACAAACTTGTTGCTTATTAAATTGTTAAGGTATCAAGAATTTCTGTTTTGGAGTACTATTGAGGCTAAATTGTTCATTTCAGATTGCATTGCTTGATCGGAATTCAAAGTATTATTCTATGAAAACAAAAGAAAAACAAAGGTTAACATTTGAAGCAAATTATGGTCTTTCTTATCTGCCAAAAGACAGCTAGTCAAGATTTTAGATTTGAGATTGAAGCATCTTTAGGTGGTGGAATGAAGATGGCGGTTGAATGTTTCCTGTGTTGATGAAAAGAGTCAAACTCTGTAAAATAATTGAAATTCTGAGCCAAATATGAGTGACCAATGGCCCGTGACACAGCCCTCAGAAAATCCTGAGAACACATGCCCAAGGTGGTCAGGGTAGAGCTTGGTTTTATCCATTTTAGGGAGACGTGAGATGTCAATCAAATACTTGTAAGATTTACATTGGTTCCATCTGGAAAGGCAGTTCGATTGGCAACTGGTTGAAAGAGTTATTATCTAAAGACCTGGAATCAATAGAAAGGAATGTCTGGGTTATGATGATAAGGGGTTATGGAGACCAAAGTTTCATCATGCAGATGAAGCCTCCAGATAGCAGGCTTCAGAGAGAATAGACTGTGAATATACCTTATCAGACTTAAGGTCTGTGTTGATGTTAATGCTGGTCAGCTTTTCCCGAATTCCAGAAGGGAGGAGGGTATAATGAGGCAGGTTTGACACCCCTTTCCCATCATGGCCTGAACCAACTTTGGAATGCCCTTGGCCATGAGGAGGGGTCCGCTCAGATGATTGGGGGGGCTTAGAATTTTATTTTGGTTTACGATAGATTTAGTTAAATTCACAGAGAAATAAAACCTCAAAGAAAATGAGCAGGACTACACTTTGATAATGGGTGCACTATAGTTTTCTATTGAAATACAATCTTTTTTAGAGTTGCTCCCATTTTTGCCAAAAAAGTAATCAGTTAATTCTCTGTGATGCTGGTGCCCCTCCACCGCACGTTCCCCATGGCCTTCGTGAACAGGGCGTCCCCAGGCCTTCCCATGCAACAGGGAATATCACACTCTAGTGAAGTCTTCTGGCCCCTGCCAACCTAAGGGGAGCTCTGAAGAGAAGTCTGTCCATTAGAAGAGTCCTAGGTTGGGCAGAAATTGATCAGTCATGGTATCCCCAGCCATGATCAATCATTGGCTGAGGGCCATCCAGGAAGAATATGGCTTCTTCTCCAACGCTGAGGCAGGTCTTGAAGATGCTGACAGCAGAAGACGGAGTCCATCTGCTAACTGCCCTTCAATGGCAAGTTTTTTCTTGAAGGAAGACTAAAGAAAACACCTCCAGAGTTGCTACATCTCTGGTGTGATTAGAGGTGTTCTCATAATTATCTAATCATGGTGTGATTAGAGGTGTTCTCATAATTATCTATATTCTTGTTGTAGTTTTTATGTCCTCTCAAAGGATGTGTATTACTTGTATATTCAGAAGACCTAAATATGTATTTTATAAAAGTTAACTGATCAGTTTGGCACGTTTCCCACCATACTTTGCAGTCGTTGGTGATCTTAGAGAAGATAGAGTTGCAAGAATTGACAGAAGATGAAAGGAAATAAGGGAGTTGCTAGGTATCAATTCCCTGATTGGCAACATGACTATACATTACTTCCTCATAGAGTTTTTATGCTGACCACATGAGACATCTGTGTTATCTTCCAGGGCCATGACTGACACATGGCAGGTTTGCAGTGTGGGGTCACAGTGCTCAGGCACCAAAACAGGAG
The DNA here is from genome assembly GCF_000001405.40 of Homo sapiens. NCBI lineage: Eukaryota > Metazoa > Chordata > Mammalia > Primates > Hominidae > Homo > Homo sapiens. The sequence goes on from NC_000002.12 coordinate 235,297,429, forward strand.
GGCTGAGGCACTGGTGAGGTGTATTAAGTCTTTCTCGCATTGCTATAAAGAAACACCTGAGACTGGGTAATTTATGAAGAAAAGAGGTTTAATTGGCTCACAGTTCTGCAGGCTGTAAAGGAAGCATGATGCTGGCATCTGCTTGGCTTCTGGGGAGGCCTCAGGAAACTTACAATCATGGCAGAAAGTGAAGGGGGAGCTGGCATATCACATGGCTGGAGTAGGAGCAAGAGAGAGGAGGAACATGCCACACACTTTAAACAATCAGATCTTGTGAGAACTCATTCACTATCACGAGGACAGTACCAAGAGGATGGTGCTAAGCCATTCATGAGAAATCCACCCTCAAAATCCAATCACCTCCCACTAGGCCCCACCTCCACCATTGGGGATTACAATTCAACGTGAAATTTGGACAGGACATATATCCAAACCATATCAGGAGGAGTCATTTACCACAATAAGAGGAGGAGCTGAAAGGGTAGTTCATGAGAAATTGAGATCAGATGAGGGCTGATCTCTGCAGATGCCTCTGGGAAGATGGAAAGAAGCTACTGAAAATAATTCTCATGACTCTGGAACAAAATTTCCCCACTGTGCTTCATCTCTCCAGAGGGCTCACCTGCATGGTATCATGCTGATGAAGCCTCTTCTATGCTAATTACTGTGCTTCCTGCTCTCCCTGGGAAAGGGCATCACCCATTTCTACCTTCATTCTATGACCAAGGAAACCAAGGGAGAAGTGCCAAGTTATGCACCTAAGAACACACGTTAAAGAAGCTCCTGTGTTTCTTCTGTGGCAACATGGATAATGCTAGTTTTTCTTGGGTACATAAATGGAAAATGAAAGCTGTGGGTTTTGCTTTTGTTTTTGTTTTTCTTTTGCAAGTAGGAATCTTAATGCCAAATTCAGCATCTTAGATTCTTTTCCTCCTGTTAGATATATTTTTAAATTTATTTTTAGGTATCTTGTTTTACATAATGAGTTTTAACACTCAAGATGCCCTTAAAGCTAATGGAAGTAGAAGTGTAATTCTCAAGCTCAAAAAAAATCTGTCTTATGGAACAAATATGAAGATTAATGAGTTAATATTTACACAAAACTTTGTTTGAGAAGACTGGCAAGTAGTATTTTCAAATGAAAAGTCATAACCAGGAGTATCCTAATACCCTCTTCCATTCTGGAAGCTGGGGAATTCTTGTTTACTCATTAATTCTCAGTTAAGAAAAGCATGGTTTACAGCTGTCATACTTCTCTAAAGTTCAAAAATTAAGTTTCCTTGGGGACTTCCCAGTGGTTCTTCAAAAGACACAATAATAGCGGAAACAGCAATCCAGGTCTTAGCATATTTTGTTCCTCATCTAGGCCTTGCTGTCACGCACCCACAGACCTTTCACCCACCCTACTCTCCTCAGGCTTCCGTCTCTTCATCCCCAGTGACTGGGTTGGAGAGTGGATTTGAACTAGCTGAAGGTGACAAGTCCTGGGACTACCTGATGAAAGCCACAGACCTTCTTCCCCAGTAATGTGACACACAACATTGTCGCGGGTAGCGACTATCTGAGGCCAGTATTGTGTAGGCGGTAAAAATTTACCAAGACAGCTGTAGGTAAAGAAAGGCAGATTCGAGGCCGAGGCAGGCAGATCACTTGAGGCCAGGAGTTCAAGACCAGCCTGGCCAATATGGTGAAAACCCGTCTCTACTAAAAAATACAAAAATTAGTCAGGCCTCATGGTACACGCCTGTAGTCCCAACTACTTAGGAGGCTGAGGCACGAGAATTGCTTGAACCCAGGAGGTGGAGGTTGCAGTGAGCTGAGATCACACCACACTGCACTCCAGCCTGGGTGACACAGCAAGACTCTGTCTCAAAAAAAACAAAACTCAGATTTACTAGAAAAAGTAAGTATAAAAATACGTTGCAAGGGTACAAGGAGCAAGTTAGCAAGAGAGGAGCAGACTGCAAAGAGACAAAGGCTTGCTGGAGATTTTACAGGCTGGTGCTTATGCTGTGTGCTGGGGAGGGCTTTGTCCAGTATTGGTAACATCAGGGTTGCAGTGAGCTAACTTGCATTTTTTTTTTTTTTTTTGAAACTCTGTCACCCAGGCTGGAGTGCAGTGGTGCAATCTCCACTCGCTGCAACCTCTACCTCCCGGGTTCAAGTGATTCTCCTGCCTCAGCCTCTCAAGTAGCTGTAGCTGGGATTACAGGCATGTACCACCATGCCCAGCTAATTTTTTGTATTTTTAGTACAGATAGGGTTTTGCCATGTTGGTCAGGCTGGTCTTGATCTCCTGGCCTCATAACTTGCATTTTTCTGTCACCCAAGAGTCTGGTGATAAGTTGGGCGCAGAAAACAACTGAGTTATTTGTGCAGGAGGACCATGTGTCCTGGACCATGAGAAAGGGCAGATTTACAGCTTACCTGCTTTCTCTTCTTGCTTTCCCTTGGTCCCACCAGCCTGACTTCTTTTCCCTAATTAGAGCTCCACAGACATTTCACGTACAATGTCAGGAACTTGTGGAACAAGGAAAGTCCACTCTAGAATCCTTGCTAAAGGACCCCAGGTGACCTCTTAGGTCTCTGCCAACTCTTAAATGTAGTCATCCCGAGATGAAGGTGCCTCTTTGGAGGAGGAAACCAAATGTGGATGTATCAAGCTGCCAGCTGCCCCTAAAGAGTAGCCTGCCGGCCGAGCGCAGTGACTCACACCTGTAATCCCAGCACTTTGGGAGGCCAAGGCAGGCGGATCACAAGGTCAGGAGATCAAGACCATCCTGGCTAACATGGTGAAACCCTGTCTGTACTAAAAATACAAAAAATTAGCCAGGCTTGGTGGCAGACGCCTGTAGTCCCAGCTACTCGGGAGGCTGAGGCAGGAGAATGGCACGAACCCAGGAGGCGGAGGTTGTAGTGAGCTGAAATCGCTCCACTGCACTCCAGCCTGGGTGACAGAGCAAGCCTCCGTCTCAAAACAAAAAAAAAAAAAGAGCAGCCTACCCTTCTCACACCTCTCCTGGGTCTCGTTCAAGTGAGACTTGTGGGGAAGAGGGCACAATGCCAGGAAAGGCTGTGGGGCTCGGCCTGCTGCCAGGCATGCTTTGTGTTCTTCTCTGAGACCACAAGTATTCCCATGTTTTGAAATTGTTATTTCTTTTTCCTGGTGTGAGCTTGACTTTTTCCCCTCTAAATTATGCCCACCTGGCACTCTATGCACTTTGTTTTCGTAGCTAAGGCTTTCTGGTAGTCACTACCCCTGGTTCTATTCTTGAGTCCTTAACTAACTCCATGAATCCAAAGGACACTCATCAGACGTAGGTTTCAGCTGATCGTTTTACACCCGTTCTTCCTGTAAAGCAATGTAATTCCTTTAATGCAGCTCACACAGGGACACCTTGACTCACAGAGGGACTGTAGCTGATCAGACACTCTGGTACCAAAGCAGAAACACTGGCATCTCAGGGCTGTATCCTGGGTCGAAGCCTCCCGAGATGTGTTCTCCTGACCTCCTTTTTAGGCAAGACAGCTGACCCACTCCTGGCCTTTGGCGCCTCCAGTTTTCTTGTCCCACTCTCGGTGGTTCAGAGACCTTGCAGATCCACCCCACGGTGCCTCCGCTTTCAGGGGCCCCGATGGGGAGTGCTCCTCTAGATGGGGCTAGGGTCGCGCCCTGGGCAGACTTGACTCTGAATCAGTTGAAGTTGCAACACTGCAAATTCTTTGGGTTGCAAATAACAAAAACCCAACTCAAGTATAAGCAAAAAGGGGGATGTATTTAAAGAATCATGAAGTGTCTCAATAACTCAACAGTAAGAATCCATCTAGGATTCAGGCATCAATGAACCTCAAGAAAGCTGGAGGCGGGGTGCTCTCAGGAGCCTCTCTCCCCTGTCACCACCCCACCAAGCTCCCTTCCCTTCTTTAGCCCATGTGGCAGAAACCAGTTTCGTGTTAAAACTTCAAGCACCTAAAGGAGGCTGACTTTCTCAGTTCCAAGTTCTAAAGCCCCACAAAGCACTCTTGCCCCCCTTGGGTCCGGTGATCCAGGTGAACTGATGATCCAGCCCACAGCAGCTGCAGTGGGGTCATAGGGTCCTCTCACGGCAGCTGTCCTGGGGAGCCAGAAGCGACACAGAGGACAGTGAGTGAAGTTCCCAGACATGGGTGGAAAGGTGCTGGGTGTGAGGACCTCCTCCTCCTTCTTCCTCCTTCCACCTCGTCCTCCCTCCTTCTCCTCCCTCCTCCTCTTCTGTCCTCCTCCCTCCTTCTCCCACCTCTCTCCTCCCCCTTCCCCCTTCTCCCCCTCATCCCCCCTCCCCCTCCCTCCTTCTCCCTCCTCGTTATCCTTCCTCCCACCTCCTCCCCTCCTCTCTCCTACTTCTCCCTTCTCATACTCCTCCCTCCTCCTTTCTCTTCATCCTCCTCCTTCTTCCTCCTCCTCCCTCCTCCTCTTCTGTCCTCCTCCCTCCTTCTCCCTCCTCTCTCCTCCTCCTCTCCCCTTCCCCCTCCTCCCTCCTGCTCCCTCCTCATCCTCCTCCCTCCTCATCCTCCTCCCTCCTCCCTCTTCATCCTCCTGCCTCCTCCCCCTCCTCCTCCCTCTTCATACTCCTCCCTCCTTCCCCCTTCTCTCTCTTCCTCCTCCCTCCTCCTCCTTTTCCCTCCTCCTCCTTCCATTCCCCTCCTCCCCACTCCTCCTCCCTCCTCCCCCCTCCTCCCTCCTCTTCTTCCTCGCCCCCTCCTCCTCCCTCCTCCCCTTCTTCTCCTCCTCCCTCCTCATCCCCCTCCCCCCTCCTCCCTCCTCCTCCCTCTTCCTCCTCCCTCCTCTTTCTCCCTCCTCCTCCATCAAGGCCCATTCCTGTTCCCCCAGCTCCCAGCTCTCCCCTGGAAGCAGAAGTTTGGCAAAGATCAACATCAGAATGAAGGAATTCACAAAGTCAGTGAAGGAAACAACATGAAAGGACACCCTGAGACGCTGCGGCCCGTGGAGCCTTCCTGGTACCTTTCCACGCTGAGTAGGTCACACAGTTCTTAGTGTCCCAGTTACCACCTCAGTGCACACCGGCCAAAGTCCCTCCTATACCTCTGACCATCTCCATGAGCAGCCAAAGGGCCCTCCCCTAAAAATGGAAAAATGTGTTTTCTGTCACTCTGGCTTCTGCTCTAGAAAATGAAGTTCTTGGCTGGGCGCAGTGGCTCACGCCTGTAATCCCAGCACTTCGGGAGGCCGAGGCAGGCGGATCACGAGGTCAGCAGATCGAGACCATCCTGGCTAACACGGTGAAACCCCGTCTCTACTAAAAACACAAAAAATTAGCCGGGCGTGGTGGTGCGCCTGTAGTCCCAGCTACTCGGGAGGCTGAGGCGGGCGGATCACGAGGTCAGGAGATCGAGACCATCCTGGCTAACACGGTGAAACCCCGTCTCTACTAAAAATACAACAAATTAGCTGGGCGTAGTGGTGGGCGCCTGTAGTCCCAGCTACTCGGGAGGCTGAGGCAGGAGAATGGCGTGAACCTGGGAGGCGGAGCTTGCACTGAGCCGAGATGGCGCCACTGCACTCCAGCCTGGGCGACAGAGCGAGACTCTGTCAAAAAAAAAAAAGAAAGAAATAATGAAGTTCTTTCCACCTTAGGTAGTTTACAGTTTCTCTGAGCAAAACAATTTCTGTACCCAGCCCGTCTTCAGTCTTGCTGGAAAAGACCTTCCAGGGTGGTGGTGGTTCTTCACGTGGTCACTGCCCGGGAGAGCCACGGCACTGCTGCTGTTACATCTAGAAATGTGTGCGCATTTCTCTAGGAAGTTCTTAGCTTTCGTCAGAGTCTCAAAATGACCCTTGTGAAGTGCCATAGACGTGGATTGGACAGGACAACCACTGCCCAGCCCCAGCCAAACTTCAATTCTAATGTGAGATAAAAACTAAGCAGGTGAACAGGCTCACACCGGGGGTCAGACAAAGGGTGCAGAGTTTTGAAGAAAATGGGGGCTAAGATGGGGGATTATACGCAGCACCCATTTCTCTGGAAGCCTCTGTAAAGGAACAACGTTTAAACTGAATGTGAAGGAGAGAGACAGCCACAGGAGGAACATTCCAGAGGAAATGGGACAAAAAAAGTCTCGAAGATGGGAAGGAATAGCACGTTTAAGGGCCAGAAAAGGCACTAGACTATAAGAGACTATGGGGCCAGGCCATGAGCTGAAGGTGGCAGATGGGAGGGGATATCAGGCAGGGCTGCATCCAGGTGCAGTGGGAATGCTCTGAGGGCAGCACGTGGGCCGATTTAGGTGTTCGGCGCCCTCAGGGGCTGGGTGAGAACTGATGGGAACAGGCAAGAGCAGCCACAGGGAGACCAGTTACAGGCTGAGAGTGGCCCCAGACCACATCTGGGGGAAGGCTGGTCTAGACCTGGGGGAAAGAGAGACAGAAAACCTGGCTGCCCACCGTCCCTTGGCTCCTCTGACACCTCTTCAAAAGCTGTCTCCGGACGCCACCTTCTCCCCAGGTCACAGCTGCCAGCCTGCTCCAGACACCCAAAAGAAAAAGGGAACATTTTGGGGAGCAGAATCGAGTTTCAAAGAAATCAGTTCCACAAGACCAGGCTTCCCCGCACCCACTGCTACCCGCATTCCACCGCGAGCCACTGCCAAGTCCTTGTCCCCAAAGAGCACCCCCTACTGGCACTTTTCTTTCCCGAACCTTCAGTGACTCGATCTCTCCCTCACTCTCTTTGTCTCTCTCCATAGTATTTCTGCCTCTCTCAATAGTCTCTCAATATACATATACTTGAGGATGCATCAGAGAATGTTTTTGAGAAGATTTTAATTATCTTTCATCGTCGATGACTGGTTTCATTGGTTAGCAATAATGCAAAAATTGATCAGGCAGAATATACATGCAAGAAGGACCGTGTTTTTAAAAGATCTTTTATGCGTTGAAAATCAATGTTTAAATACATCACTTTAAGTAGGATCCCTTTGGGCCGTATTGACACACCACATCTTTATCTATGTGTCATATGAGATCAACAGCATAACTGTCATCTCCAGGAATTTTGTAGGATAAGTGGAGAGAATTTCTTTCCCTCTTTTATTGCATATTGTTTTGTTCCAGTCTGTAAGCACTGAAATGCCATATCATAGATGAAAAATGAACACAGCAACTTGTTCCTTCCTAGTGAGGAGGACTGTTAATAAAATGACAAGCTCTCACTTCAGTAGTGAAACGTAACAGGGGAAAGTGGCTTGATTAGCCAAGGTGCTCTTTCCTCAGCCGGGAACAATGAAGCTTTCCAAGATTATACATCTGATATTAATAAGTCCTTTTAGCATTCAAAAGAAGCACATAACACTCGGATCTAGGCCAGGTGCGGTGGCTCATGCCTGTAATCGCAGCCCTTTGGGAGGCCGAGGCAGGCGGATCACTTGAGGTCAGGAGTTCGAGACTAGCCGGGTCAACACGGTGAAACCCCCATCTCTACTAAAAATAAAAAAATTATCCAGGTGTGGTGGTGGGTGCCTGTAACACCAGCTACTCAAGAGGATGAGGCAGGAGAATCACTTGAACTCAGAGGCAGAGGTTGCAGTGAGCCAAGATCATGCCACTGCACTCCAGCCTGGGCAATAGAGTGAGACTCCATCTCAAAACAAAACAAAACAAAACAAATATTCTGATCTATTGATGGAAAATACTGTCTTGTGGTGCAAATACGTTGGTTACCTGGAAAACTTAGGCTGAAATAAAGAACATTGCTGTGTAATTATAAAATGTTTCCAGTGACTCTCCAAAAATAAATTTTCAAATTATCCTAAATTTCTCTCTCGTAATTCTGTTTTTTCCCTTCCATCTACATTTTCCTGGAATTCCACTGAAACATCAATTTAGAAAAATAGTTAGCTAACTTAAATATCAACTAATTAACTCAGCTGAATGTGAGGTTTCCTAGAGTATGGACTTCTTGTCTTCTTGGGCAAAAGGGGCCGCTCTCACTTGCCAAGGGGCACTTCTCTTTAGCTCCATTACCTATCCCACCAGACACTGGGCTTATTTCAGTACCCAGAAGTTAATTTGGCCTCTATTAAAGAAAATGAAAAGTGATTCATGAAGAGTGACTGTAGGACAACCAAACTCAGGTGAAGTTAGTTGAGGTTCAGTGACCTCCCACAGAGTGTGCTGACCAGGACAAGGAGCAGTGGGACTCTAAACTACAACCGTGGATGCCGAACTATCTGCAACCTGCCTTTTAGCCTGAGGGGCTGTCTGCAGAGCTGGGACTTCTGCATTCTCTGCTGGTCATAACAAGCTTCTTCCCAACCCTCATCTGTCATGCCAGCTTGGTTTTCAGAACCAGCGAGGGTCTATGAATAGTCTGTGCAGGGCTGCAATGAGCCGCTGATCTCCTCAGCTCAGGGGTGTGGACCAGCACTGATTTCCTGCGGTCCCTTCAGGGCTAGGATGGTTCCTGCGGTGGATGTCATGGGCAGGATTTGCAGAGACTGGGCTCTGAACCGCAGGGGTCCAGGAGAGGTGTGGCATGCTGGGTCCAGCTTGTGACAGCTCCTGAGGGCCAATTGAAATTTTGCAGCCCAGTCTGCAAACCACTGGTAGCTTGAAATCAGCCACAGTGGAATCATTTACACTATCGAAATCAGCAAATGCTAAAATTGGGGCTTTGGATTTTTGTTTTTGTTTTTTCCATAGACCCCACCGTTGAACTATTGTTAAACATTTACCAGCATACCACTGCGGCTGGGTCACAACTTGGCTACCAGGAGAACCTGACACAGACTTCGTAATTGCTTTCACAGGCTACTGGAAAGCCCAAAAAGATGGTACCGAAGGAGATGAGATTTCTCAGAAGGAAGGATGATTGAAGCCAGAGGTTATATCAGAAATATTCTTCCATTTGGCACCTGGAAACATGAGTCACTTCTGCTGCCTTTCATAGAGTAAGATGGCATAAGAGATGTCTGTGACAGCTTGAAAGACTGCATCTTCATTTTCTTTTGTTTTCAATATTGCTTCTCTGAGATTATACGGGATGGCTGTATTAGTCCACTTATACACTGCTGATAAAAACATAAGCAAGACTGGGAAGAAAAAGAGACTTAATTGGACTGACAGTTCCACATGGTTGAGGAGGCCTCAGAATCATGGCAGAAGGCAAAAGGCACTTCTTACATGGCGGTGGCAAGAGGGAAAATGAGGAAGATGCAAAAGCAGAAGCCCCTGATAAAACCGTCAGATCTCATGAGACTTATTCACTACTATGAGAAGAGTGTCGGGGAAACTGCCCCCATGATTCAAATTATCTCCCACCGGGTCCCTCCCACAACACGTGGGAATTACGGGAGTGCAATTCAAGATGAGATTTGGGTGGGGACACAGCCAAACCATATCAATGGCCTTGAAAGAAAAGTGCTTTTAAAGACTTAAATGTTACACCTAAAACCATAAAAACCCTAGAAGAAAACCTAGGCAATACCATTCAGGACATAGGCATGGGCAAAGACTTCATGACAAAAACACCAAAAGCAATGGCAACAAAAGCCAAAATTGACAAATGGGATCTAATTAAATGAAAGAGCTTCTGCACAGCAAAAGAAACTATCATCGGAGTGAACAGGCAACCTACAGAATGGGAGAAAATTTTTACATTCTACCCATCTGACAAAGGGCTAATATCCAGAATCTACAAAGAACTTAAACAAATTTACAAGAAAAAAATCAAACAACCCCATCAAAAAGTGGGTGAAGGATATAAACAGACACTTCTCAAAAGAAGACATTTATGCAGCCAACAGACACATGAAAAAATGCTCATCATCACTGGCCGTCAGAGAAATGCAAATCAAAACCACAATGAGATACCATCTCACACCAGTTAGAATGGCGATCATTAAAAGGTCAGGAAACAACAGGTGCTAGAGAGGATGTGGAGAAATAGGAACACTTTTACACTGTTGGTGGGACTGTAAACTACTTCAACCATTGTGGAAGACAGTGTGGCAATTCCTCAAGGATCTAGAACTAGAAATACCATTTGACCCAGCCATCCCATTACTGGGTATATACCCAAAGGATTATAAATCATGCTGCTATAAAGACACATGCACACGTATGTTTATTGTGGCACTATTCACAATAGCAAAGACTTGGAACCAATCCAAATGTCCAACAATGATAGACTGGATTAAGAAAATGTGGCACATATACACCATGGAATACTATGCATCCATAAAAAAGGATGAGTTCATGTCCTTTGTAGGGACATGAATGAAGCTGGAAACTATCATTCTGAGCAAACTATCGCAAGGACAGAAAACCAAACACTGCATGTTCTCACTCATAGATGGGAATTGAACAATGAGAACACTTGGACACAGGATGGGGAACGTCACACACCCGGGCCTGTCTTGGGGTGGGGGAGGGGGGAGAGATAGCATTAGGAGATATAACTAATGTAAATGACTAGTTAATGGGTGCAGCACACCAACATGGCACATGTATACATATGTAACAAAGCTGCATGTTGTGCACATGTACCCTAGAACTTAAAGTATAATAATAAAAAAAGGTTTTTTTAATTTTTAAAAAAAGAAAAGGTGCAGTTGAAGTAAACTGTTAATAAGGTCACTCTCTATTCCATTTCCTGGGAAAGAGGTGAATTTCTGGGTGAATGCTTAAATAACACCCAAGGTTAATTGCAGGACGGGATGATGGTGAAAATACATTAAAGACAAATATCCTGTGTTGTGCATACTCTCACTGTAGCGATACACCCAGCCCCATATGGCCATGGGCCTTACAATGCAATGAATGCCCACCCTACTTCCAACCCAGTAGCTGCATCTTTTTGCCTGAGGGCTTTCTGCTAGAAAATCTAAGCCCCCAGGGAGCAACCCTCCATCAAAGACTGGCAGGATTTAGTGTGTAAATGTCCCAGAGCCTATGCTAGGATACCTCTGAGGCATACGCCACACTGTCACGGAGAGTTCCCCAGCTCGTTGAAGGGCCAGTGTCCCACACTGTCATTGGCTTGATAATGCATCCAGTATTGGATTTCCTTCCTCTCTTCCCTATTTCACTTCCCCACTCTTTACTACTGTTTTCTAGGATTACCTCTCAAACAAACTACTGGGGCCACTCCACCCCTTCTCCACCCAAAGCCTGCATCCAGGGAAGATGGACTAAGACCATCTACTCTTTCACTGAAACTTTGCTCATCCAGGGCCTGATCATTTGTGCACCCCGGTCTCCTAAAGGGACCAGGCCTGTGCTGAGATACAGTGACTGTATACTCCAGCCAGTGTTCCTCCTGCATGGGAACTTAGGGCAGGGCATTGGTTACATCATTTAATGAGTAGTCATACCCAACTGAGGCTCCATTCAATTCTAAAGCCCTTAGTCAATTATCTGTAGGGGCCTGGGAACTGAGTGGAGAATGTGTGTCTGATGGGTTTTTTTAAGTTTTATTAGAGAAATTTTCAAGCATACACAAAATTAGAGTTCATTACAGCAGAATGCACTCTTAGGTTCTCATCACCCAGCTTTAACAGTTATCGACATATAACTAATTCCTTTTTATCTATGTCCCCCATTTCCTTTTGTTGGATTATTTTAAAGTAAATTTAAGACATCACATTATTTAATTTGTAAATATTTCAATAGATATCTCCAAAAACTAAGGTCTCCTGAAAATAACAATATAAGAGCATTTATTAAAACACACTACTAATCATCCTTAATAGTGAAAGACTGAAAAATTTTCCCATAAAATCAGGAACAAGACAAAGATGTCTGCTCTTGCCACTTCTATTCAACATTGTATTGGAGGTTGTAGCCAGGGCAATTAGGCAAGAGAAAGAGAAAAAAGTCATCCAGATTGAGAAATAAGTAAAATTATCTCTATTTGTAGATGGCATGATCTTGTACATAGAAAATTCTAAGGAATTTACCCAAAAAAATGAATGGAATTAATAAATGAATACAACAAGGTTTCAGGATACAAGATCAATATTAAAAGATCAATTATATTTCTCTACACTGAACAATGAACAATGTCAACATGAAATTTTAGAAGAAAATTCCATTTACGATAGCATAAAAATAATAAAATGTTCAGGAATGAATTTAGCAGAAGGAGGGAAAGACTTGAACACCAAAAACTATAAAATATTGCAAAAAAATTAAAGAAGACCTAAATAAATGGAAAAATAATTCCGTTTCTAATCCGTGTTTATGGACTGGAAAACTTATTATTGCTTAAGTGGAAATACTCTCCAAAACAGTCTATAAATTCGATGCAAATCTTATCAAGATCTCAGCTTCCTTTTTTACAGAAATAGAAAAACTCATCCTAAAATGCATGTGGAAATGCAAGGATCTAGAGTAGCCAAAATTATCTTTAACAATAAGAACAAAGTTGGAACACTCATACTTCCCATTTTCAAAACTTATCACAAAGGGATAGCTACGAAAATAGTGTGTTATTAGTGTGAAGACAGACATATTGGTCAATGAAATAGAATTGAGTGTCTGGAGATAACCCCGTACATCTATGGTCCATTGATTTTTGACAAGGATGCCAAGATATTCAATGGGGAAAGACTTGTCTTTTCAACAAATGGTGCAGGGATAGCTGGATATCTACACGAAAAAGAAAGAAGTTGGACCTGTATCTTACATCATATACAAAAATTAACTCAACATGAATCACAGACTCATATGTAAGAGCTAAAATTATAAAACTCTTAGAAAATAAATAGGAGTAAATCTTTATGACCTTCAGTTGGGCAAACGTTCTTAGATCAGACCCCAAAAGCACAAAAAACCAAAGCAAAGCTAGATATATATATATATATTTTTTTTTTTTTAGATGGAGACACGCTCTGTCACCCAGGCTGGAATGCAATGGCACGATCTCCACTCACTGCAACCTCCTTCTCCCGGGCTCAAGTGATTCTCATGCCTTAGCTTCCTGGGTAGGTAAGACTACAGGTGTGTGCAACCATGCCTGGCTAATTTTTACATTTTTAGTAGAAACAGGGTTTTGCTATATTGGCCAGACTGGTCTCAAACTCTCAGCTTTCAATGATCCACCTACCTCAGCCTCCCAAACTGCTAGGATTACAGGCATGGGCCACCACGCCTGGTCAAAAAGCTAGATAAATTGAACTTCATAAGCATGAAAAACTTGTGTCTTTTAAAAGACACTATCAAGAAAGAGAGAAGACAATGGAATGGGAGAAACTATTTGCAAATCAAGTATCTGATTAGAGTCTTGTATTCAGAATATATAAAGAACTTTTACAACTCCACAATATAAAGAAAAATAACCCAATCTTAAAATAGGCCAAAGATTTGAATAGACTATTCTCTTAAAAAGAGGTATAAATGACCATGAGTACATGCAAAAGTGTTCAATATCTTAGTCATTGAGAAAATGCATATCAAATATGAGATATTACTTTATACCCACTGGACAGTTATAATCAAAAAGACAGTAACAACCCTTGGTGAAGATGTTGAGAAATTGGAGCCCTCATATATTGCTGGAGGGAGTAAAAAGTGGTGCAGCTGCTGTGGAAAACAGCTTGGAAGTTTCTTACAAGGTTAAACATAGAGTTACTATTTCACTCAGAAATTCCTCCTGAGAACATACCTAAGAGAAGGACAAACAAATGTCCACCCAAAAACTAGTGTATGGATGTTCAGAGCAGCATTACTCATAATAGTCAAGAGGTGAAAACAATCCAAATGTCCAGCAACCTATGATCGGATTAAGAAGGTGGTATATCCATTCAGTGGAATATTATTTGGCAATAAAGAATAAAGTGCTGACCGGGCACCGCAGCTCATGCCTGTAATCCCAGCACTTTGGGAGACCGAGGCAGGTGGATCATGAGGTCAGGAGTCTGAGACCAGCCCAGCCAACATGGTGAAACCCTGTCTCTACTGAAAATACAAAAAAAAATAGCCAGGAGTGGTGATGCATGCCTGTAATTCCAGCTACTCAGGAGGCTGAGGCAGGAGAATCACTTGAACCTGGGTGGCAGAGGTTGCAGTGAGCCGAGATTGTACCACTGCACCCCAGCCTGAGTGACAGAGCAAGACTCCATCTCGAAAAAAAAAAAAGGAATGAAGTGCTGACACACTACCAGGTGGATGAACCTTGAAAACATTATGGTAAATGAAAGAAGCAAGTCACAAAAGACCACATCTTAAATAATTCCATTTATTGAAATGTCCATAATAAACAAATCTATAGAGAGATAAAGTAGATCAGTGGCTGCCTAGGGTTGAAGACTGGGGAGAAATGAACTGATAAGGGGGTATGGGGTTTCTTTTGCAGGTAATAAAAATGTCCCAAAATTAGATTGTAGTGATTGTTACACAATTGTGTGAATATACTAAAAATAATTAAATGCTACACTTCAAATCAAGCTTGTCCAACCCACAGCCTGCAGGCCACATGCAGCCCAGGATGGCTTTGAATTCAGCCTAACATTCTTAAACTTTCTTAAAACATTGTGAGATTTTTTGAGATTTTTTTTTAGCTCATCAACTATCGTTAATGTATTTTATATATGGCCAAAGACAATTCTTCTTCTTCCTATGTGGCCCAGAGAAGCCAAAAGATTGGACACCCCTGCTTTAAATAGATGAATCATATGGTATGTGAATTATATATCAATAAAGCTGTTATTAAAAGTGGAGGGGGACTAGGCACAGTGGCTCAAACCTGTAATCTCAGCATTTTGGGAGGCTGGTTGCTTGAGGCCAGGAGTTTGAGACCAACCTGGAACATAGCAGACCCCATCTCTACAAAATCTAAAATCTTAGCCAGGCATTGTGGCATGCATCAATAGTCCCAGCTACTTGGGAGGCTAAGGCAATAGAACTGCTTGAGCCCAGAAGGTTGAGGCTGAAGTGAGCCACGATTGTGCCACTGCACTCCAGCCTGGGCAACAAAGTGAGACCCCATCTCTAAAATAAATGAATAAGTAAAATGAAAGTGAAGGCACTTGGCTTTTTTGGGGGAAAGAGGTTCAAGGCATGAGAGGGGTTTGTTGCTAGCTTTGAAGACAGGGAGCCACGTGAAAAGGAACGGGGGCCGCCTCTAGCAGCAGAAGGCAGACCACCAGGAAACAGGAGGCTCAGTCCTACAAACACAAGGAACAGCCAACAGCCTCCATGGTCCTAGAAGCAGATTCTTCTCCAGAGCCTCCAGAGAGGAGCACAGCCCATTGATGCCTTGATTTCAGCCTCGCCAGACCCTGAGCAGAGAAGCCAGTCATGCCCCACCCTGACTTCTGACCTACAGCACTATGCATTAAGAAATGAGAGCCTTTGGAGGCTGCCAAGTGCACGGTAAGCTGTTATGCCACAATAGAAACAAATACAACTTCCTGTTTAAGGGAAGAAGGTTGTATTTGTTTCTGTTTTCTGTTTTCCTTCAACATGTACCTGCAAACCTGCAGACAAAGAGTTATTGCAGAGATGAAGCTGCTCAGCTCAGAAAAATGCAACTTTAGGCCATTTGCCACTTTGAAAAAATGTAAAAGGACACTACAGAGAAACAACATAAGAATTGATATAAATAAATAAATAAAGGTATAAAAAAAGAAAAAAGAGCCAGTCATGGCAGCACATGTCTATAATCCTAGCACTTTGGAAGGCTAAGGTGAGACAATTGCTTGAACCCAGGAGTTCAAGACCAGCCTGGGCAACATAGTGAGACCCCATCTCTACAAAAAAAAAATACAAAAATAAGCCAGTTGTGGTGGTGCATGCCTGTGGTCCCAGCTACTCGGAAGGCTGAGGCAGAAGAATCACTTGAGCCCAGGAGACAGAGGTTACAGTAAGCTGAGATCACACCACTGCACTCTAGCCTGGGCAACAGAGTAAGACCTTGTTTCAAGAAAAAGAAAAGAAGTTTTATAGTTCAGTGGTAAAGAACAAGGTAGCAAAATGAAATTTAAATATTTTATCAGCCAGTATAAGAATAAATCATTATATGATGAAAATCAAGTAGAAAATATTCTAAAGAGAAATGTTACAAACTAAGAGGTAATTTTTAAAACTTAAAAGGCACAAAAATTGACATTAAAAAAATGACAAGATAAAATATAAAAGAAATGATAAAAAATTTAAAGTAAAATCCTTCCCTTTAAAATATGGAAGAACAAGAGCTCAAGCTTCCTAATTCAAAAATAATTAGAAGTCAGGTGAAATAAGCAGTACCATATTATGAAAATTATTAAGTATCAAGAAAACAGTGCAAACATCCCAGAGTCAACCCAAGACTAAGGTCATGAAAACCTCGGATCCCAATAAGGTACAGGTAATGGATGTAGCTTTGAGGCAGGAGAGGAGACTACAGGCAGCCCCGGCCCTCAGCCTAGGGGACTTACCCAAGTGAGAGCCAAAGGACCCTGTGCCCCAGATGCCTGTCCCTTCCCCTTTCTGACAGATTCCTGCCTGCTAGTGCTGAATAATGTCCGGGAGAATGGGGAAGCATAGCTTTTGTCTGCAGCCACACTGGTCCCAGCAAGGCCCTCACCCCAGCCTCCACCGATAGCCCAGGGGTCTAATTCTACAGTCAGGGAGCCACACAGAGCCAGGGAATCTGCACACCTGTGCCCTGCACTGAGGGGTAGACTCTCAGCCCTGGGGAGGACCCTGGGTCCAGCCAGCATTTTGTGGCTGCCCTCACTCAGACTTCATCTCTGTTGAGGCATCGATCGAGTGCCATCTTTCCTACACACAGCCTGCCCTGGCATCAAAACTCTCCTGTAGGACTAGGACTCCAGTGGACACAAAATTCCCATTATACCACAACCTAACCCTGACCCCAAGGAGACTCAGACCATGCCCCCCACAATCACAGTGGGGGAGACCCGGAGACTTAACGTGACCCAGAACCCCCAAGTGAGCAGAATTTGGTTAGTGTCCCTGGTGAAAGACAGGACAATGCAAGTCCACAACTCCGTTCACTGTCATTGTCACTGGAGCAGTCTTTCTAAAAGAGCCTAAATCACACAAATCCCACACAAAAATGAGGATGCACGCTCATTCCCTCCCCTTCCAGTTGCTTGTGTCCAAAGCTGGCTCAGTGTCATT
The DNA here is from genome assembly GCF_000001405.40 of Homo sapiens. Taxonomy (NCBI): domain Eukaryota; kingdom Metazoa; phylum Chordata; class Mammalia; order Primates; family Hominidae; genus Homo; species Homo sapiens. Next base: position 235,314,551 of record NC_000002.12, read on the forward strand.
TGTGGGCTCATGGCACCTGCCCACCACCAAGCGGTGCTGCAGCGGCCCCTCCTTCTGGCTCTTGCGTGATTGTCCACGGCTTCCTCTTTGCAGTATCATCATAAGCTGTGGCCTACCCGGGGATATGGAGGAGCCATTCGGCAAGGTTTCTGAGGTCAGAGTCAGAGAGGGACTCAGCTTCTCCTGCAAACAAGCTTGGCTTCTTGCCCGGAGTTCATTAAACACCATCATGGACTGTTAGAGCACAGGCATTGCCCAGCTTTGCGGGTCTCCAGTTCTATGGCTCAGGGCCATACCCACTCGGTCCCACAACCCTGAGCCAAAGGAAGATAAAACTGTACTCCAGGGCAAAGCTGGGATAAAAGGCCCACTCTTCTCTTAGCTGCGGATTACACTTCCCATAGACACCCACATAGCGAGGGCTCAGCCGCTCTCAGAGGTGAGGCGAACACGGTCCAAGCCTTTGAGTGAGGCATTCCCAAGGAGAGGGGAGAAATTGGAACAAGAACAAAGAGAACATAAATATGGGAAATATCTACATTAAGGGATATACATTAAAAAAAAAAATACCCAGGCCCTGTGGCTCACCCCTGTAATCCCAACATTTCGGGTGGCTGAGATGGCACAATCGCTTGAGCCCAGGAGTTGGAGACCAACCTGGGCAACATGGTGAAATCCCGTCTCTATGAAAAATAAGCAAAATTAATCAGGCATGGTGGCACACACCTGTGGTCCCAGCTATTCAGGAGGCTGAGGTGGAAGGATCACTTGAACCCAGGAAGCTGCGGTTGAGCCAAGATTGTGCCACTGCACTCCAGCCTGGGCAACAGAGTGGGACCATGTCTCGAAAAAAAAAATAAATTTAAATTTAAAAAACTATATATATATAATTTAAAAACAACAAATGAAGGCATCCTTAGCTCAGCATCTGGCTGCCAACCTTCAAAAGTCAAATCACTTTTGTCTTCAGCTCTATCTCTGCAGTTGTTCCTAAGCATAGAAATCTGGGTCAAGGCCTCTCGGTGGATGGACGCCACTATATCACTATAATGTACAGAGACAGAGGTCACCTTATTGGGTGACAGGACTACATGAGCCTAGTGTAGCAGAGACACAGGATAGAGAGGAAAGACAATTTGGTGCATTAAATGAGGTTACCGTGCCCTCCAGTTAATGAAACCATGGTGACTGTAACAGTCAGAATCCTGGCAGGACACAGAGTCCTGCTCAGATGGTTCAAGAGCAAAATTAATGAAGTTCCCGTTTACAGAGCTGTGGGCAGAGTAAGCACAGCAAAGAAGCGCTGAGGTGCCCAGAGCCCAGCCACAGTGGGAGCCATTGCCACACACCTGAGTCAAAATGACAGGAGAGGAAATAGCCTAGGGGTGGTCATGGCCCAACAAGAGCCCAGCAAGAGTGGCAGCTGTGGAGAGGGGGCTGCCCAGGAGAACTGCAGACACGCAGGGATACAGCCATCACCAAAATAAGGCCTGGAAAGAAACATTCAGATATCTCTCCCTGCTTCAATAGTCAATCATTAGTGCCTCCCAAATACCCAAGCCAACAGGAAGCCAGCAGGCAGGGAGACGGAAGCTGTGGATCTGGGAGGGATCTCAGAGCAGAGGAGTGAGAAGGATGGCTGGGGCCAGGGAGGAGACAGAGAATACCACACGCAGTGATGACTAATAATTAAGAAAGTGCCGCCCAGGTGCGGTGGCTCATGCCTATAACCCCAGCACTTTGGGAGGCCAAGGCAGGAGGATTGCTTAAGGCCAGGAGTTCAAGACTAGCCTGGGCAAGATAGCAAGATACCATCTCTACTTAAAAAGAGAAAGAGAAAGAAAGAAAGAGCCATTCCTTTAGGACCAGGTTCCTCAACTGTGGCGCTCCGAACATTTGGGACCAGATAATTCTTTGTTGTGGGATCCTCCTGGGCATCATAGGATGTCTAGTGGCATCCGACAGGCCAGATGACAGCAGCAGCCCCCTAGTCCCAACATTAAAACTGTCTTCAGACATTGCTGATTGAACCCTGGGGGGCAAAATCATCCTAAGCCAAGAACCACTGCTGTAGGGTTATAGTAATAGACTGCAATGAGATAAGGTCAAGGCTTCTGATGCTACAACAATAAGAGAAAAAGACACCGAGAAGATCCATTCCCCACCTTCCTCAGTTATTGCATCTAAGAGAGGGGATAGTGGGATGTAAACTAAAGGTACTTCTGTTTCTTGCAAGATGCTTGACAAAATGAATGTGAAAATCCTTCTACTAAAAAGGCAGGAAAAAATAGAACTAAAATGAAAAACAACAATGCCTAGTTAGGTCAGGAACAATAGTGCTGGGTAAGGGATGGAGTGTGGTGGGTGGGGGCATGGAGACAAACCCAGCCACAGAGGACAAGCTTAGGTGAGTCTATGCAGGAGGTGAAATGGGAGAGTGGAGATCCACGCTTCGTCAGGGCTTTTCATGTGGAGCTAGAAAAAAAAATGTGCTGACCAGCCCAAGAAAAGAAGCAGGAAGCCTGTGACTCGCTAGAATCTGGGACAGGAGAAATGCCTCCCTTCAAAAATAAAACACCACCTTTGCCTCCTGCCGGTTTGGAGTTTGATTTCATAGTCACAGGAAACTCCAAGCTGTGAAGTTAATGGTTAAAAATAATAATAATGCAGGAGCAGTGACACACCTGAGGCACAAAAAAACCCCATGGATGCCTATGGCTGGGAGGTGGGGAAAATGGGGGAATATTGGTAAAATGGTCTATTTCAGTTAGATTAATACATTCTGGGCTGGGTGCAGTGGCTCACACCTGTAATTCCAGCACTTTGGGAGGCCAAGGCTGGTGGCACCTGAGGTCAGGAGTTCGAGACCAGCCTGGCCAACATGGTGAAACCCCGTCTCTACTAAAAATACAAAATTTTAGCCAGGCGTGGTGGTGCATGCCTGTAGTCCCAGCAGGAGAGTCACTTGAACCCAGGAGGCGGAGGTTGCAGTGAGTCGAGACCATGCCGTTGCACTCCAGCCTGGGCAACAAGAGTGAAATTCTATCTCAAAAAAATAACTAACTGAATAAATAAATTCTAGGGATCTAATTACAGCATGGTGTATTTGTCCATTCTCACGCTGCTATAAAGACATACCGGAAACTAGGTAATTCATGAAGGAAAGAGGTTTAATTGACTCACAGTTCCACATGGCTGGGGAGGCCTCAGGAAACTTACAATCATGGCAGAAGGTGAAGAAGCAAGGCACCTGCTTCACAATGTGGCAGGAAGGAGAAGTGTGTGGCAGGGGAAATGCCAGATGCTGATAAAACCATCAGATCTCATGAGAACTCACTCACTACCATAAGAACAGCATAGAGGAAACCACCCCCATGAACTAATCACCTCCCACCAGTTCCCTCCCTCAATATGTGAGCATTATGGGGATTACAATTCAAGATGAGATTTGGGTGGGGACACAGCCACACCATATCACATGGTGACTATAGTTAATGCACACCATTGAAATTAGCTAAAAGAATAGATCTTTTAGCAAGATCTACATACACACACAAAGGTAACTATGTGCAGTGATGGATGTGTTAACTAACTTGATTGTGGTCACCATTTCACAGTGTGTACACGTATCAAATCACTACATGGTACACCTTAAATATATACAATTTTGTCAATTATATTTCAGTAAAGCAGGAGGAAGAAAAACAGAAAACCTCATGAATTCCACAGGAAAAAAAGAAAAAAAAACAACAACACTTAACATGAGTTTGGGATCCAAAAACCATAAAGCAATCTTCCATAACAGACACTCAGCAATGAGCACTTCAATATCCCACATCAAACCACAGACACAATCAACAGTAAGAGGAGTCAAAATTACAAGAAAAGAACTAGACTCTGAAATAAACAAGGATAGGTCTGAAGCGAGAAATTAGCTTTCACTAACAATGTTATTAAACCTCCATAGAAGAGCTAAAAAGTAAATTAGAGGCCAGGCGCAGTGGCTTAGGCCTGTAATCCCAGCATTTTGGGAGGCTGAGGTGGGCAAATCACCTGAGGTCAGGAGTTCGAGACCAGCCTGGCTAATATGGTGAAACCCCGTCTCTACTAAAAATACAAAAAAAAAAAAAATGTAGCTAGGTGTCATGGTGCATACCTGTAATCCCAGCTACTAAAAAGGCTGAGGCAGGAGAATCGCTTGAACCCAGGAGGCGGAGGTTGCAGTGATCTGAGATCGCACCATTGCACTCTAGCCTGGGCAACAAGAGCGAAACTCTGTCACAAAAGAAAAAAAAAAGTGAATTAGATCCTGCAGCAGAGTTTCACATTGGAGCCAATTGTGAGGAGTCAAAGTTTAGTGGTAACTGATTTTATCCTAGAAATAGTATTACAGTAGGAAGATCTGTTCCCAGGAGATCAATGACAGCTATGCGAGAAATTAACCTAACATCAAATTGGGTGAACTGTGAATTGCATACCTGCCCTGCTCATGGTGTAAGGGTTTCTTCATAGGACTGTGGATCAGTTAATCCATGCAAGAGTAACTAATTGTATACAGTTGTATTTGATGTTCCAGTGAGGATTCCTCTACTAGATTGTTTCCTTACATTCCTGCTTCGCTTTTTTTCTGAAAACTGCCACACCTTTATAAGGGCCAGGCAGGTGGTAAGAGCTTTGTTTTCTTTAAATCCGTGTCACCTGACAGCTTCTGAGAAACTCACCCACCCATACTTATTCACTGTATTAATATTTACTGAGTATCCACCATCCACTCTTCTAGGTGCTTGGGATTAATCTATGGGGGAGGGGAGAACCTAGCCTTGAGCAGCTTGCATTTATGATAAGGTAATAATAATAAATAAGTAAACCACATTGTACATTGAAAGAAATAAGTGCCGTGGAGAAAAGAAATCCACGCCCCATGCCCTGTGGAATTTGCAGTAAAGGCAACAGCTGCCTACTCCTTCTTATTGTAAATTTCCCTGAAACAAGCGTACATTTTTCTGCTTTTCTTTTTGGGTTTCATGTCCTCAAAGCTATCAATGATACATTTTGTCATTTCTGATGTCAATAATCTAGGTATACAGCGATCTTTCTTGTTGCTGTTCAAATGACACGTATACAGATGGCCCTAGGTGGGCACTGCAGCCTTCCACAGCCTCCTAGGCAAAGCTATGGGGAAGAAGGCACTCTGTGGGCCTAGCCCGGCCATGTAGTCCTACTGTTCAGCCTTCCGCAACAATCACAGGCAGCCTCCAGGGATCAGCATAGCCAGAGAATTGATTAACCTCCCCAGTTGTTTCTGCACAGTGAGGGGGCCGCTGGGTCACCCACCAGAAAGCAAAACCCACAACTAGCTGCTTCCTGGGAAAACATAGGTGGCATCATGGGAAGCCAGAGAATGACATAGAGTTAGCCCAGGAGGCAATGGAGACTTAACAGAGATCACCAATATTTCTGAGCAAAATCCAGCCCCTCTCCCCTCTCTACCCCAGGAAACACCTGATCAGGAGGAAAGGTAGAGAAAGATGGAGATAGAGGTAAGAAAGCTGGAAAAGGCTAGGACACAGACTCCATCCTCCAGCCTCCATAAGGAACCAGCCCCATTGTAAGACCTATTTGCAGACCTCTGACCCAGCACTGAAAAAGGATAAATTTGTGTTGGTTAAGCTAAGTTTGCTGTAATTTCTTATAGGAAACCAACATCGTCTCTTTCTTTTTCTTTCCTTCTTTCTTTCTTTCAGACAGGCTCTCACTCTTGTCACCCAGGTAAATGCAGCGGCAAAATCACTACTCACTGCAGCCTCCACCTCCCGAGCTCAAGCAATCCTCCCACTTCAGCCTCCTGATTAGCTGGGACTTCAAGTGCATAGCACCACACCCACTTAATTTTTGTATGTTTTTGTAGAGACAGGGTGTGGCCATGTTGCCCAGGCTGGCTTTGAATTCCTGGGCTCAAGCGATCCTTCCGCTTAGGCCTCCCAAAGTGCTGGGATTATAGATGTGAGTCATTTTTGTATTGTTCCACCGCAAAGCTACTAGCTTGCGCACCTACATTCGCTCTGCAGATATTTGTTGCATGGGACACAGCCCTAGGAAAAAGACAACGAGCTCCCTGCCGTTGTTGAGTTTACAGTCCATTGGGGAGGACCCACCTAAAACATGATGTTTTCAGATGATTTCCTACATATCCTTTATACAAGAAGAGTAACCTCACGGTGACTACGGAGGGACTGCTCTTAGAGGGCAGTCAAGGAGGGCCTTTCTGAGGAGGTGGCACTTGAGATGAACCTGGAGGGATGAGAAAGAGCCACATATGAAATGACAGAGCAAACAGCAGGAGGGAGACGGGATCTCCAGGTATAGAAGGGGGACTGTATGGCTGGATGAAGGGCGAGTGCTGCTGCTTCAGGGAGGAGGTGGGCTTGGGAGCCAGTCACAGTGGCTGCAAAACCAATGGAGACAGGATGTCCCTGACATCTCAAATACACGGGATCCATGAGAAGTAGCAGGGATTGGCTCTGCGAAGGGCCTATGCTCCTCTCCCTTTTATATTTTGTATTGAATTACAACTCAAACCTGATTTTAAAATGCTAACCTTTGGTTTGGTTGATTCGTGGACGAATTAGCCATAACTGCAATGCAGGGCCGAGTTGTAGATAAATGGAGTTAAAGAGACACTTGGGAAAGGCATGAAAAGCAAACTCCTCTAGGGAGAAGGAAGCCAGGTGGCCTGATGGCTCCCTGCTGGCCAGTGCGGGGGCTGTGGGGGTGCTGCCTCCCCCTGAAGCCGTGGCATTTGCCTGTGTGTCCAGCCACAAAGTCCCTCTTCTGTACCTGGTCTTGCCTCCCTCCTGCTCTTTCCAACGCCTGGAACCCTTTTCCCCTTGCCATTTCAGACCTGGCTCCTTCTCATCCCTCCTGGTGGGCAGAGGAGGACGAAATCACAAAAGCCTTGAGAAGCCTGGGGAAAGGAGTCCTGCTAAGCAGGTGTGTTGTGAGTGTCAGAGGCGTGTGAACCAGAGCAACTCCATCTTGAACAGGAGCTGGGTAAAAGGAGGCTGAGACCTACTGGGCTGCATTCCCAGACGGTTAAGGCATTCTAAGTCACAGGATGGGATAGGAGGTTGACACAAGATACAGGTCATAAAGACCTTGCTGATAAAACAGGGTGCCATAAAGAAGCCGGCCAAATCCCACCAAAACCAAGATAGCGACAAGAGTGACCTCTTGCCATCCTCACTGCTACACTCCCGCCAGCGCCATGACAGTTTACAAATGCCATGGCAACAACAGGAAGTTACCCTATATGGTCTAAAAAGGGGAGGCGTGGATAATCTACTCCTTGTTTAGCATATCATCAATAAATAATCATACAAACCAGCAGCCCTCGGGGCTGCTCTGTCTACGGAGGAGCGATTTTTTCTTCCTCTACTTTCTTAATAAACTTGCTTTCACTTTATGGACTCGCCCTGAATTCTTTCTTGCATGAGATCCAAGAACCCTCTCTTGGGGTCTGGATCGGGACCCCTGTCCTGTAACATGAGGGCCAGAGAGATACGGCAGTGCCCGGTGGGGTCCACACAGTCAAGAAGACGGCCATGCAGGCCTGAAATCCAAGATTTAGTGCCTGGGACCTGGAAGAAGAGACCCCGTGGAAGAGGGGATGAAGACAGAGCCCAGGTGTGACCCCAGTGGCAAACACTTGGCTCCACCAAGTCACCCCTTCTCCAGAGAGTTATCTACGCACTCACTGTCTGAGGACAAGTAGGATATCCCAAGCATCACAAGTAGTTCTGTTTGGTTGATAATGATGAGTGTATTTTCTTATATACATCGAAGTAGCAAGCCTATGCAACAAACACCCACCCCACTTGACTATTTTGAACTTTATCTAGACTGCATTATAAATGAAAATTATGCTGCAAAAAGTCCACTTCCATAGTTCACTATATATGGAGAAACAAAATAAAAAAACAAAAAAATTATAAATCTAGGAATTTTGTCTAAGTGGTAGGCACTAAGATATTCATTACATTGGCCAGGCACAGTGGTTCACGCCTGTAATCCCAACACTTTGGGAAGCCAAGGCAGGGAGATCACCTGAGGTCAGGAGTTTGAGACCAGCCTGGCCAACATGGCAAAACCCCATGTCTATTAAAAATACAAAAATTAGCCAGATGCGCTGGTGCACGCCTGTAGTCCCAGCTACTCGGGAGGCTGAGGCACAAAAATCACTTGAACCCAGGAGCCAGGATTTTCAATGAGCCAAGATGGCGCCACTGCACTCCACCCTGGGCAACAGAGTAAGACTCTGTCTCAGGAAAAAAAAAAAAAAAGTTATTCATCATATCATTTTTATAGTGGCAAATAAATGGAAACACAAAATTCACAGATGGTAAAATAATTTGTAGAATATCTATGTGGTGGGCTACTAAGCAGCCATTAAAATTTACATTAAAAGAAAAATAATAATAGAATGTATTGGGCATTGCTTTGCAAACTGAAAGCACTTGGTTTCAGCTTCCCACAACAACTCTATGAGGTGTATGCTAGCATTATCTTTTTTCTTTTCAGAGGACGGAATAAGGCACAGAGATGTCAATTAACTCACCTAAGGACATATTGCTAGTAATTCTGAGAACCAGAATTCAAACCCAGTTGATTTGACTTACCAGCTTATCTTCTTCATCCTTGTATATACAGCGAATAAAAAAATTTGAGCAAGGCACAGTGGCTCAAGCCTGTAGTCTTAGCTGCTTGGGAGGCTGAGGCAGGAGGATTGCTTGAGCTCAGGAGTCCAAAGCTGCAGTGAGCTATGATTGCACCACTGGGTGACAAGAGCAAGACCCCTATCTCTTAAAAAAAATTTTGTAATGACATGGGGCAATGTTCATAATTTGTAGTTTAGTAAGAAAAGTAGGTAATAAACAGTATACTCTGCATAATCTTAAGTAAAAAAAAAAAACATATATACTATCTACGGTATCACAGCTAAAACATTTGGGGAGAGGTGATGATTTGGGAGCAGCAGCAGGATTTTATTTTTTATCCTGAAGTAATTCTTTTTTAACAATTTTTACACATTTGCAGCATAAATAAGTCCATGAGTCCATGCCTTATATTGTGCAATTTCATACACTTCTGAGAGTTCCATTCCTGACGGGTACAGTACCCCCAGGGTTGTGGGTAGGGGCTTGCTCTTCCCATAATTGGCACTTCCTTCATAATCTGCCTTTCTTTTCTGGAAAGCAGTCTGGAAGGACAGACATCAGCATTTTAAAGGAGGTTGGGAGGACTACAGTTCACTTTAATGTCCTCCTTATGCTGTCTTTATTCTTTACTGGCCCCATTTTTAAAAAACCATGAACATAACTTACATGTATTCAGAAAATGTGATAAAAGTTCCAAAAAGACAAGAGTGCACTATCGGTTGCCCACAAGTCCAAGCTCCCTCCCCAGCTCAGCCCCTGAGGTCTGACGTGGGGTCTGGTTGCAACTTGAAATGCTTCCCAAGTGATTCTAAGGTTCACCTTGATGGAGAACCCCTATCTGTCACCAGGAGGGCCGCCCCTTCGAATGGAGCCCTCAGTCTTCCAGAACAGCCCCTCATATGGCACATCCTCATATGGCACATCCTCACATGCCATCCTCATATGGCACAGAGGAAGCAATCCACTTTGCCTGCTGTATTCATGCAGAACCACAGACTTCGGGGTTTGATTCTTCTTAGTGTTATGGAACGGCTCCCTCAATTACATTTCCAGGGCTGACGGAAGGCAACTTCACTGCCCCGAGTTCTTTGAGGCTGTCAGTGTCAGCATGGGTATGAAAAGATGGAAAAGATGGATGGTTCCCCATTTCCACAAACGAATTGAAGCAGCTGTTGTCAGACAGAGGTCAGATGAACAGCTATGACATCACCAAGATCCCCACTGACAGCCAGAAATCCCAGTTCCAGGCTGAATGAGCCCTTGCGGGGCCCCAGCACAGGGCTGGAGGTAAATGGACAGCGCCCGAGTTGCAGGAGGCAGGCAGAGCCCCTGCCCTCAAGTAGGCACGCAGGGAGAAAGTTCCCATAGGTCCAGCCCAGGGATCAAAGGCAGGCAGGCGTCTCTGCAAAGGAGGGAGCTGGGGCTGGGGGAGGGTGGACCAGGGAGGCTCCCACGATGACTGCGTGATAAATGGGTGCTTCCTATCTTTCCCTTCCCTGAAGCCGTGGGAGGCCCCTTCTTTCTCAGTAGTTTAAACTAATTGTCAAAATGGGGTAAATTAGGGCCAGTAATGAGATTAATAAATGCCTTTTGCGGGGCAGTAGCTTTGCTTGGAAGCACTCTGGGTGTGAAGTGTTCTCCTACATTTCCTGCTGTTCCTCCATTTTTGACAACAATGGAGTGAAACTGTCCATTTGAAATCGAACAACTTGTTTGTATGTGGACTTTAGGTTCAGAATGATGACTTGTTGTGTTGTTGAGAAAATTCACGTCTTTGTGGTTTGATATTTGTGATTTGATATTTGTGCCGTGGTGTAGCACGTTGAGCGAATGCAAAGTTTTGAGTATGTTAATCGCCCTCTCCCCTCCCTCCCCCAGCCCAGAGGAAACTGTGGCTGGAGCGTGGTGGTCTCTGTTTTGGGGGGTTTGTCCATGCAAGAACCCTTTTACTGACTGGGAGGTCGAGGAGCAGCTCAGCTCTGGCAGCCTCCATGGGGGAGGGGAGTCTTGTTCACTGAATTCCACAGGCTTGGTGTCACCTAAGTCACCTGTGCATGCCTCGACCTGCCTGTTCCTGCCCAGCTGCCCCTGGAGGTACAGAGCACCAGCGGGAGCAGCAGCCCGTGGGGACCAGGAGAGGACGGTCTTTGTCTCCACTTATGGAAAAGGGCCCAAGACCCAGAAAAGCCCAACCCAGCCTGGCAGTTGAGGCTGCCCACTGCCTGCTCCCAGCTGGTCTTAGAACCTCATTTTCTAAGGTTCCCTGTTCCCCCACCATTGCCCCAGCCCCTATCCCGGCAAGAGCAGGCAACCTGAGCTTGGGGTACCGTGCATGCTCTTGTTTCTTTGAGGGCCCTTTCTCCTTCTTCCTTTCTCATTCAAATGCTACCTATGTCCAAGGATTCCATGTCGCTTGGCTTCCCCAAAGCCTTTCCTGCCTCCACGTGGTCTCTTTTCTGCTCTTTCATAGCATTTGCATTAGGGTACATGGAGTGGGTTGAGTGTTATCCCCCAAAATTCATGCCCACATGGATCCTCAGAATGTGACCTTATTTGGAAATAGGGTCTTTGTAGTTGTGATTAGTTAAGAAATCAGTGATAATGAAGTCATACTGGATTAGGGTGGGGTCAAAACCCAGTGACTGGGGTTATAAGAGAGAACTCACCGAGACACACACAGGTAATAAGGCCACTTGAAGACAGAGGCAGACAGCATCACTAATGATCAGGGAAATGCAAATCAAAACCACAATGCGACGTCACCTCACTCCTGCATGAAAGGCCATAATCAAAAAGTCAAAAAATGATAGATGTTGCCGTGGATGTGGTGTACAGGGAACACTTACATGGCTGGTGGGAATGTAAACTAGTACAGCCGCTGTGGAAAACAGTGTGGAGATTCCTTAAAGAACTGAAAGTATAATAGAACTGCCATTTGATCCAACAATCCCACTACCGGGTATCTACCCAGAGGAAAAGAGGTCATTATACGAAAAAGATACTTGCACACGCATGTTTACAGCAGCACAGTTTGCAATTGCAAAAATATGGAGCCAGTCCAAGTGCTTATCAATCAATGAGTGGATAAAGAATTGTGATTTTTATATGTGTGTGGGTATATGTGTATATATATGTGTATACATACACACATACCCACACACACACACACACACACACACAACATGGAATACTACTTAGCCATAACAAGGAATGAAATAATGGCATTTGTAGCAACCTGGATGGAATTGGAGACCATTATTCTAAGTGAAGTAACTCAGGAATGGAAAACCAAATATCGTATGTTCTCACTCATAACTGGGAGCTAAGCTATGAGGATACAAAGGTATAAGAATGACACAATGGACTTTGGGGATTTGGGGAAAGGGTGGGAGGGGGATGAGGGATAAAAGACTACACATTGGGTAGCGTGTACACCGCTCAGGTGATGGGTGCACCAAGATCTCAGAAATCACCACTAAAGAATTTATTCATGTAACCAAATACTACCTGTTTCTCAAAAACCTATTGAAATAAAAAATAAACAAATAAATATTAACAACAACAACAACAAAGACAGAGGCAGAGACTGGAGTGGTGCATCTACAAACCCAACCAGAAGCTGGAAGAAGCATGAAACAGATTCTCCCTGAAAGCCTCCAGAAGGAACGGCCTCCAGAACAGAAAGGAAATAAACACCCAATGTCTTAAGCCACCCAATCTGCTGTACTTCACTACAGCCCTAGGAAATTAACACAGCACTGATTGCCAGTTTCCCCCTATACATGGTCCACAGTGCCTGATGTGTGGAGCAAAGCAGGGGGCCGTCTATGAACATTTATGAAATGATTGAGAGAAATAATTCATCCAATTACAGCATGTTCCAAAGACCCACAGCAATTAGTGAAGGCAAAGAGCAGGGTTGGTTTTTCCTTGCAAAGGGAGCCTCTGAACTGGTATTCTGAGCCTCCCCAGGCCTCCCCAGGCCTCCACCAGGCTCCCATGCTGTCCCTGTCATTGTTCCGTGCTGTAGGAGGCTCTGTGGAACCAGATAACATGTGTAAAAGCGGCATGGGTTTCTAGAAGGGCTCCAGGGTCTTGCTCCATGACAACAGAATATGGGTCAAGGTCAGGAAGCACCTGTTTTTCCTCTGCCCTAGCCTGGCAAGGGGGTTGTGACCCCACTCAGGACCTGAGGGCTTCTCTCAGGGACCCCTAGATAAAGGGGAGGGCTTCTACCACCCTGGAAAAGGAGGTAAGAAAGCAAGAGAAATTAATTAACCATTTCCCAAACGTGTCTAACATCTAAAAATTTGCCGTGGCCAAAAGCACTGAAAAGCCCATCATTGCTTTTTATTTCAGCGTTGTTTTTAGAGAGGAGAAGTACCATGCAGCACAGAGGCTGACTCCGTCACTCAGGGGACAGGTAGGTGTTAGCATCTTCATGACGTATACGGCACTTCCCTGAGGTATTACAGTCCCCAAGACAGGTGTTGTACGACTTACGACACTGTTCTTGGCACCAGATTCCAGAAGGGCAGCTGCAGAAAAAAAGTGCTCCATAATGTAAAAGTGGACATGTGTGATTACTAGTGGCAGACCTCAAATTCTTTCCCTTCATGAAACCTGCAACCTTCTGAGGTTTAACTGAATCACTGTGACTTCCTCCCTGGTCTGTTTGTTGACGTTTCCCTCTAAGAATGTCAGCACCAGAAAAAGGTCTTAGAGGCCGGGCGCAGTGGCTCACGCCTGTAATCCCAGCACTTTGGGAGGCCAAGGCAGCAGATCACTAGGTCAAGAGATTGAGATCATCCTGGCCAACATGGTGAACTCTACTAAAAATACAAAAATTAGCTAGGCATGCTAGCGCGTGCCTGTAGTCCCAGCTACTTGGGAGGCTAAGGCAGGAGTCGTTTGAACCTGGGAGGCAGAGGTTGCAGTGAGCTGAAATTGTATTACTGCACTCCAGCCTGGTGACAGAGCGAGACTCCATCTCAAAAAAAGAATGAAAAAGATTTTAGATGGCACCTGGTCCAGCCCACACATTTTGCAGTGATTCTGGAATGGCACTCTTTTCTTCCATGGTGAGCTTTTCCTTCCCTTGGGAGAGCTGTGCCTCACACTCAGTCAGGGTTCTCTAGAGGGACAGAACTAATAGGATAAATAATAGAGTCAGGGTTCTCTAGAGGGACAGCACTAATAGGATAGATACATACATAACAGAGAGTTTATTAAGTATTAACTCACACGATCACAAGGTCCCACAATAGGCCATCTGCAAGCTGAGGAGCAAGCAGAGCCAGTCCGAGTCCCAAAACTGAAGAACTTGGAGTCCGATGTTCAAGGGCAGGAAGCATCCAGCACGGGAGAAAGGTGTAGGCTGGGAGGGTGGGAGGGTGGCCAGTCTAGTCTTTTCACATTTTTCTGCTTGCTTTATCTTCTAGCCTCCCTGGCAGCTGATTAAATGATACCCACCCAGATTAAGGGTGGGTCTGTCTTTCCCAGCCCACTGACTCAAATATTAATCTCCTTTGGCAACACCCTGACAGACACACCCAGGATCAATACTCTGCATCCTTCAATCCAATCAAGTTGACAGTCAGCATTAACCATCACACTCAGCAAATCACACCTGTCAGTTACTGTCATCTGTAGTGATAAAACAGAAAGTTCTCCTCATTTGTATGTCTGTGGCAGATTGAAGATGACCACAAATTCTTTGACTCTTCTCCATTGAGAAGGGGATTGAGGAGGGGCTCCATGTCCTCTCCCTTGGTCCCAGGTGGCTCCATGACTTCCTGACCAGGGATTGTGACAGAAGTAGCACTGTCTCATTTCCAGGCTCAGGCCTTCAGAGATGGGCAGCTCCATTTCCTATCTCTTACAACACTTACCACTGGATTCCAGCCACCCAGCTACCAGAAGCCCAAGCCACAGGGAGAGGCCATTTACAGACAGCCTCTGACTTACAATGGTTCAAGTTAACAATATTTCAACATTGCAATAGTGTGAAAGCCATGCCCAGTCAATGGAAACCTTATTTTGAATTTTGACCTTTTCCCAGGCTAGCAATCTGCAGCATGATTCTCTTGTATTGAGCCACAGCTCGCAGTCAGCCATGAGACCACCAGGGTAAACAACCAATGCTCTACAGTGCACTGTGTTACCAGATGATTTTTGCCTAGCTGTAGGCTAATGTAAGCATTCCAAGCACATTTAGGATAGACTAGGCTCAGCTATGATGTTTGGTAGGTTACGTGTAATAAATGCATTTTCCACTTATATTTTCAACTTACAATGGATTTGTTAGGATGTCACTCCGTCATAAGTCAAGGAGCATCTGTAAAGATGCTCACGATCCCAGCTGACAATCAGCATCATCTGCTAGCCGAATGAGTGCACCATTTTGGATGTCCAGTATAATTGAGCCTGTAGCATTAGAGTGATTTGTTATGCAGCACTAGATAACCTGAACAAGGCCAGTTCCCACACCCTCCATCCTAGAATCTCAGAACTCAAAGAAGTCTTAGGGGTTATGTCTTCATTCAACAAATATCTACTGAGCACTTGCTATGACCAAAGAAATGTTCCAGACAGTAAAAATTCAGCACTGAACAGAACAAACAAGATCTCTGTTCTCACAAAATTTATAGTCTAGCGTGGAGTAGAGGGGGAGAGAAAATATAAATGATAGGTGCTATGCAGAGAATTAAAAGAGAGAAATAAATGCAACCTTGAATTATATCAGTTTTTATTTTATTTTCTTTCCTTTTTTTTTTCTTTATGAGACAGGGTCTCACTCTATTTCCCAGGCTGGAGTCCAGTGATACAATCAGAGATTTTTTTATTATTATTATTATTAGTATTGCTACTTTCTAGCTACAACTGCTAGCTTCCATTCTCTTAATATTTATCTGGTGTATCGTTTTCTAGCTCTTAAATTTTAAACGTTTTGGGTGAGCTCATGTTTTATCTTGTGAACAACATATATTTGGATTATGCTTTATTTATTTATTTATTTATTTATTTATTTATTTATTTATTTATTTTGAGATGGAGTCTTGCTCTGTCGCCCAGGCTGGAGTGCAGTGATGCAGTCTGGCTCACTGCAACCTCCACCTCTCAGATTCAAATGATTCTCCTGCCTCAGCCTCCCAAGTAGCTGGGACTGCAGGTGCATGCCACCACACCCAGCTAATTTTTGTATTTTTAGTAGAAACGGGGTTTCACTATGTTGGTCAGGCTGGCCTTGAACTCCTGACCTTGTGATCTGCCCACCTCGGCCTCTCAACATGCTGGAATTACAGGCATGAGCCACAGTGCCCAGCCGGATTATGCATCTTTTAATAGCTGCATTCACACATTCATGTTTGCTCTAATTAGACATATTTTGAACTTGTTTCTTCCTGATTGTTCTCTATTATTTAACCATGTTTTTTATTTTATTCTCAATAATTGAATCTCTTCTACATCATCTTCAAGTTTCTCTCCAAACCTAGCTTCTGCTTAAATATATACAATTTAAGGGCACCAACCTTAGATAGCTAATAGATATTATGTAGGTAAATAATCAAATTCCCCTTAATTTCCACCTAGGGATCTTCATGCTGTATCCCCATAGAACGAGTCCCATCTATTATCTACCTGACAACATTGCAGATATTTGACATGTCCAGCATGTTCCTCCTCTCCTAGGTCTTCTCTCTATAATGCCTTCCATTCCTTCATCACTCTTCCTCCAGGACAGTGTTTCGAGAACTATTACTTCACTTTGCTCTCCCCCCTTTAAAATGTGGTGCTCACATCTGAAGAATTAGCCCCACAGTAATCTGATCTGTCCCAAGAGAAAATGAGATTGTTCCCTCTCTCGTTTTAGACAAAATCCCGTCATTGCCCGAGCTAAGCTGGCATTGACTCCTGGAAGCCAACACACACACAGTGACTCACAGCAAACGCACAGGCAACCAAAGCCTCGGCATCTTCTTCCTGCTGAGAAGCCGCATCTCCTCCATCTTACGTTTCACAGCTGAATCATCTTAACGCAAATACCCAACTGTACAATTATCCCCAATCAGACGTCATCTTTTTACAGTCAGTCCACTGCTCCAGGCTGTCAAGATATTTTTGGATTTTTACCAATATTGTGTTACCCACAGAAGTAAATGTTTTCTTTGTTCAGATTTTCTCTCTACAATTTCCTTGGCTTCAGTCCAATAATTCTTTATATTCCATTTCTTATGTACAAGAACTATAGTCATATCTATAGGCAATTTGTGGAGAGGATGAAAGAGTGAGGTAGAAAGTTGCCCCCAGGCCAGGCACAGTGGCTCACACCTGTAATCCCAGCACTTTAGGAGGCCAAGTCAGGTGGATCACCTGAGGTCAGGAGTTTGAGACTAGCCTGGCCAATATGGCAAAACCCCGTCTCTAGTAAAAATATAAAAATTAGCTGGGCGTGGTGGCATGTGCTTGTAGTCCCAGCTAGTCAGGAGGCTGAGGCGTGAGAATCACTTGAACCCGGGAGACGGAGGTTGCAGTGAGCTGAGATTGCACCACTGCACTCTATCCAGCCTGGGCCACAGAGTGAGACCCTATCTTAAAAAAAAAGAAAGGTGCCCTCAAAGAACTTGCACATGACCCCTCTCTGAGCTCAGTAAAACTGTCACACAGTGCATGTGAATGGTCAACCCCAGGAACAAACCAAGAGGTTGCTAATGTGTGACAGAAAAGTCTGGGGACACTCAGAGACCAACTGAGAAAAATCTCAGGAAGGTAGGATTACATTGTGATTGGCATGTAATAAGCAGAAATCTATGCATTTGTGTCATAGCATGCTTATAGAAAAAAGGAGTTTGTCAGCAATAGCAGTATGGCAAGAAATGCAGGTTCTTAGAACAAAGGTTGTTGGCATCTTAGATTCAATCATGGCATGGGCTGAATTGTGCCCCCCCCCATTTATATGCTAAAGTCCTAACCCCCAGTACCTCAAAATGTGACTGTATTTGGAGATAGGGTCTTTAAAGAGGTAATTAAGATTAAATGAGGCCATTGGGTTGGATCTTAACGCAATATGACTGGTGTCCTTATAAGAAGGGAAGATTAGGACACAGACACGCACCCAGGGGAGACCATGTAAAGTCACAGGGAGAGGACATCATCTGCAAGCCAAGGAGAGAGGACTCAGGAGAAACCAGCCCTGCCAACACCTTGACATTGGACTTCCAGCCTCCAGCATTGTGAGAAAATTAATGTCTGTTGTTTATGCCACCCTGCCCACGGTAGTTTGTTAAGGCCACCCAAGAAAACTAATATAGACCCTACCAACATGTGTGGTAACCCTCCCCTGAGGCCACCTTCCTGAGACCAACAGCTTCCCTTGTGCTGACTCTATGCTCCCAGGAAACCATCTGCCTACGGCATCCCCTGAGGCAGGCACAGGTAGGAGAACACACTTGTTGGGCTGCCCCAAGCATTTATTGTGCAGGCACGTTTCACCCAACTCTTAACAAACCAGCATAAGGTTTGTTAACATATGTGCACATGCATGCAGGTACAGTGGGTGCACCTATGTGTGTCTGCATCCCACAGCCTTCACTACAGGTAGAGACATGCACCAGCCTTGGAGAGACAAGCACATCTGCCTCTAAGGAAACTTCACCCCTAGGTGCATTGGCA
The DNA here is from genome assembly GCF_000001405.40 of Homo sapiens. Classification (NCBI taxonomy): domain Eukaryota; kingdom Metazoa; phylum Chordata; class Mammalia; order Primates; family Hominidae; genus Homo; species Homo sapiens. Next base: position 235,332,937 of record NC_000002.12, read on the forward strand.
AAATTGAGTTTCTGAAGAAGCCAAGTTGAGGGTAAGCCCAGGACATTAGTGAACAAGCCAAAATTCACTTGCCATTTTGTTACCGACCACTGGTTCTTGGGCTCTCAATGCCATAGAATTTGACATGAGGCCAAAAAAGTTTCCCCAGACAGGATTTTATTGGAGCTGACTCCTGGACATAATGAGGGCAGCATGAGAGGGAGAGAGAATTCCCTGACTGACTTTCCAGAAAGAGTCAGTAGGGCTTTTTTATTAGGCAACACTCAGGAATTGACATCAGGAGTAGGGTATGCAGGCTGGCTGGGCAAAGCACGTGAGGGGTAGGGGATGCAGGTCAGCATTATCTGGCTGCCGTGGTTCTCTTGAGCAATGGGCCACCTGGTAGTCTGGCCTGCAGCAACAAGGCTATAAATCGATTGTTTAGCATTCCTTCCCAGGACAGGACACTACCGACCTTGGTTATCTCCTAAGGCCAGTTCCTGGAATTCTTTAAGTAAAAGGCACAGTTAAACATTATGGTGTCCGTGAGATATTGGTGTGGGTTTTGTGAGCAATGGGAATGCTCTACTGGAGGTGAGCTGAAGCCAAGCCCCGTCTCTGTCTCAATGTTATGGGACTATCTAAGTGGCCAGAAGGCGACGTACCAGCAAATCTTTCATCTCATCACCTGTGAACTTGGAATTGCGATAGCACTAATACAACCTAGAAGCTTTGTTTGTTTTTTAAAAGCAGAAACATGTGACAATTTAAGAATTCAGATGAGCCTAAAGAAAGAAAGGAAGGGCTCATGATCTGTGGACTGTGGCTCAGTATCTGGATCTAGACTGAGTCTTGCCTGTGACTGCATGTGATTGGCCCAGCACGAGAATCTCCTAGTGACAAGGCTTCTGGGTGAAAAAAGGGGTCTTATACATTTGGTACTTCCTTGTTTTACACAATGAGCTAGTGGTACAATTGAGATCAGAACCTAGGCGCAACACTTTCTCCACTGGTTTCTCTCGATGTCTGGGTGCTAGCAAGGAAAGTCATGAGACTCGAAAGGTCACAACGAGGAGGTCATGTGATCAGCACAGGGCCTGATCTAAGGGCCTTCAAGGGACATAAGGTAGTCTCTACCGGTTAAAACCTCGAGGTCCCTTCCTGGGCTCCTCCCTCCCTCTGGTCCTTTCTGAACTGATGCTCCAGGAAACGTGGCAAAATGCAAGAATAATCCTAGCGATCTCATTGCCCACCATCCCTGTTTAGACACACCCAAGACCCTCCAAGCGTTTCCACCCCTTCTCCATGGTCTGTAGGGTCCTACATGATCTGGCCCATAGGCAGACACTTTCGCCTCACAGGCCCAGGCATAAGGGCCTCCACTCCCCATGGTCCCCCATTATCATAGAGACTGGCAGGCACAAGGGTCTCTACTCCCCATGGCCCCCCACCACAGAGCCCTGCAGGCATGAGGGCCTCCACTCCTCACAGCCCCCTACCCCACAGCCCTGCAGACACAAGGGTCTCCACTCCACGTGGTCCCCCACCACACAGCCCTGCAGGAATGAAAGCCTCCACTCCCCATGCCCCCGCAACCACACAGCCCTGCAGGAATGAGGGCCTCCCCTCCCCATTGACTCCCCTACCACACAGCCCTGCAGATGGCTTGCTCACCCTCAGCCCAGACTCCTCCTCAAGGCAATTCCTCCTGCTCCCTGCCACCACTTGCCCACAGAAGCCTTCCAGGCATGGTCAGATTCCTCAGTTCCCTGCCGAGGGAGAACCACACTCCTTTCTAGAGCCTGCTCCTGAGTCTGTATTTAAGATGCATCCATGTGACAGGTAAGCGACTGGCTCCCCCCACTAGACAGTGAGACCCGGGACAGATGCAGAGCGGACCCTGCACAAAGTCATCCTTCATCGATATTGACTCAGTGAGACAGTTGCCACAACAGCCCTCACGGTGGGCCCTGGAATAAACAGATCAGAAGCAGCCCTTTCCCACTGACTTTAGACACAGTTTCCTCCGGATGATTTTCTTTTTTCTTCAACAGCTGTGGTTAGAAGCATTGTATCAGTCCTCTAACAAAAGTTAGGACATTCAGAAGCAGGTGTGAGTAACAACAGCATCAATGCTAACAGCCTGATGGTAAGAAAAACAATATTAAAACAAGGAAAAAAAGGGCAAAATTATTATCTTGGTGGCTTAAGATTGTCGTTGGAAACAGCACACAATCATGTCCTCAGGACTCCTGGTGGTGTGAAGATGTTTGTCCCTACACTGAATGCCCAGTGGCTGAGGTTTTTCTCATAAGTCAAATTATTACTCATGTATTCTCACCTTAAAAACAGACAACATAGATATTCTGGAAATATTTCCCCCTGAAATCATGACAATGTTTTGCTGCTTCCATGATCTGGAACAGGAATTGGCAAGCTCTTTCTCTGTGGGCTAAATGAAAACAGCCATAAACAACACTATGTAAATAGACGTGGCCGTGTTCCCAATAAAACTTTATTTACAAAATTGGGAAGTGGGCCAGGTTTGGTCCCTGGTTATCATTTTCTGACCCCCATCTAGACCATTCATACTGAGGAGCTCCTCACTTACTGACAATGTGAGATGAATGAGCAACAAGACGTCTTAGTCTCCGGAACAGACATCATCTCAAGCACTTCGGGTGGTAAAGAGCCATAGCTGTCACCTCATCAACTCCGTCTTGGGCTAGCCCCTTTCCTCTGCACTCTTCAGGAGCTGGGGGTGAGGTTTGACCCCTCTCTACCCTGAACCGTGTCCTCCAGCACTGTCAGACCACGTAGGGTCCTCGTGAACCATTTGGATGAGAATGTGCATGCTGCAAAGTCCGTCCCCTCCCAGAGGAACCCCTAGACCAATGAATGGTATTATTAATGAGTCTCACTGCCTAATGAAGAGCATTGCTCAGCTCTTAATAATACTGCTGATTGAAGCCAAGACCCTAGTCAAACAAAAGAAGCTTGTTTTGTCACTTTTAACTATGGGCATTAGTTTAAAAGAAGGATTCTTTCACAGAATGGTGATATAAAATACTCCTGCGCAAACAAATTCTTCATATTTACTTTTGTGAGTCCTCCAGCTATATTTTTGTCATTTGCCTGGATAAACCCTCCTCCTTCTCCTTTTCTCTCCCTCTCTTTAAACTTCAAGCATCATTGCCAAGCCTAACAAGTGGTTAACACTAGAGTTAATTACCATAAATTAATTGCCATTCTAAATAGTCAGTTCTGGAAATGACTCCAGTGGCCATGAAATTTAGACTTGAGCAAGGCTCATCAAGGCTGTGTTTTACGAGAGGATCAGAGGATCTGAGCCTGGCATCAGCACATGAGCATGGCTGGGCAATGTTCCCCTTTTGTACTCCCTGCTTGAAGATACAGTGAAGTAGTCTGTGCTTTAGCGACAGAGAAAACATTGCAAACAGAGAGAATTGCAAGGAGAAGCCATTTTCTCTTAAAGAACATGAACCAGGCAGTGGCTCACACCTGTAATCCCAGAACTTTGGGAGGCTGAGGCAGGTGGATCATGAGGTCAAGAGATAGAGACCATCCTGGGCAACATGGTGAAACCGCGTCTCTACTAAAAATACAAAAATTAGCCAGGCATGGTGGTGCGTGCCTGTAGTCCCAGCTACTTGGGAGACTGGGGCAGGAGAATCGCTTGAACCCGGGAGGCAGAGGTTGCAGTGAGCTGAGATCGCACCACTGCATTCTAGCCTGGCAACAGAGGGAGACTCCATCTAAAAAACAAAAAGAAAGAAAAGGAAAAAAAAAAAACCCAGAACCATAGCTTTGGAATTCCAGAATAGCTAGGTCAGTGAGTCCTCAAAGGATTCTGATTTCTGGGTAGTTAATTTTGGTCTAGGTTTCCCAGAATATCTATAGCTCCAAGAGGACAAATTTAGAAAATAAAAGTAAAACTATTTTGCAAGATATGGGGACTGGCACGAAGGAGAACAATTTCAGATATTTGTTAATCAGATCTTGTCACAGTGAGGCAATAAAATAGGTCAAGCCAATCAATAGGGTTTAAAAGAAATTAAGCCCTATAAATAATTTAAAAAGGATTATCCTAAGTCCTTTCGTTACTAGGTTCAATTTGCTGTAAATTTTCAAAAATTCAACCCAACCAAGTGGACCTTTCTCTCTTCAGCACAGAGAATCAGAGGGCCTGCAAACCTGAAGCTGTTCTGCCAACCCCATTAGCCCCAGCATTGAAAATCAAAACTACTTCCCCTGGATTACAAATCAAACTTGGGAAGAAATCAAGATTATTTTCAGAAATATTTAGAGGAAAATCCCAAAGAAAGACAAAAATTGAATAGAGAAAAACTATGGTGCTCCTCTTCCACCTGGGCTGCAGAAAGCTAGAAAAAAACCACCACCCCTGCCCTAATGATGAAAGGTAGACAAATTACAAAATCATCACTTTGCTGGACCTATCAGAGATCTGAGGGTATGGGCAACCAAGTATCCTGAAACCCGAAGAAATGAGGGTAGCTCCAATGCAGGACATAAACACCTGCCCGCCTGTGGCGCACAAGAGGAGGAGGTGCTGAGCATCACAGAGGCAGGTAAGAAGAACTCAGCTGCAATTCTAAAAAGTTGCAAATGTTTGAGTGTGGGCTTGCATGAGAATATACAACCTTAGCAGACACAAGGAGGTCTGCACCCAGTTAAAGGCTCTTTTCCACAGAGTTCCAGCAAATATTTACAAGAAAGGTCAGGGGTTGGGGAGGAAATGAAAACGATGGCACAGACCTTGAGAAAGGGAGCAGATGCAGGAAAGACATAAGTCCCACCTGGACCCTACTCCATTAGGAAAAAACCGTCTTAAGCCTCTGGAGGAGGCACAGCAAGGACTATCTTCCATAGAGCACAAGAGAGGACCCACTGGGGCTAGGAGAAGAGTAAAAATAAAAAGCCTCAGTCCCAGGGGTAGGGAATGGGCCCAGGATCCTATACCAATACTATTGAAGACCTCTCCCACAAGAGTCCAGCCAAAGACACAAAGTGTTTGGCCACCATGGGCAGGAGGGACACCATCACTTTGAAAGTTGCAGATTAATGACACTGGCACACAGGCCCACCCAAAGCTGAGGCTTGGCCAGGACAACAGAGAACCCAATAACTCCAATCACCAGGCTACCACGTACCAAGTAACAAGAAACAAGAGTCTACTCCTGCAAGAGGGCCATGAGCATAGAGAAAGACCCTTGTCTGTAACAGAGGCACACAGAGAAGGTCTATAGCTGAATATGGAGCAGGAACATTGAGAAAAACCCTTCAGCACCCCAGACTCCTCCATAAGTAGAAGGTAGGACTAGAAGAATTCAGTGAGGATGGGGGTGCACTGAACATAACCAGACCAACAAGAAAACCCAAACCCAGCTGAACTTCTGACCAGAGTGACTCAACCCCACACTAACAGTATAGGAGAAAAGGTTTGCCCACTCCGGGCATAATACTTTTGCCTCAGTCTCTACTGTTCTATACATGATGTCCAGCAATAACACAAAAATTCTGAGACAGAAAAAAGGAAAAAGAAGCAATCATCTTCTAAGAGACAAGGAAATCAACAAAAGCAGATGCAGAGATGACCCAGATATTGTTATTGTCAGGTGGGAAATGTAAAATGCATATGATTAATAAGTCAAAACTTTCATGTATGAACAGATGGAGACTTTCAATGGAAAAAAAGAAAACTGTAAGAGCCCAAAGAAAATGCAACATTTTTTTTTTAAACCCATGGTGACATAAATGAAGAGTGCCTTTGCCAGACCTATCAGTAGACCTGACATGGCTAAGGAAAGAATCATTGAATTTGAAAACAGATCAAAAGAAGCTACCCAACTGTCACACAAGGAGAAAAAAAAAGTGAGAAAATAAAAAGAGCAGGACACCAAAGAACTGTGGGACAATACCAAGTAGACTTACACACAGATAACTACAATACTAGAAGAAGAAAAGAGAGAAAAGTGGGCAAAAGAGATATTTGAAATGAAAATAGCTGAGAATTTTCCACAAATCATGAAAGACTTTAAACCACAGATCCAGGAATATTAGAGAACTCCAAGAAATTTCACTTCCCTCTCTCATTAATGGAGAGACACACCTAGTCACATCAATGGAGTAATATGGAAAGGTTATGTTGATGCTCAAACTGCTCAATGTATTGACAGAAAATAAGGCTACAAAACATGTATTCCAAAGGTCCACAACCACGCCAGAAATGCCTGAATGGTAAAAAGCCTTTTGATGAGACGTGTGGAAACAACATAAGGGAAAATTCAAGTGTAAAAGACATTATGTGTCAAACCAGTAAGAGCTGGGTCAAAACTCTAGAAAAAGTTCACAACTGTATAAAATGAAATGTTCTTTCATTCAGCAAGTGTATTATATCTTTTCTGTTTCAAAGTTGATAAGCTGTCTTTCTCAATGATTTGTCCATTTTATCTATTCTGTCAAATTCATTATAAAAATCTATACATAGTATCATAATAGTTTATTATCCATTAAACGTAAGAATCTGTAGTGTTTTTCTCCTTTTTCATTCCTAATCTTGATGATTGTGCTTCCTCTCTTTCTTTTCATGCTCAATCTTGCTAGAAGTATATCGATTTATGAATATTGCCAAAAAGTCCAGCATTGGACTTCATCATTTTCTCAACTATACTTCCATCTTCTATTTCATCGATTTCTGACTTTACCTTCATTATTTCCTTCCTTCTTTTCTTTCTTTTGTTTCACGTTCTCTTACTTTTATGTTTTTTGAGATGAAAGCTTAAAATTGATTTTTAAACTCTCTTATTTACTTCTATTTAAAGCTAGAAATATAAAGTCGAAATTTTTGAGATGAAAGCTTAAAAATTTGATTTTTAAACTTTCTTATTTACTTATATTTAAGGCTATAAATTTCTCTAAACCCTTCTTTAGTATTTCTCTCTCTCCTCTCTCTCTCTCTCTCTCTCTCTCTCTCTCCCTACCCCCCACCTTCCCTCAGTTTTCCATACACCAGGCACTGAGCAATCCCAGGAGAATAAAGGAGTAGACAAGGAGCAGCCAGCTGCTTTTGAGTCTGCTCCTGACTCTGTCCATATGATCAGCACACATGGCCTATAAAGTGCCTCTGGTTCCTTCTTACTCTCAGAAATTGTCTCTCTCTGATGTCCTCAGACTTACCAATTGCCCTCAGAGAGGAAAAGGTTTGCTGATCTCAGTTCCTATAGGAATCATTTGTCTCTGAAAATTTATTCCTTTAGACTTCTTTGTAGTCTCTTGGATAGATTTTTTAAATACACTATTTTTTCACTTTTGTAAGTTTTTCTTTCTACTTTTTATGACGAGGTGATCTTCTGCATCCTAATCTTAGGAGGAAACTCTCATTCCACAAACATATGTTGATCGATTATTATGGAGCAGACCCTATTGCTTAGAATACAGTGGTGAATACAAGACATGATCAAAACTCTATACCAGAACCTCAAGATACCACAGCACTGCTTCCAGAAGAGTCAGAAACCATGATTAAGATTTTTTAAAGTAGGGCCGGGCATGGTGGCTCACACCTGTAATCCCACCACTTTGGGAGGCCAAGGCAGGAGGATCACTTGAAGCCAGGAGTTCAAGACCAGCCTGAGCAACATAGCAAGACTCTGTCTCTCAAAAAAAATTTTAAATAAATAAATTAAATTAAAATAAATATAAAAACTGTGATTAAGACCTGCTACTTTCCAGAGCAAGTTTTGATGAATCTAATGAACCTGATTTGTGTTACAAGTGGGTGATTTTTTAACATACATTCAATGCTGTTTTTACTGTTTCTTTCCTAATCCTTTTTTTTTTTTTGAGACAGAGTCCACTCACTCTGTTGCCCAGGCTGGAGTGCAGTGGCGCGATCTTAGCTTACCACAACCTCTGCCTCCCAGGTTCAAGTGATTCTCCTGCCTCAGCCTCCTGAGTAACTGGGATTACAGGTGTGCACCACCATGTCCGGCTAATTTTTGTATTTTTAGTAGAGACGGGGTTTCACCATGTTGGCCAGGCTAGCCTCCAACTTCTGACCTCAAGTGATCTGCCTGCCTCAGCCTCTCAAAGTGCTGGAATTACAGGCGTGTGCCACCTACCTAGGTAATTTGTATATTTTTAGTAGAGATCAGTTTCACTATGTTGGCCAGGCTGGTCTCAAACTCCTGACCTCAAGTGATCTGTCTGCCTCAGCCTCCCAAAGTGCTGGGATTAGAGGTGTGAGCCACCACACCCAGCCTCTTTCCTAATCCCCTATTTTTATGTAACCTTAACTTTGCCACCTATTCGAGTTTGCAAAGCTTTCCACACTTGTTCCTTTTATTTTCCCCTATATCCTCTTTGCCCTTAAAAACCACAATTAAAACCCACCAACTATCTCACTCTTCATAAAATACAGATATCTGTTGAAAATAACAAATATTAAATATGTTAAAATATTAACAATAAACCATATTTCTAGATAGTTTTGCCTGTCTAAACCTATTATTCATTTGGATTTGCATTTTTTTCACTCTCAAATAAAATAGAACAGATCAGCCAACAGTTAATATTTACATCACCGCCACTAAGTAATTGGTAGGACTGCACAAATGCCAGGTGGCAGCATGTTAAATAAAAATCATCAAAGCGGTGCCTACCAGATGCCAAGTGGCCATGTTGGACATACCGACGCAAATGCTTCAACTGCTTCTGTAGAATCAGTTGCATGTTCTGTCATGATCAATTATCCAGGAAAACCTCCCAGGGTAGTGTGACCCAACACCACCTTCATGGCTCCCACTGAGCAGGCAGGAACAGAGTGCTGGATTTGGAATGGCAAATCTAGTTTTCATCGAGGTCTGCCGTGAATGAGCCATATGTCCTGGGCAAGTTACTTCCCCCATTCAGACTCTAATTCCTCATCTGTAAAATGAGGAGGTGGGACTAGTTAAACACTCAGCACCTGCCGTCTGCCACAGCATACATTTTTGGTAATTGCCATTAGTTGTTTTGGAAAGGTACATGTTCATTCTGGGTTAGCTCAAAAGTGAAACAAGGAGAGCTTGCCTTTGGCTTCCCCAGCCTCCCAATCTGGGTTTCAGGAATGCCCCCAACCTCCAACTCAGAACCTGTTTTTTTGTTTTTTTCTTTTTTTCTTTTGTTTTGTTTTCACTCTTTCCCATCAGAACCACTCTTGAAGAAGAAAGAGAGGGAACCGCTGAGTAGTATTAGGACCCGGGCTTGGAAGTCAGAAGTGCTGGGCCTCATCTGTTTCTTCCAGCTTGTGACTCCGGCAAGTCCCATAAACGCTGCACCACTTCACAGGATTTTTAGGAGGATTAAATAAGAAAATGTATCTAGAGTCCACAGAACTTATGTTTGACACTAATAAGGACTCCGCAAACGTTAAATATTGTTATTGTGATTCTTCCTTAGCAAAGATTAATCAAAATGTTAAGATGATAGAATTAAGTTATTTGATAATTCAAATTATTGTTCAGAAAAGGCTCACTCTTCTCCCTTCAAGGGGTGGGTGAAGTGTGCTGTCCTGCCCCATTGAGACTGAGCTTAGCCGTGTGCCTTTGTTTGGTCAATGGGATGTTTGTGGTCATGATGCATGCAGAGGCTTTCCACATGCCCTCATAGCGTGGCTGGTCCTGGAGGCCTCTGATCTCTGCCAGGAGAAGAACACACCCCAGGTAGCCACTACCCTTGCAGTCTGAGAGTCAGAATGCGGATGAACTTGAGCTCAGACTACAAACGGAAGGCAAAAGTCCAGGTTGGCCCAGACGAGTTGCAGTCAACCCATGAGTGTAAGGGTAAATGCTTGTTGCTCTGAGCTGTTGAGTTCTGGGGTAGCTTATTACACAGCATTACTGTGGCAATCACTGACTGATACATGTCACAATGATGATATTGTGAGTAAAAGACTGAAAATAAGGGAAGCCTTTCAGGTGTCAACCATTGGTCCTTGATTTATGTCCATACATCTACTTCCTTTCTGGTCCTCTGTGCTTAGGTTCTCCCCATCCCCCCACCACTTAATCTCTGGAAAAATCTTAATTGATACTCCTCTGCCAGGCCCTGGGAATATATAAATTAAGAGTAAATAATTCAATAAGTTAGGGACTATTATAGAAAAATGCCAGAATGCTGTGACACCAAACAGAAGGGACAGCTGAGCTGGGATATGAGGTCAGCCAAGGCAGCGAAGTATAAACAGAAACTTAATGAGTGGGAGTAACAAAGTCTCACCCCAGAAGCCATGTAACAGGGCACAAGCCTAAAAAAGCACTTTTTAAAAGACGAGTTCCTGCCCCAAGTCCGTCCTTTCCTCCCCTGGTGAGCCAGGTTAAACCTCAGAAAAACCTCAAGATACATTCATGGTTGTCTCCCTCTCCCTGGGGGAGCTGCTTGGAAATACCCACACTGGGACCCAGTTCTGGAAGTGATGTTTGCACATCCGGTCATCTGCTTCTGAAATCAGCTCATGCTCACCCAGTTTGGGAATCACTGAGGAGCTGCCCTCTGCATCCTTCCCGTCGCCTGAGTGCCACCCTCTCCTGGGAGCCTGGAGACTGAGGAAGGCTCCCCAAGAACATCAATCACCCCAGGGAAGAGGCGGGGAGAGGTCAGGGACCCAGGGGCTCTCTCTGCCCTTTCACCCAGTACAAAGCCTTCCTCCCCTGCAAACCAGAGATCCCCTGGGGACCTCAGGGGGCTGGGAGTGGCCCTCTGCTCTTTCCACTGAGAATCGCAGCAGGGGAGGCGGAAGTTTCAGCAGCTGCCCAGATGCCCACATCCACAAGGAACACTTGTATCCAGTGCCCACGCGGAGAGCCTAAAAACAGAGTCCGGACAGAAAGACCAAATTGGGGTGAGGGCGTGGGAAGAGCCTAAACCCGGAAGTTTGATAGCGTGCTGCTTCTGGGCCTTTAAGCCCAGATTTTCAAGGAGAGCATGGATTGCAGCATTTACTCAAGACACATTCCTGGAAACCGACAAGTTCCACTAAATCATTCATGAAGCTGACTGTCCTCGGCTCTGTTCCCACACACGGGGTTACCATCTCTCCCCGCCCCTTCACCCGCCCACACGCTCACACACACACCTGCACGTTCTCGCACAGGCACACTCACACACATCCACACCCACAGGCAAGCTCACACACACACACATGCACACTCATACACAGGCATTCACACACACCAGTGCACTCTCGCCCAGGCACACTCACACCCACACACAGGCACACACATACACACACATGCACACTCACACAGACACAGACACACACACTCTTTTGCACAGGCACACACACACCTGCACACTCACACAGGCACACGCACCTGCACACTCTCACACAGGTATTCTCACACCAGCATGCTCTTGCACAGGCATGCTCACAGGCACCCACACTCACAAAGGCACATTCACATGCACCTGCACGCTAGGACACAGGCATTCTCACACACCTGCACACTCTTGCACAGGCACATTCACACACACCAGCACGCTCTTGCACAGGCATGCTCAGACACACCCACACTCACACAGGCACACTCACACACACTTGCACACTCTCACACAGGCACACACACAGGCACACTCACACACACACCAGCTCTTGCAAGGCACGCTCACACACTCCCTAATACATGCATTCAGTTGCATACACACACATTGCGTACACTCACACAGTCACACGCATTCAGTTGTGTACAGACACACAGCCATGCTCACACGCTGTCATACAGTCACACACACACAGACACACTTACACACATATTCATACTCACATAATCACATGCGTTGACTAGCAGTCACACACACACACAAAGCACCATGCTCGCACACTGTCATACACAGTCACACACATTCACTCGCACGCACACACACACACACAGAACTGCAGAATTCTGAAGAAGATGAAGGTCAAAGTTGCCCCTGAGCTTCAGTAAATAGAACGCCTACTCACACCTCTGTGCCATCAATGTGGATCCTCTGGTAAGGGCTGCCCAGGGCCAACTGTGAGTCCCCCACCCAGGGCAGGCACACAGCTTGTCTGCGGTCGCCTGTGCTCTAGTAGAGAAAGATGGCTCCACTCCACACTGAAATCTAACTCCTGTCAAAGCAGCCTGACTTAAGGGAGAAGTGGAGATGGGGCTGGAAGTGGCTGCTGTGTTCATGTGATGTGAGTATGAGTGTGTGTGTTTGATATATGTGTATGTGGCATGATATGGCATGATATGTGTGTGTGTGGTATGTTGTTTGTGTGCATGCATGTGGTTGTGTTGTGTGTTGTGTGTGATTATGTATGGTGATAGGTGTGGTTATGTATGTGGTTGTGCGTATGTGTGTGGTTATATGTGACTGTGTATATGTGTGATTGTATGTGTAGATATAACATGTATGTGGCATGATGTGTGTGCATGCAGTATGGTGTGTGTGGTATGGTGTTGTGTGTGTGCATGTGATTGTGTATGCATGGCTGTGTTGTGTGTTGTAATGTGTGGTTGTGCATATTATGTGTGTGATGATTGTGTGATATTGTGTTTGGGGTTGTATGTATGTGTTTGTGTGTCTGGTTTTGTTTTATATATGTATGTGGCGTGATGTGTGCATGTGGCATGGTGTGTGCGTGCATATGGTTGTGTTGTCTGTTGTGTGTATATGTGTGATTGTGTGTGTTTAATAGATATGTATGCAGTACGATGTGTATGCATGTGGTATGCTGTGTGTGGTGTGGTGTTGCGTGTGTGCGCATGTGATTGTGTATGCATGGTTATGTTGTGTGTTTTAATGTGTGGTTGTGCATTTTACGGTGTATGTGATTGTGTATGATTGTGTGGGGTTTGTATTTGTGTGTGTATGTGTATGATTATGTGTGTTTAATACATATGCATGTGGCATGATCTGTGTGCATGTGCTATGGTGTATGTAGTATGGTGCTGTGTGTGTGCATGCATGTGGTTGTGTTGTCTGTTGTGGTGTGTGTGATTGTGTGTGTGTTGTGGTGTGTGTGGTTATGTGCATGGTTATGTATGTGGTTGTGCATATGTGTGATTGTGTGTGTTTGATATGTATGTATGTGGTATGATGTGTGTGCATGGGGTATGGTGTATATGGTATGGTGTGGTACTGTGTGTGTGTGTGCATGCACATGATGGTGTGTGTCTGGTTGCACGTGTGTGTACACAGGAAAACAACGACATTCAGATCAACAGTGCCATGACTGAGAAGGAAATTTCTCTCTGAAGCCCCATTTTCAGGTTTTCCCATTTTTTCGAATTTTCTCTCTGACTGTCATTTTCCCAGCTTGGCCTTAACTCAAAGGTGAACTTTTCTCCTGGAAGTAGAAATGATCTAATCAATACACTTCTGAGCAACATCAGCAAATGAAATTTAAGGGCAGATTAAAGTTCAAAATTTCTCATCCATTTCTATGAACACATTAGATTTTGAAATGTCAGAAGAGCTCACTTCCCAACAAGAAGCTCCCTTCCTTTGCAGGAGAGAAACTTCATAGCTGGGCCACGTGAGGCATGCTATGAACATCAGACACTCTCCTCCTACGGAACTTCCTTCATGTCAAATAGCGCCAATCCAGCATAGTGAAGTCACACCAGCTGGCTGCCTCCCTTTTCTGCTGACCAAAGATCTGAGCTTATTAAGCCTTACCTTAGCGTCTCAGTCTGTTCAGGCTGTGATAACAAAATATCACAAACTGGATGGCTTATAAATAACAGAAATTTATTTCTCACAGTTCTGGAGGCTGGGAAGTCCAAGGTCGAGGCACTGGCAGATTTGGTGTCTGGTGAGGGCCAGTTCCTCACAGGCGGTGCCTTCTCGTTCTATCCTTGCTGTGTGCAAGGGACTAATTAGCCCTCATTGGTCTCTAATAATAAAAGCACTAATCCCAGTCATGAGGCTCCACCCTCAGGACCTACTCACTTCCCAAGGCTGCATCTTCTGATACCATCACCTTGGGGGCTAGAATTTCTACATGAGAATTTGGGAACACAAACGTTCAGCAGAGAGGTAACAGCACCAGACTAACACTAGCCCCAGGGGGTGCACCGACCCTGACCCCATCCCTGCATCCTTCTCTCACCTTTGTAAATCGCCCCTCATCAAACTCTCCTCCAATAACCCGACCTGAGTGTCCCATCTGTGTCTCGCCAGGCCCCCCGATGCATCAGGTTGTACAAACACCTCCTCTCTCATTTTCTCCATCTTTAAATTTCCATTTCGTCCAAGCTTCAGGAAACACATGCTATCGAAGCAATTCCTAGGAGCACAGCCACACCTATACCCACTCTGAATTTGCAAGGTGGCTGTCCCGCCACGGCTCTCATCCTTGCCAACCCCAGGCCAGCGTCTCTGGCCCACTCCTCCCTTTCTGCTCTGTCCCGGCTCTCCCAACATTCCTCTCTTTCGAGACCTTTTTGCTCTGCTTCTGGAACTTTGTTCCGTTGAAAACATGCAGCCCAGCCTCACCATACCCCACAGAATGCTCCTGGCTTTGGTGAAATCTGACTCCCCGTCAAGGACATCGTTGTACTTGGAACCCTCTCCAGGGCATGGCCTCAGCCCCCAGAGCCCACGGGCCGACTCCTGGGTCTCCACTGTAACTTCCCTTCTAATGAGTTTCCACCGCCATGCAGAGCTCTTCACAGGTGACTCCGGCCCCAAACCCACACACCCACAACCAAAGCCTAGATGCCCTCACTCCTCAAGCCAATCCCCAATCTCCCAGAAGTCTCGCTAATCCTAGACTTTACTGCCAAGTTTTGTCTTTGACAAATTCTCATTTTTCTTTTTATTTTACAGAAAACCCAATCAAGTTGTGTTCTTGAGTGTGATGAGTCATCGCGACCTCAAACATTACCAGATTCTGTGACTCAGCACAGCCAGGGAGCTCCAAGACAATCGTCATTAGGCATCAAAAGGACCAGCCAAGGCACCATTTAACCATAAAATCAAAAGAAGATACTTCATCAGCGAACTCCATACAATATCAAAGGCTTGCTTAATAACAGGAAATGAGACACACATGAGAGTTTGAGAAAGCGATTGACCGTTTCAGCTAAGAGCGTTTTACCAATTCTTGACAGTCATTATGAATTTGATGGGAAGTAACTGCCTTTCCTTCTATTAGAAATGGTGCTGCATGTAAGAACATCTAAAAATAAGATAAAAGAACAACGGCTTCTGGTTTCGTTACTGGGACTCAAGCCTGCTATGATTTATTGGAACATTATTGATAAAACAATGCTTTGCCTTCGGAAAGCAATTTTTCTCCTCTTGCACAGAAGGCTGACACCTAGGAAGATAAGGTTGTACTGTAGACAAATAAAGAAGAGAAAGGAGTCTCCAGAGCTGGCCTTGGCTCCTGGCAATTTGGAGCAGGTCAGCACACACAAATCATGGTGGTCCTGGAGCTGTGGGTCACATTGGACGTGTTGGGCAGCTTCCACCTGGAGCGCTCTCGGAGAAATCAGAACGGGGAATTAGTTGGTCTCCCTGCTGCAACCCCAAGAGGCATCCTTGCCTGTGCCTAGCCTGACACTGATTTAAAGTACTCAATTTCAGATACTCCTGAGGGCCTCCAAATGTCAAAGACATGTGAATAATTGGTCATTCGGGGAAGGTCTGGGCGCCCTGAAAAGCATGTGCAGAGAGACCACTTGCTAATGAGAAAACCTGGAGCCTCTCAGCTCGCTTTACACTCTACTGTTACGGGGTTCAGGTCAGAAGGGTCCCTTGCCTTTTAAGGGTTTTGGTTTTGGATGGAGGTAAAAGACAGTAATATTAATAATTACCACATGCTGAGCACTTACTACATGCCAAATACTGTGTTGAGGGCCTTGCATGCCTCATCTCACAAAAGCTGTGTGAGAGAGCTATTATCTTTAAGGATCTATGGCTCAGAGGGGTTAAGTAACTCTTGCAAGAGCACACAGCTAGTACCTAAGCCCAAGTCTGTCTAACTGGAAAACTCATATTCATAACGACAGCCCATAAGCACTCAAAGGCCTTGATATGGTTTGGATTTGTGTTCCCACCCAAATCTCATGTCGAATTGTAATCCCCAGTGTTGGAGATGAGGCCTGCTAGGAGGTGATTGGATCATGGAGGCAGTTTTTCATGGTTTAACACCATCCCCCTTGGTGTTATTATGGCAAGAGTGAGTTATTGCAAGATCTGGTTTAAAAGTGTGTAGCAACTTCCCCCTCTCTTTCTTCCTCCCGCTACAGCCACGTAAGATGTGCTTGCTTTCCCTTTGCCTCCTGCCATTATTTTAAGTTTCCTCCCCAGCCATGCTTCCTGTACAGCCTGCAGAAGCATGAGCCAATTAAACCTCTTTTCTTTATAAAGTACCCAGTCTCACAGGTTGTGCTTGATAGCAATACGAGAATGGATAACACAGGTCTCCACACAATCACCACAATGTCAAGAGTGACCTAGAGCCATTATTTGACATTCATTCACTCAGGAAATATTTCTGAGGCCTATACTGTGTAATGCACTATGTCCCCAACACAATGAGTTAAGAATCAGTCTTTAGGGCGAAAAGCCATGTGCATGGATGCCAGGAACAAAGATAGTTCACGAGAGTGTGTGGGTTAAGAAGCTCTAGATGAATGGAGAGGCAGCCAAGGACTCTGCAGCTAGGTGATCAGGGATAGGACTAGGAGGGATGGATGAGACACGCACAGTTAGGGGGTCAGGCACCCCAGAAGGATGAGAGATGGAGCAATGGTGGAGAAACCTGGGGCACACACAGGAGCCACTGAGCCCAGTGTGGCGGGAGGGCAGTGGAGGGAGAAGAACACTCCGAGCGGACGTGGAGGAAGCAAACTCATCAGATCCCTGCCAAGCTAAGAAGTGTGAGTTTCATGTTACTGGCAAGACATTTTTGGGCAAGTGAAATGACATGATCTGAGCTTGGTCTGGGGAAGTCAAACTGAAGCCTTGCTGCCTAAGTTCCACTGGAGTGAAGCCAGGGCGGGGGCAAGAGTTAAAACAAGACACAACCATCCAGGGGAGAAGTGGCAAGGGTCTAATCCACAGCCACAGCGGGGAGATGGAAAAAGAGAAAATAACTCCTGTGCTGCCAGAAAGGCTTTGAGAGGACACGGGAATTGGAAGGGGGAGAGGCAGAGCGGGTTAAGCTGAGTCCATGGAGACTGGAGGAGCATCATGGAAATTTGGTTTTAAGTGTTTGAATGAAGGAGGCAACAGGCAGGGGAGCTGTAGAATAAGGAGGTAGACAAACCATTCCACCCAGACAAGGATGGGGACTCCAGAGATGGACAACACCATAAAGGTAAACGGAGGTCCATGGGTGGGAACAGAGAGAGGAGCATAGGAGAATGAGAATGGGAAGACAGAGACACCTGCTCTTGGGAAACATGAGACGTTGGAAAGCAACAAGGATTGCACATAGTCACAGGGGCAAAAGGAAGGGCTGGGAAACTGGGTCAGGTGCTATGGAAGGCACACGGGCCAATGGCCTCTGCGAGATGTTTTTTCTATGCCCAAGCAGATGATGGTTTCCTTGGGTGTAGGGATCATGTTTATTCTTCTAGGTACCCTGCAATGTACAACACACAACTACTATTATTAGTTAACTATTATTAACAACCCACAACTTACATAGGGTAGTTAATAATTAAAATACAGTGTAGGACCAGGAAGGCATCCTAAGCCCACCTATTCACCTCAGTTCTCCCAGCCACCCAGCACCACAGAAGAAATGCTAACATACTACTGGAAATGAGGAAGGGCTCTCTGTTACTTTTTTGAAATATCAATGATGTCATGCAGCCAAGGGTTCGCCAGAAAGAGGAATGGGGAGGGGTAAGAGGGACACTCTCCTACCTCTGTGCAAAATGTGGGGTGGAAGGCCGGGCGCAGTGGCTCACGCCTGTAATCCCAGCACTTCGGGAGGCTGAGGTGGGCAGATCACGAGGTCAGGAGATCGAGAGCATCCTAGCCAACATGGTGAAACCCCGTCTCTACTAAAAATACAAAAATTAGCTGGGCGTGGTGGCATGTGCCTGTAATCCCAGCTACTGGGGAGGCTGAGGCAGGAGAATCGCTTGAACCAGGGAGTTGGAGGTTGCAGTGAGCCAAAATCCTGCCACTGCACTCCATCCTGGTGCCAGAGTGAGACTCCATCTCAAAAAAAATAAAAGAAAAAAAAAGTGGGGTGGAGCAGTCTTCAGGAAGGACACATGGGGCCATCCCCGCCTCCCCACACTTATCCTGGAAAGCCACTGCAATCATGTGGACCTGAGTAAGGAGGGATGGCAACGATGAAGTACAGTCAAGGGTGAAAAGATGGCAGTGTGGTCTCTGGTCCAGCCTCAGTGCTAACCTGAGAGTTTGGATAACACCTAAAGCCTGCTCCTTGAGGCTGCAAGAGACAGAGATGATCCTTGGAAGACAGCAGAGACATAGGGGTAAGGGAAGGGGGAGGGCATTGCTGGGGGAGGCACCAACCTCCACTGGCTGGGAGGGCAGTTTCCCAGCACTGGGCTACCTTTCTCTCCTACAGCTCTGCCCTTCTTTAGAAAAAAATGATCAGCTGTTTAAACAGTCAAGGAGAATTGTGATCAGTCTAAACATTTCCCTTCCCTTGTGACAGTGATCGAAAGATGAGAACAGTGACCTCAACAGTTTTTGATGCAGCCCATCTCAGCCACTAATCCCAAACAAGTGTCAACAGAGAGAAAACGACTACTGAGCATATTAAAAGACTTTGCCAGTTCCCAAGGAAAGAGCAAGTCAATCAAATTTAAGCCCAGGAAAAGAGTTACTGCAAGTACAAGAACATATTTTTTTTAACTCTACTATATTCTCAATATGATTTGAAAGGACTTTACATCTTTAAAATCATAGCCAGCCATCTTGAAATAAGAGCCACCTAAAATCAAAACGAAAGACATGAAAAATAGGACAATGGAATCTTTTCACTTCACAGGGGCAGCAAACAATTGGTTGTATATTGTAGAAAACAAACAACCTAAAAGAACAGATGGAAAAATGCTTCCAGAACTAAAAGAAAAAGAAAAGATGGGAGTGGAGAGAGAAGAACTGAGAGTTTCGTTCATGCATGCACATTCAGGTAACATACACTTGAGCAACTGCTGTGTACCAGACTCTGTGCTCAGTGCTTTGATGCATCAGTGAACAAAAAAGACAAAGATCTCAGCCTTGAGCATGTCACATTCTAGCTGGAGCAGACAGACCCTAAAGGGAGGCTACCAAAAGTTATTATAGAAGACTAGGGGGCCAGGCGTGGTGACTCACACCTGTAATCCCAACATAGCACTTTGGGAGGCCAAGGCAGGTGGATCACTTGAGGTCAGGAGCTCGAGACCAGCCTGGCCAACATGGTGAAACTCCATCTCTACTAAAAATACAAAAATTAGCCGGGCATGTTGGTGCATACCTGTAATCCCAGCTATTCAGGAAGCTGAGACACGAGAATCGAACCCAGGAGGCAGAGGTTGCAGTGAGCCAAGATTGCAATGCTGCACTGCACTCCAGCCTGGGCGACAGAGTGAAACTGTCTCAAAAAAAAAAAAAAAAAAAAGACTGAATGTTACAGAAATGGCAGATAAAGGACTGAGAGTCCCAGGAGCAAGGGATGCAGGTTGAAGTTATAAATAGGATGGCCAGAGTGGGCCAAATTGAGAAGATGATCTCTGAGCAAAGCCTGGAATGAGTGTGGGTATATTTGGCAAGAGTATTCCAGGCAGAAGGAGCAGCGAATGCAGTGGCCAGGCTCAGGAGGGCCCAGCAGGGTCAGGGAACATCAGGGCAGCCAGGGTGGTGGTGATGAGGGGAGAGTGGTGGCTGATAATGCTTGGGGGTGGGGTGGCGGTGGGGGTCATGGCAGGGAGATTCGTGCTGACCTTGGAGGGCGTTGTGAGTTTTGGCTTCTAGTCTAATGAAAAACTACCCCATGAGATCGTTTCTGAGTAGAGGAGTGTTCTGATCATATTTAATTTTAAAGGACCACTCTTGTCAACTGTGTTGAGAAAAGAGTGGGGGAGGGAAAGGGAGAGGAGGTCAGGGATCGGAGCAGGACCAGCCCAATAATAAAGGAGAAAGATGCCAACTGCATAAACGGGGTAGTAGCTACAGAGCCATGAGAAGTAATCAGTTTCTGTATCTATTCTGAAGCCAGTCAAGTGTCAGGAAGGTTCCTGATGGTTTTGATGGTGGGGGGAAGACAGAAAAAGAGAAGTGAAGGAAGTTGCCAAGTTTTCTGGCAGGAGCCTCTGGAATTCTGTAGTTGCCATTCACTGGGAAGGGGGCAGGCTGGTGGAGCTAGGAGGGGTGCACTGGGGAGTCAGTTTTAGACAGGACTGGGTTGGAATGTCTGCTGGATGACCAAGTGGGAAGGTCAAGTTGAAGTCTGGAATTCAGGAAAAAGGATGAGGCTAGAGATGTACATTTTAGAGTCTCAGCCTCTAGACAGACCTCAACAAACACCCACCTGGCTTCCGTCGATAATGTTTCACCCTCTGCTATGTTATATGAATATGCTCTATTTAATCACAACATGGTATACCCAAACCCACAATTCATGTCATGTTGTGCTTTGGGAATTTCATTTGCAGTCTCCTTTGACCTGAACAGTGCCACATACTCACAAAAACCAATCACGTGCCATGTAAAATGTTTTAAAGGCCTACGGCATCACCTTGCTGTAAGACTGGTGGCTGCAATCTACCCATCCAAAGTTGCATCTCCAATCGATCCTCAGAGTCCTGGTACCACAAGGAAAAGTCCCCTGTCAGTATTCAGCACTGTCCTGGTAACAAATGAATTGTTCATTTTAGCAGCCATCCGACTGTCAAGACTGTACAAGAAAACTCGGAAGACATTTATCTGTTGGCCAGGTGTGGTGGCTCACACCTGTTTTCCCAACAATTTGGGAGGCTGAGGCGGGTGGATCGCTTGAGCCCAGGAGTTCAAGACCAGCCTGGGCAACAGGGTGAAACCCCATCTCTACTAAAAACACAAAAATTAGCTGGGTGTGGTGGCAGGCACCTATAATCTCAGCTACTCCGGAGGCTGAGGCATGAGGATCACTTGAACCTGGGAGGCAGAGGTCGGCGCAGTGAGCTAAGATGACACCACTGCACCCCAACCTGGGCAACAGAGTGAGATTCAATCTCAAAAAAAAAAAAAAAAAAAAAAAGAAATGTATCTGTCAATTAATGAGTAATAATAAAAATAATAGCAAAAACATTAGTAAGTGGGAAAGAAGGTGATAAAAATGGAACATTCCTGTCAGGTTATACAAAAAGACATAACACTTGCTGGGTGGCTTTTACCCACGATTTTGTAAGCTCCTGAGCCCCTTCTGCTTGTGAATGCAGGAGGGAGACCATTGCTTCCAGGTAATGTAGTGTTCTAGATGGAAGTACACACCTTCTACACAGGCTCAGGAGACAGACCAGCCTCTGAGCACCCACCATGTGCCAGAAACTGTGCGGGGTGCTTCGGACATGAACATAAAACACAGCTACTCTCTCTCCTCGCCCAGCCCTGCCTCCCACCCCTGGCTTCACTTGGACTCCTTAGCCCAAGAGATTGAGAGCAGCCTCTCCAAGGGGAGTCACACAGTTCTCATATCCCCCCTAAAAATGGAGGAGTAGAGAACTACATACACCCTCCCTATCTTCTCTGTCCTTTCTCTGCCCACCTCTCCTATCCAAATTCTGCAAAAAAGAGAGCAATAGATTGACCCTACTGACCTTGAAACCTACTCTTCCTCAAGGGGAAAGAAAGGGAGGGTGTCCTCGAAAAGCAGCACAGCCCTTGTGGTCCAAAGAGTGGTTCTAAACACAACTCACTGTGCCCCCAGGACATTTGGAGACTTCTGGAGACATCTTTGGTTATCTCAGCTGGGGGTAGTGGGTGCATCTAGTGGGTAGAGACCAGGGAAGCTGCTAGACATCCTCCAATGGACAGGACAGCCCCCATCAGCACGCTCAAAATGTCTTCGTGTTGAGGTTGAGGAACCTCGGTCCAAAGAGACTGAGCCAGCTAATATGGAGAGATCAAGACAAACCCATACTATCCCTGGGGAAAAAGTCAAACAGATGCTAATTTACAAATACTGTGTTTACTAATTAACTTATTCAAACAGCGCAATACCTACATTCCTCAGGTTTTCCACCACAGTCAGCAGCATTGCTTATGCATATTTGATTTCCTTCCACCTGGGCAACAGGACATTGGAAAAGCAGAGCTTAGAGTGAGGGGGGAAATGAGAGGCTGGCAAAACTTACACAGATTATTTTTCTTTTTTTTTTAATTTTATTATTATAATACTTTAAGTTTTAGGGTACATGTGCACAACGTGCAGGTTTGTTACATATGTATACATGTGCCATGTTGGTGTGCTGCACCCATTAACTCGTCATTTAGCAGTAGGTATATCTCCTAATGCTATCCCTCCCCCCTCCCCCAACCCCACAACAGTCGAGAACACATGGACACAGGAAGGGGAACATCACACTCCGGGGACAGATTTTTTTCTAACCTAGCCGCACAACTGCACTAAGTTTTTATACAGACCTTCTGCCTCATCAGCTTCCATCTCATCTCATTTCATGCTGGATCTAGAATTGACTCTGCTGCAGGAACACACACACTGCCTGACAGTGCTATCTTAAGGGCATTTAAAAGGAAACAGATGGCCAGGCACAGTGGCTCATACCTGTAATCCCAGTACTTTGGGAGGCCAAGATGGGTGGATCACCTGATGTCAGGAGTTCAAGACCAGCCTGGCCAACATGGTGAAACCTCATCTCTACTAAAAATACAAAAATTAGCCGGGTGTGGTCACCTGGCTACAGTAGCACATCTGTAGTCCCAGCTACTCAGGAGGTTAAGACAGGAGATCACTTGAACTCAGGAGGCGGAGGCTGCAATGAGCCGAGATTGTGCTACTGCACTCCAGCCTGGACAACAGAGCAAGACTCCATCTCAAAAAAAAAAAAAAAATGGAAACAGATAATGAAGGCTGGCCAATGAAATGCTTTAAAGGATTAGTACAAAAACAGAGGCTTGTGTTTTACCGAGAATAACAAGTAAAGAAATTGGATATTTGAATCAGATGTCAAGCTTGATTCTTTTATTTTACTGCTTCCATAATAAATGGAAATCTAAATTAAAATAAAGTCAGAGATGATTTTTATATTAAACTATCTTATATGTTCAAAAAGTAGCTCTTTGTGAAAGCCCCTGCCTCCTCACACTATAAATAATGCATAAAATGTTGAGAGAGGCTTTGATTGTAAAAATTATTTCGCCTCTGTTTATCTGCCTTTACGGCAGCCGGATCATTCTGTTTAGACTCTAAGGATTATGCCACACCTCTGGTGGTTTGAGTATTTTTTTTTTTTTTTTTTTAGATTGATGGGTTGTATGAGCTTAGTTTTCTCTTTTGGCTTTGCCGGCCACGTGAACAGAAACAGAAAAGGAAATGATCTCCTTTGGCATGGTTGTTATGAGTGACATGTGTCTGGGAGCCTTCATTTAATGAACTCATTTTCCACGGCCTTGGCTTTGCCAAAGGGTGGGATCTCCCTCATAGAGAAGCTGTACTGAGGTCCCACCAGGGGCCTCCCTTAACATCATTCAGGCGTGGATGACACCAACACAGATGCAGAGGGGAAAAGCATTTGCTGGCAAGAGGCATCCCACTGAGCTCATGCAGTCAGCTACTAGGAGCTCCATACCTCTTCATTCGGGCTGTGTCTCTGAGTCACTGAGTAACTGACACCTTTCCACTTCACCTTGAACCAGGTAGGTGTGATGCAGGCAAGGAAATCAGCAAGGTACCCAGACGGGGAAAAGATTCAAGATGACCCACTCTATGGTCACAGGTGACATGGATGGAGGCTTAGAAGACCCAAATTTTCCTGGTAAGAGTCCTAATTTTCAAACGCACAAGACAAGTTTATGGGTTTTTTTGTTTGTTTGTTTGTTTTGAGACAGAGTATTGCTCTGTCACCCAAGGGCTCACTGCAAACTCCGCCTCCCAAGTTCACGCCATTCTCCTGCCTCAGCCTCCCAAGTAGCTGGGACTACAGGCGCCCGCCACCACGCCCGGCTAATTTTTTGTATTTTTAGTAGAGACGGGGTTTCACCATGTTAGCCAGGATGGTCTCGATCTCCTGACCTCATGATCCGCCCGCCTCAGCCTCCCAAAGTGCTGGGATGACAGGCGTGAGCCACCGCACCCAGCATGTTAATATTTTTTAATGGCAGCTATTGTGTCTATGGCGTGCAGACCCTGTAGAAGGTGCCTCACAGGCCAGGCGCAGTGGCTCACACCTGTCATCCCAGCACTTTGGGAGGCTAAGGCGGGCGGATCACGAGGTCAGGAGTTCAAGACCAGCCTGGCTAAGATGGTGAAACCCCGTCTCTACTAAAAATACAAAAATTAGCGAGGCGCAGTGGCACGTGCCTGTAATCCCAGCTACTGGGGAGGCCGAGGCAGGAGAATTGCTTGAACCCGGGCGGCCGAGGTTGCAGTGAGCTGAGATCATGCCACTGCACTCCAGCCTGAGCGATAGTAAGACTCCATCTCAAAAAAAAAGGTGCCTCATAGATGTTCCTTCTTTCCCCGCCAACCCCAACAACCCTGCAACCCTGCCAGGTTGCCGTTGTCATTAAATTATGATTGTGAGGCTCAGAGAGGTTGTGCAACTTGCACAAAGTCAAAGTAAATAGTAAGTACGTGGTGGAGAAGGAAGGCTGCCCCACTCCAAAGCCCATTCCTTATTGTTTGAGACATTCCAAGAACAAGTACCTGTGCAAGGTGGGGAGGAGAGAAAAGTGTACCCACTGGCCCCTGTCTCCCACTGGTCAAATTCACCTGTGGGGGTGTCACCTTCCCTGCTCATCCCAGAGGCACATGTGTCGGGGCAAGTGACGGCCGTGGCATGTGCACCTCAGCCACAATAACGAAGCGCAAAGAAAGAGGCGTGTGATGCCCGGTAGGGAGGCGCTGCTGGGTTTTGCCTGCCAGTGACACTCGGGGTTGAGAGCTGCCACCACCGCAGGCCTCAGCAGCCTCGCTCCACGGCTGCAGCGCCCCACGCACCCTTGCTAGGCCCTGGGGTGGCACGTGAGCTTTGTCTGCCATGTGGCAGTCCTGGTGTTTCCATGGTTCCATGTGGCACTCAGTGCTGTCATTACTCATCCTCCACACATCAGAGATCAGAGATGAAGCTTCTGCCGGCTTCTAGGACGGTCTCTCCCAGTCACCTGTCAGGAGGTTGGGGAGACTACACCAGGGTGGGCTTGCACCCCGAGGCCCGCTGTGACCTGCTCAGGCTCGGGTTTGAGCTGGATAAGGGCACACTTTTCCATGGCAGCCATAGGCAGCAGCCTTCTCCCCAGGCCTTGACTGTTGGTCAGCTTCCTAGGCTGCCCTAACAAATCGCCCACAGCAGACACCTCTTCCGTCACAGTCCTGAAGGCTGGGAGTCCGTGGTCATGGTGTTGGCAGAGCCATGCTGTCTCCGAAGCCTCCAGGGAAGGTTCCGTCCTGGCCTCCTCCTCGCTTGTGGTGGCGGCGGAGGTCAGCCTAGGCATCTCTTGATTGACTTCAGCTACATCACTCCCATCCCTGCCCGCATCATCACGGGGCAGGGCCTTCTTCCCCGTGTCTCCTCAGTGTCTCTGTGTCCTAATCTCCCCTTCTCCTAAGGGCAGCAGCATTGGATTTAGGGCCCACCCTAATCCAGTATGACCTCATCTTACCTTGATGATATCTGCAAGACTCTATCTCCAAAGAAGCAAAGAAAGAAAAAAGCTCACATTTACAGGGACCAGGAGTGAGGGCTTCTACATCTTTTTGAAGAATACAATTCCAGCCACAATTTTTTTTTTTCTTTGAGATAAAGTCTCACTCTGCCTCCCAGGCAGTATGAGCAATCTCAGCTCACCACAACCTCTGCCTCCCAGGTTCAAGTGATTATCCTGCCTCAGCCTCCAGAGTAGCTGAGACTACAGGCGCCACCACACCCGGCTAATTTGTGTATTTTTAGTAGAGACAGGGTTTCACCATGTTGGCCAGGCTGGTCTCAAACTCCTGACCTCACGTGATTCACCCGCCTTGGCCTCTTGAAGTGCTGGTATTACAGGTGTGAGTCACCGCGCCCAGCCACCACAATTTTTTATCCTAGAAAGCAAGCAACACTCTGGTTGGCTGTTTCATCTCTCTCGCCCCTGAGAAAACCATCACAACCTCACTGTTATCAGCACAGATCCCCAAGGCTCAGCACTCTCTGCTTGCACTGAGGCCTCGGTGCCACCCCTGGGAGCACCTGCACTACTCTGTCTCTGCTGGTAACGTGCCCTTGGCTCCATTCCTACAAGGGAGCCAGTTCTACCAGAGCCTCTCTGAGTCAACCCCAACCATGGAGGACAGCCTCCTCCAAACCCCTCTGAGATGCCAGCAGCCCTCCTCCTGGGCACTTCCTATCTAGCTCTGAAGGGAGTGTCCTCTAGGTCCTTCTAAGCCCTCAGATCCTATGTGGCGCATCCACCCTAATATCCCGCCTCTGCGAGCCTTCTGACCCATTCCTCAACACCAGGCTTGGACACTTCACATCTCCCGTGGGGTCTGGCACCTCAGTGGGAACAGGGGATGCCAGGGGTGGGAGACAGGCAGATAGAGGTGTGGGTATGAGCAGGGAGCTGTGAGGCCACACCTACCCACAGCGTGAAGGATCAGGAGGAGCCACCACTGCAGGTGTTTCTCACCAACTGGATCCCAAAATACTGGGCCCTCTGGCCAGAAAGCAAGGCAAAGTTTTGGACCTGGAGTAGCCCCAAGGCTGAGCTGGGTCCATGTGAAGTAGGGCTTGTCTCCTCCCCACAGCCCTCTGGAAGGGGGGACTCATGTGGATGAAGAGAGGGAGCCACAGCAAGGCTATGCACCGTGCCCAGGGTCATGTGACCAAGAGGTGGCTGGGCCAGGATTCAAACAACTCCAGAGGAAGAGGCTTACTGGTTTAATGTGCTGCTGTGGTGGGGGCTTGCTTCTGCGGGATGGCTGCATGGCCTGTTAGCACCCACTAGCAGGAAAGCAGAGGCAGATGCCAATGCTTTAAGAAAACTTAAGGTTGATCTGGGCACACTGGCTCATGTCTGTCATCCCAGCTCTTTGGGAGGCCAAGGCGGGCGGATCACCTGAGGTCAGGATTTTGAGACCAGCCTGGCCAACATGGTGAAACCCCATTTCTACTAAAAACTACAAAAATTAGCTGGGTGTGTTGGCATGTGCCTGCAATGCCACCTACTCAGGAGGCTGAGGCAGGAGAATCTTTTGAACCCGGGAGTCGGAGGTTGCAGTGAGCTGGGATCGAGTCCCTGCACTCCAGCCTGGGTGACAGAGTGAGACTCTGTCTCAAAAAAAAAAAAAAAAAAGAAAGAAAGAAAAGAAAAACTTAAGGTTGAAAAACACTAACAATTGAAAAAGTATGTTTCATTGATATTTTGCTTCCTGAAAAGTGGCAGGACCCTCGCAGTAGTTTCCTTCTGTTGCAGAACCTGAGCCCTCCTCGGAAGCAAGACTAGCAAACCTCTTGCACGCACAGGCTCTCCCACTTATCACGGACCTGGTTAGTGGAGGTGACCTCCCAACATAGAGACACATTGGGCCTGGGAGGGCCAAGCTGAGGGCCCTTGGACAAGTGGCTTCAACATGCCAAGTTTCCATTTCCTCAAACCTGAAGGGATTAAATACAATTCTGTTTGAAGAGCCTCTCCTGTGATATACCAGGCCATACCATGTGATAGCCAATTTTATGTGTTAACTTGGCTGGGCCACAGGGCACTCTGACAGGTAGTTAGACATTATTCTGGGTCTCTCTATAAGGCTGTTTTCGGATGAGACTGACATTGAAATCAGTGGACTTTGAGTAAAGCAGGTTGCCCTACCTAATGTGGGAGGGGGGCCTCATCCAATTTGTTGAAGGTCCGAACAGAACAAAGAGACTGACTTCCCTCAAGCAAGAAGGAATTCTGCAGCAGACAACCCTCAGCCTTGAGCTGCAGCCTCGGCTTTCTCCTGGGTCTCCAGCCTGACGGCCCTTCCTGCAGAGTCTGGATTTGCCAGCTCCATCATCATGTGAGCCAATTCCTTGAAATAAATCTCTTTCTGTCTATACAAACCCACACATCCTATTAGTTCTGTATCTTTGGAGAACCGTGACTAATACACATGTTTTTAGAGAATAGAAATACAGGGCAGCTCCAAGATTGCAGGCTCAGCTTAGCTGGGAATGTCTGTCGCATTACCGGGCTTACAAAAGACAGACAACCTCACACCTAAAAGCATTTGGCTTACTGTTGGACTGAAGCACCCTCCCTTACTGTTCTTTGAAAACACCATGTTGCCAGCAAGTCTTTTAAAAATGATTCTAGGCTGGGCGCAGTGGCTCACGCTTGTAATCCCAACAGTCTGGGAGGCTGAGGTGGGCAGATCACCTGAGGTCAGGAGTTCAAGACCAGCCTGGCCAACATGGCAAAACCCCATCTCTACTAAAAATACAAAAATTAGCTGGGCATGGTGGTGGATGCCTGTAATCCCAGCTACTCAGGAGGCTGAGGCAGGAGAATCGCTTGAACCTGGGAGATGGAGGTTGCAGTGAGCTGAGATCACACCACTGCACTCCAGCCTGGAGGACAAAGCAAGACTCCATCTCAAATAATAATAATAATAATTCTAAATAGGCAGTAGTCAAGAGAAAAACAAGCTGCCCCTTACTGTCTCATCTTTAGCACCCCGATAGGAAAAGTCTGGTTTCTTCCAAAACTTAAAGATCTTGCTCTTAAAGTCTACACATCTGAAAGAGAGGATCATTTAGAGATGAAAAGAGCATCTCAATCATGTATGACTTCCTTCCACACCAGGATTCTGTCCATCTTCCTATTCCTAAATCATCCTGGACGATGACTTCCACCTTCAGCCGCACACGCCCTCAGTTAACACTTCTTTCCATTTCATTCTCCCATAAATGCAAAAAATAAAAAATAAAGAACAGAAAACAAAATGAGACTTCTTTTAGGCTTTGTAAGAGAGCTTCTTGTCGCGATGTTCCCATTCTTGTGATCATGAACCTGCTTTCTTTATTGGCAGGATCTTGGTGCCCAGTGATGCGGGTGCGATGCAACCTCTGCCACGTGTGCCTCCATGATCAACACACCAACAACGCAGGGGGAGATCTGCCCGCTCAGCTCTGCCACCTCTTTTCAGTTTATAGCAGTCCCCTGGCACAAGCGCAGCTAAAATGTGAACCCAATGAAAACTTACCCACCTCTGCCTTCCACACTCTTGTCTTCCTCTCTACATATAAAAATGCGTGGGGCTGATATGATTAACTGAAAGGAAGGCTCAGACTACCCCCAAATTGCATTGTTTTTATGTAAGTACCAAAGGCATTAATTCTAAAGAGATGGGACCAATTTGCATGGCAGTAGCAAGATACTTGCATCTATGTAAATTTATATAGAGATGGGTGGAATTTACGGAGTGTCTGCCACTTGAGTCAGCAGTGAGAAAATGGGTTGCTTTCCTTCCTCTCCCCATCAATGAAATGCTGAAAATGCCCATTGCCTCAATTCTTCTAACTTTTATTGTATTTGTTGTTTTGGTGTTTGTTTAGTTTGAATTCATTTTATTTAGTTTAATGATGCAAAACAAATGCAAAGGGACATAAAATGAAAAGTTCAAGTTCCTGCCCCTCTGACCTGTTTCCTAGGGAGTAAGCAACTCCCCCTTCATTTTCCTGGCCTGCAGCACAATCCTAGCAATGATACCTGGTATTTCTAAAGTTCCTGCAACTCCTAAGCTTTAGGTCAGCAGTTCTCATGCTCCAGCGTGCATCCAACTCACCTACAGCAACCCACTTAAGTAATTTTAAATCATCTAGCAGCCACAATAAAAAAAAAAAAGTAAAAAGAGGCAAGTGGCAGGAAAAGTTAATTTTATAAGACATATTATAATACACAATAAAATATCTTATTAAAATTAATTTCACCTGGTTTTTGTTCTTTTTTGAGACACGGTCTTGCTTCGTTGCCCAGGCTGGAAGTGCAGTGGTGCAATCATGGCTCACTGCAACCTCTGCCTCCCATGCTCAGGTGATTCTCCCAGCTCAGCTTCCAGAGTAGCTAAAACCACACCCAGCTGTTCCATACCACCACACCCAGCTAATTTTTGTATTCTTTTGTAGAGACAGGGTTTCGCCATGTTGCCCAGGCTGGACTCAAGTGATGCTCCCACCTTGGCCTCCCAAAGTGTTGGAATTATAGGCATAAGCCATTGCATCCAGCCTGGGAAGTTAACATTACAAATGTGGCTCGCATTTGTGGCTCAGGCTACATTGCTACTAGACATTGAGAAGACTCAATCATTCCTTTTACGGCAGCTTTTCCCAAAATATCTTCCTGAGGAGTGTCACAGGTGGTCTCCATACAAGGCCTCTTTAGTTAACTAATTTGACGAGTACCATTGTGTATTTCCTCTCTCTTTGGGAGATACACACACATTTGTACACAGGTAAGGACCCTGAGTTGTCCTGTGCTGAGAAGGCCAGCTTGACCCAGTATGTCCCAAATCACTGTATTTTTCCGTCTGTCCATGAACATTCCCCAGAGCTAGAGTTCCACGGCACACAGTGTCCTTTTTTTTTTTTTTTTTTTTGAGACAGAGTTTCACTCTGTTGCCCAGGCTGGAGTGCAGTGGCACCATCTCAGCTCACTGCAACCTGCACTTCCCAGGTTCAATCAATTCTCCCACCTCAGCCTCCCAAGTAGCTGGAATTATAGATATGCACCACCACACCCTGCTACTTTTGTATTTTTAGTAGAGACGGGGTTTCACCATGTTGCCTAGGCTGGTCTTGAATTCCTGACCTCAGGCGATCCACTTGCCTTGGCGGGTGGGGGTTACAGGCGTGAGCCACCATGCCCAGCCTACACAGTGTCCTTTGAGAAATGCTCAGCCCACATTCCATGGGAACAAGATCCCTCAGCAGTGAAGATCTCAGTGCAGGATTGATGAGGCTCTGTGCGAAAGGCAGCAGAGGAGAAGGCGATTTCCCTGTTCCGGGTCAGTAACAGCCAAGATCAGAATTAATGTCTGTGGAAGCAGTGATGGAAGCAGGACAGACGCTCAGTCTCATCAGTCACTAAGTCATCTTAATACCTTAATCATAGCCTGTTTTTCACAGGCAAGAAAATTTCTTCGGGAGAGAGTGAGCATAGCAAGCAGGGAATACTCTGCCAGCAGCATCACCTATGTGGTTACAGGGCTTAAAACTGTGAATATGTCCACTAATTTAGCAAAATGCTATCTGCCTTTAGAGGCCGTCAGCTGCTCTTTTGCAGGGTAGGGGGTTGTATTTAAGTGGTTTGTAAAGCCCTTGTCTCTGACAAATTGTCAACCGACTGTAGGGAAGTTAACAGTAGTCTACTCTCTGCTGTCTCTTTTTAGCAGGGGCCAGGTTGGGGGAGAGGACTCTGAAATGATCAGCAAGAGGACTGCTGTTAACACTGCCTGCTTCTTCTCTGACCTGGTGGACAGCAGCCACCTCCGTCAACCTGGACTGACTTCGCAGGTCCTAGGAAGATTCACTCGAGAGGCCTCTCCAATGTCACGGAAGGAGTGCCATCAGCTAGCCATGGCCTTGCGGACAGGGGCGGCAGGACCCTCTGGATGGTTCCACCAAGGCTGGGCCTTGTCTGGGCCGTGTCTTCCCACGGACACACTGAGACGGTCGCAGTCATAGCGTCTGCCCCACAAGGCACTGTCTCCTCTCAGGAGCCCCCATCACATGAGTGGTTGCAACTGCAGCAAGACAGACATCTCTGGACACCATGGACAGAAGCCAGGGACAGGGTTTTCTGTGCCCTCCATTCCCCATCAAACATGACTTCATACTCTCCGCAGAAGCTGCCAACCCACCCTTGACTTCTGCCTGTAGACAGTGGGGGTGGCCTGAGCCCCAGGGAGTGTCTTTGAGAGTCAGAGGTTGCCACTCAGTGACTGAGAAGGGAGGACCCACCTCTGCGCCCTGCAGGGACCACAGGGTTCCCTTCCAGTGAACAGGTGGGGATGTTCTGAAACTCCCCCTCCATACCTTGGAATGAAAGTTGCAGGGCTGTAGTAAAACTCCAGTTTTAACTTGCTTTATTCCTCTTTGGGATGCAAAGATAAGGTCTTCCTAACCTGTCCATGGAGGCACCCACATGGAAAAAAGGGAGGGAGGGAAGGAGGGAGGGAGGGAGGGAGGGAGGGAAGGAGGGAAGAAAAGAAGCAAGTTGTTTAAACAAATTTCCCTGCCTGGTTTCTGGGCTGCACTTCTCTTTCCTCGGTTGGGATCCACCACAGACAGCCTGAGAAAGCTCACAAGCTTGACCTTACTTACTGAAGGACAGTGGTCCCCATCTATTAGGCTCATCTGTCCCATTGAGAGGGTGCAGCTGTACACTCATGGGTCTCCTAAGGATTCCCCAAAGCATCCACCTGAAGTTTATCAGCAGGAAAAGGCTCCAAGGAGCTGAGGCAAGAGCTGCTGTGGGAAGGGGGTCTGGGCCAGAAGGCCCATCTTGCAAGGGAGGAGCCATCTGGGGGGAAAGCAGTAATGCTGGAAGTTGCCCCCACTCCAGCCACCAGCGCAGAACAAAGAAGTCAGAAATAAAGAGAGCTGGAAACTCACAAGCCCAGGAATGGGCCCTACCAAGGTGGGCAGGGCTCTGGGACACCAACGGGCACCCTTGCAGCAGAGCCAAGCACACCACGCAAGGCAGGGCTGCTTCCTCCAGCCACGCAGGGAGGCAGGAGCACTGGCAGCAGAGCTGGGGGCTGTGCAGGGGCTGACATCCTACATCCTCCCTCCCCTAGAAGCGTTCAGAAGCAGAGCTGGCCCTCAGCCAAGAAAGCCCCAAGATTCTTGGACAATACAAAGTGGAGGTCTCTTTTCATCTGTAATATGAGAATCTCTGAACTTTGTCTTCAAGGCACTCAGGACTTTAATAAGTTGCCATTATCTATGTACCTACACAGATACTAGTAGTGTGCTCTTTTATTCAGGGGAAAATCCCCCCAGAGGGATGGGACAGTGTCCACTTTGCACTCCAAATGTCCCCTTCTCTTGCTGTCCATCAGCCACTAATTCACCCAGTGAGAGGAGCCAGCTCCCAGCTAAACAGACGCAGCAGCATTTTCCCCTTGAACACAACTCAGTAGCCTGAGCTACGGGGAAGGGCAGAAAGTCCAAGAGGGATTTGGTCCGGGGAATTGGTCAGGCTGCCCTGGTGCCATAGTCTGCCTGGCATGGGAGCTGGCTACACCTTGTCCTTCATAGCCCTGACACTGGGGAAGTCTCTCTTGTTTTAGAACAAGATAGAAGAGCAAATGAATACATGAATTTTTTAAAACAGCAATGAAGCTCACCCTTTGGTCTTATTAGAATGTGATGGCTTGGGCGATAATGGGGAAGGACCAGGGGAGGGGCTGGAGCACAGCTAGGCAGGCTCACACCCGAGCTTCCGGCTGACACCACGGTGACTCCACCTGGCCCTCCCACGGAACAGGTCTTTCAGACTCTACATGGCTTCAACCCATGCCCCAGGCTCTAGCTCCTGCCACTCTCTGCTCCCAGAATATTGAAGCACATTCTTCCTTCCCCGAGGAAGGACAGCTTCCTGACCACCCAGCCAGAAACTGAACAGAGGCAGGCCCATTCATTCCATGGCTTGGGGAGCCATCAGCAAGTTAGGAAAAGAGGGTGTGGACCTTGAACCCGGTGCAGATCTGGGACATCCTTGGCAGGTCACCCAATGTCTCTGCACTTCCTTACCTAGGAGCTTGCCTCACTGAGGGAGGAGCTACATAAATCAAATCGTTAAGGGGCAGGAATGAGCTAATTAGCTGGCAAAGTGCTGGGCAAGGGTTCCACGATGTTGTTATTTTTAGGCAGCGGGTTGTGAATTGTGAAGCGTGGCTTCATTACAGCAGGATGTGTCAGCTTTAATGAGGTGCCTCATTGAAGTCCAACCACGCACATTACCACCTGTCCTAGGGCAGGTTCCATGGGCATGAGCCATTATGAGTCGCTAGGGGGAAAAAGCAGCCAGCAGGCAGGGCCAGGAGCCCCGGTCAGGAAATCATCCAGATATGCTTGATGGTCTGTGGACCCCACTTCCAACCCCACCACATTCCCCTGCTCTTTATGACAAAGCTCTTGAAAAGAGCTGTCCAGGACAGGTGCATGGCTGAGTCCTATAATCCCAGCACTTTGGGAGGCCGAGATGGGTAGATCACTTGAGGTCAGGAGTTTGAGACCAGCCTGGCCAACATGGTGAAACCCTGTCTACATTAAAAGTATAAAAATTAGCCGGGTGTGGTGGTGGGTGCCTGTCATCCCAGCTACTCGGGAGGCTGAGACAGGAGAACCTCTTATACCCAGGTGATAGAGGTTGCAGTGAGCCAAGATGGCACCACTGCACTCCAGCCTGGGTGACAGAGTGAGACTCTACCTCAAAAAAAAAAAAAAATAGAGCCATCCATAAATGCACTTCCACCTCCTCACCCTCCCCTCACTCTTCACCCCATTCCAGCAAGGTCTTCTCCTCATCACTCCACTGAATCGAACCTGGTTAAGGTCACCAAGACCTCCGCATCACCGGATCCAAAGGTCAGCTGGTCCTAACCACATTTGTCCTGCCTCAATCCCTTCCTGAGCTTCCTCGCCCACCCATCCAATGTTCTACTCCTCACTACTCCTTGGATGTCACATCAGCATCTCAAACTTTTCCTGTCCAAAATAGAATTCTTATTTTAACTCTTCTCACCCATTTCTCCACCAGCACAGCCCATATCAGTAAGGGGCAAGCTCATTCACCAACATGATCAGGCCAAAACAATGACCTCCTTCTTAACCCTTCTCTTTTCTTTCACTCTCTATATCCAATCCATTGGCAAGCCACGCCAACTCCACCTGCAAATATACCCAGGATCTGACCGATTCTCACCCTCACTACCGCCACACCAGTCTGAAGCACCTTCACCTCTCTCAGACTAGCAAGGTTTTCTACCTGGGCTCTCTCTGTCTGCTCTGTCCCCTGCAATCTACTTTCAACTTAAATTAGATCATGTTATTTTCATGCTCAAAATCATCATTTTCATTTCCTCATCTATAAAAAGCCTTTGGTCTATGTCAGCTCTGAAAATGTGGAAGCGTCACATCCCATACCTGTGCTCTGCCCCAGCAAAAGTACTAGGGAAAAGGAGGCAGCAGAAGAGATTGCACAAGGACATAACGTTTTCGGTCTCAGTGTGACATGCTGGTGACAAGACCATGGTAAGCACATTGACACACAGGTACC